>NC_000008.11:6407986-6710271 GCF_000001405.40 Homo sapiens
ATGTTTGTGCCACAACCGTGAAGTTGAGTAGTTGTGGCAAATACTGTATTGGCCACAAAGCCTGAAATATTTACCATCTGTCTCTTTACAGAAAATAGGTTTCTGCACTGGAAAAATTAAGCGTAAGAATTTGGGGAAAGCAACTAATTTTACAAATGTAAACTCTCATGTATTGTATGGGTACAGTTGTTCTTTGCTTAAAATTTTAATAAATTCCACTGAAGCTATTTTGAAAAGGCTTTCAGTAGAAATTTATTTATGAGACAGAGTCTTACTCTCTTGCCCAGGCTGGAGCGCAGTGATGTGATCACATAATAGCTCAAGCAATTCTGCTTCAGCCTCCTGAGTAACTTGGGACTACAGGCACTACCACGCCCGGTTATTTTTATTTTTATTTTTTAATTTATTATTTTTTTGTAGAGCCAGGGTCTCACTATGTTGCCTAGGCTGGTCTTGAATTCCTAGCCTCAAGCAATCCTCCCGCCTCCACCTTGCAAAATGCTGGGATTACAGGCATGAGCTACTTTGTTCAGCCAGTAGAAGAAACTTCATTTACTTTTCTTATTTTTGAGGCAAGGTCTTTCTCTGCTGCCCAGGCTGGAGTGCAATGGTGCGATCATAACTCAGCTTCTACCTCCTGGGCTCTAGGGATTCTCCCACCTCAGCTTCTCCACCCTACCCACCCCCATTTCCCACCCAGTAGCTGGGACTACAGCCACTCGCCACCATTCCTGGCTAATTAAAAACAAAATTTTTTTTAGAGACAGGGTTTCACTATGTTGCCCAGGCTGGTCTCAAACTTCTGTGCCCAAGTGATCCCACTGCCTTGGCCTTCCAGAGTGCTGCAATTACAGCATGAGCCACCACACCTGGCCAGTAGAGTAAATTTTTGTTTTACTTTTTTCTTTTTTTTTTTTTGAAACGGGTCTCGCCCTGTCACCCAGGCTGGAGTGCAATGGCGCAATCTCGGCTCACTGCAACCTCTGCCTCCCGGGTTCAAGTGATTCTCCTGCCTCAGCCTCCCAGTAGCTGGGATTACAGGTGCCCGCCACCATGCTCGGCTAATTTTTTGTATCTTTTAGTAGAGATGGTTTTTCACCATGTTGGCCCGGCTGGTCTCAAACCCCTGACTTCGTGGATCCACCCACTTCCGCCTCCCACAGTGCTGGGATTACAGGCGTGAGCCACTGTGCCGGCCTCGGTTTACTCTTAAATGTAAATAGAACAAAATCTATTGGGCAGGGGATGCTGGAATTTCAAATGTATGTTTCATGTTCATATCTTGTTTTCAGATGTAGTGGCCTATGTTGAAGTGTGGTCATCCAATGGAACAGAAAATTATTCAAAGACATTTACAACACAGCTTGTGGATATGGGGGCAAAGGTAAGACACTTATTTTGCTGTTGATTCATATGACAGTCTTCTGATTGGTAAAAAGTTACATTTGCATTTTCTTATTTTGGGAGTTTTTACTTAGAATCTGGACGAAGCAATGGGTAAGCGGTGGGAGAAAAAAGAGCCAAAGTGTGAAGAATTTAGAACAGTAGGACTTTCAGAACTCAATGCCTGTGGGCATTGAGTGAGGAGGAGGAACCTAGGATGAAATGCTGGATTCTTACACTGGTTACTTGAATGCATAGTGCTATTAAGCAAAGTGAGGAATACAGGAAAAGGAACAGGTTTCTAAGGGAAAAATTGTAAATTTGGGCATACTGAAAAATATCTGTTAGATATTTGGATATACAAGTCTGGAGCTTGGAGTGTTCAAGGCTAGAGATGATGATCTAGGGGGTCAGGACCATAGGGGTCATGTGAAGTCACAGGTGTGGACATCGTCCCATGTCAGGCATGGTTAGGATGAAGAGTGGTGACAGAGGAGCGTTGTTCAGTATTCAAGGACAGGCGATGGGAGCAGGGACCCAGTGACAGAGGGAGAGAAGAATGCCAGGAGAAGGAGAAAGGAAGTGTGGAAGTCAAAGTAGGGAGTAATTTTTTTTTTTTGAGACGGAGTCTCGCTCTGTCGCTAGGCTGGAGTGCAGTGACGCGATCTCAGCTCACTGCAATCTCTGCCTTCTGGGTTCAAGCGATTGTCCTGCCTCAGCCTTCCAAGTATCTGGGACTACAGGCACATGCCACCATGCCTAGCTAATTTTTTTTTTTGTATTTTTAGTAAAGACGGGGTTTCACCATGTTGGCCAGGATGGTCTCAATCTCCTGATCTCGTGATCCGCCCACCTCGGCCTCCCAAAGTGCTGGGATTACAGGCATGAGCCACCGAGCCCGGCCAGGAGTAATTTTTTAATTGCCTTTCAGAACTAGAATGGAGTAATTTTAAAGATAGAATTTTTAAAAACTACAGAAAGTTCAAGAAAAATAGGATGGGCAAATGTACTTTGGATTTGAACACTGTAAGGTCATTGCTGAACTTAGTGCAGTTTTCAGTGAAATGGGCAGGAATCATTGAGCTATGAGGAAATGGAGATAGCAAACAATTTGCCTTATTCAAGGTTTCTTAGTATAGCCATCTCTGTTATCAGATTTACTATCACGTACTGCTTGTGTTCAGGTAGCCTCTATTTGACTTAATAATGTCCTTGATACCAAATAGGTATCTTTTGCCCACGCACACTAAACCGATCACTTTGATGACGGGTTTTACAAAAGGGAAAAGATTCATTCACGGGGAAGCCCAGCTAGGAGGCAGAAGAGTACTCACATCTTCATTCCCAAAGATAAGGCTTAGGGATATTTATCAGTTAGGGAAGTAGGGTGATCTAAGCTGTGGGGAAAAATGAAGTACATGATCTGCACAAGCATAGTTGGGATTCATGGAATGCATGTTTAGAAAACAGGCATTATTAGGAGGCCAAGGCAGGCGGATCACCTGAGGTCAGGAGTTCGAGACCAGCCTGGCCAACATAGTGAAACCCCATCTCTACTAAAAATACAAAAAAAAGCCAGGTGTGGTGGCACACACCTGTAGTCTCAGTGATTCGGGAGGCTGAGGCAGGAGAATCGTTTGAACCTGGGAGGCGGAGGTTGCATTGAGCCGAGATTGCACCACTGCACTCCAGCCTGGGCGACGGAGTAAGATTCTGTCTCCAAAAACCAAAAAAATAGGCACTAGTAGGATCCGATGGTGAAGATTTTGGCCTGATGTCAAAAGGTCATTTCTTGGGCATTTACACAGGCCTGGTTGAAGAGTTGGTGGTTGCAGCCTGTTTGAACTGTACGGGTGCTGCCCCAAGTTCCTGAAAAGTAACTTAAGCAACTGTTACCGTGGTGACATATCCACCAGAAGTTTTTATCTTATAAGGAAGCCAGTGAAGGTTATAGCATTTAGTAGTATGACTTGCAGCTATATAGAAATAAATAAATAAATAACAAAAAGCAAGTGACCAAAAGCAAGCAAGGCAGGTTAAATTTGGCAGAACTAATTTTCAGCCGTAAAGTGCAAGAGTGATGATGCTGGCAATTCAGATATGCCAGAGAAGCCTTAAGGTGCTTTAAGTGAAAAGGTGAAAGTTCTCCACTTTAAGGAAAGGAAGAAAATTGTGTGTTGAAGTTGCTAAGATCGACAGTGAGAACAAATCTTCTAATCTTGAAATTGTGAAGAACTATGCTACTGTTGCAGTCACACCAAACTGCAACAGTTACAGCCACAGTGCGTGATTTTTATTATAATACATTGCTACAATTACCCTATTTTGTTATCATTATTGTTAATCTGTGCCTAATTTGTAAATAAAACTTCATTGTATATGTATGTATAGGAAAAAACAGTATATAACCTGTTCAGTACTAGCTCAGGATTCAGGCATCCACTGGGAGGGGTTGGGGGCGGGACGCGGGCATGTCTTAGAACTTAACCCCCGTGGATAAGGGGGAACTAATGTGCTCTTATAGGGAGTTTAGTTATGAACAAATCCTGTTTATGTCCTTGTCTGGCATTTGGGAGGGGCTGACTGATAGGCTGAGTGAAAGAGAACCATTAAAAATGGGAGAAAAGATAATCGAAGGCAGGGCTAGGTTAGGGTGGAGCAAGAGAGCTGCTGTGGGTATAAAACTTAAGAGGCGCTCACCACCAGGCAAAGAGTGGGTGCTACTGAATACCCTAAGAGCCTTGTTTGACCTCCCTAATGCCTGTCTTGAGTAAGAGGTCAGTGGAGAGGAATCCGAATATAGGAGCAGGGCCTGCACTGCAGGAGGGGAGACATGCCCACTGTAATACACTGGAATGTAGGAACCCGAGGGAGTCTGCATGTTGCACATGCCTAACATTTACTTGGGATGAGGAGGAACTACTGTGAATAAGAAAAAAGCCGTTAGACAAGTGAGTTGACAAGGTGGTTTGAGGGTAGCATTAAGATCTTAGATCTTTTAGAACTTTTTGGTTTCACCTTTTATTTCAAAAATTGGCAAACAGTTCAAAGAATAGTGAATACAGATCAATAGTCGTTAACATCGTAAGATTTGGATATTTGTAGTACTCGTAATCCGGGATTATCTTAAGCCAATTTCAGGATTTGAGATGATTTAAAACCAGACTACAGGCCTGTGAGGGTCATTATAACTTCTGATTCACCCTTAATCTAGATGCAGCTCTTTGGGTCTCAGCGCAAGGTGTAGGGGTTTTACCAGACCCCCTTGTCTCTTTGAGGCTTCTCAATTTTCGTCCTGTTTAGTGTGTACTAAATTTGATAAAAGCCTTGTGGGAAGATGGTCTCAAATGCTAGACTCATCTCTCTAGGTGTCAGTCTTAATCTAGAATCTCAGCCCGGTAATTCTTAATTGCCTTGATAGCTCCCATGGACTTGATGGGGGTGTGGAAATTGAGAGAGAGAGAGAGTTATAAAAGTAATACATATTTATTGTTTAAAAAGACTAACGGGCAGTGCCATGAAATTCACAATGAAAAGAAAGAGAAACCAGCAACGCTTTGCAGTACATTTCCTTTTCCATTTTTCAAAGACAGCTACTTTCAAATCATCTGTTTCTTTTGGTATTTACCTTCATATTTCCAAGCATTGTACATATATTACTTCAGTATAATTGAATGCTATAAAAATTATGCAGATGAGTTCTGCTTCTGGAAAGGATACATAAAAGGTAAAATTTTTGACACCATGAGTGTCTGAGCATGCCTTTATTATACTGTTACCTTTGACTAATATTTTAGCTGAGTGTAAAATGCTAGCACAAATATTATTTTTCCTTGAAGGTATTTCCCATTGTTTTCTCAATTCCAGACTGCTGTTGATAAGACTGATTCAGTTGTCACTTATTGTTTGCATGTGATGTGTCTCTATCCTCTTCACCTTGATTACCCACTCTTTTAATATTTTTCCCTTTCGCCAACCATGCTGGAATTCTGTGATAAGCTTGGTGTAGTGCTGTTTTCGTTCTTGTGCTGGGCCTTTGTGGGGGATTCTTTTGATCTAGAATGCATATCCTTTAGTTTGAGAAACTTTTCTTTGATTATTTCTTTAATAATATTTTCTCCATTTTGTGTATTCCTGTATTCTTTAACTTCTGTTGATTGGCTGTTGGATCTCCTGGTCTGAGCTTCTGATGTTCTTGCCTTTTGTCTCCTGTTGTCCGTCTTCTGGTTCTTCTCTTCTACTACCAGTGAGCTTTACTCAACTTCATTGTCTGATATTTCTGTAGAAAATTTTTTTACTTATGTCATCTTTTCTTAATTTCCAAGAGCTCTTTAGGATCCTATTAAAAAATAATCTTCTGATCATGTTGCGTGAATACAGTATCTTTTTTTTTTTTTTTTTTGGAGATGGAGTCTTGCTGTGTTACCCAGGCTGGAGTGCAATGGCACAATCTTGGCTCACTGTAACCGCCACCTCCCGGGTTGAAGTGATTCTCCTGCCTCAGCCTCCCGAGTTGCTGAGACTACAGGCACGAACCTCCACGCTTGGCTAATTTTTGTATTTTTAGTAGAGACAGGGTTTTTCCATGTTGGCCAGGCTAGTCTTAAATTTCTGACCTCATGATCCACCTGCCTCGGCCTCCCAAAGTTCTGGGATTACAGGTGTGAACCACCACACCCAGTTTCCTTTGGTTTTAATTAGCTGAATTTTTCCAACTTTTTGAATGATTGCACTTATTTTCAACCTTCTTACTTTGTATTTATGCATTTAAGATTACAGGCGTCCGCCACCTTGCACCCGGATAATTTTTGTATTTTTAGTAGAGACAAGGTTTCACCAGGTTGGCTAGGCTGGTCTCAAACTGCTGACCTCAGGTGATCCACCTGCCTCGGCCTCCCAAAGTGCTGGGATTACAGGCATGAGCCACCATGCCCAGCCATGGATACAGTATCTTAAGATATGAGGTATTTTTAATTTTGGTTAAATATGTGTTCTGTTTTCTCTGTTGCCTCTGAATTTCATTTGGTTTTATTTTTTTGATGTAGAAAGCTTTTCTGAAATGTCCATTATTATCTGACTCTTTCCATCTTTAAAAATGTGGTGCCTTCTCATGGCCACATTTTCTCTTCTGTCCTCTTTATCCTTGCAGGGCTCCAACTCTATTCTTTCAGTAACACTTCAGAGGGTTTTTAGAGGGAGTAGATGTGAACTTGTGTGTATGATTCACCGTTGTAACTGGAACAGATATGTTTTAAGCAGCGTTATGCATTCCTTTGAGTGTTTCTCTGTCAGATGTTGAGAAACAGAATTGCTGGGGTAGAGGTTTTTTGATCAGTTGTAGTTAAGTTGTGAATGAACAGTAATGTACATTTTGTTTTCTGCATTTTGTCTACAGGTTTCAAAAACTTTTAACAAACAAGTAACTCACGTTATCTTCAAAGATGGCTACCAGAGCACTTGGGACAAAGCTCAGAAGAGAGGCGTAAAGCTCGTTTCGGTGCTCTGGGTGGAAAAGTAAGCAGTTTCTCTCTTACTTTTTTTCCTTAAGTATCTAGTATTGAAAATGTGTGGAGATATTTTTCACAGATCGCAGAACCAGATAAAGTTTGATTTTCATCTTTTCTCTGCCTCTTACCTCACCTAGTAATTTGAAATCCTCCAGCCTCAATTTCTGTGGTTCAAAAATGGTCATGCTATAATACCTAACTCTGCCTAGGGGGAAAAGGAGCCTGCAGGTCCTGAAGCTGGGTATGCAAGGTGGACTTAGGAAGCAAGAGGGAATGTGATGAAGCAGATTGTGTTAGTCAGCAAGCGCTGCTGTAACAAAGGACCACAGAATGGGTCGCTTGAGCAACAGAAAAGGACTTTCTCACAACTCTGGAGGCAGGAAGTCCAGTATCAAGTTGTCAACAGGGTTGGTATCTTCTTTTTTTTTTGAGACAAAGTCTTGCTCTGTCATCCAAGCTAGAGTGCAGTAGCTGGATCTTGGGTCACTGCAGCCTCAGCCTCCTAGGCTCAAGTGATTCTTATGCCTCAGCCTCCCAAGTAGCTGGGATTCATCTCAACCTTTGCCTCCTGGGCTCAAGTGATTCTCCTGCTTCTGCCTCCCGAGTAGCTGGGATTACAGGCACGCACCACCATGCCTGGCTAATTTTTGCATTTTTGGTAGAGACGGGGTTTTATCATGTTGGCCAGGCTGGTTTCAAACTTCTGACCTCAGGTGATCCACCTGCCTCGGCCTCCCAAAGTGCTAGGATTACAGGTGTGAGCCACCGTGCGCGGCCCACACAGTTTTGATTACAGTAAATTTGTAGTAAGTTTTGAAATTGGGAAGTACGAGTCCTGTAACTTGTTTTTCATTTTCAAGATTGTTTGGCTATTTTGATTTGAGTTCCTTGCTAAGATTGTTTGGCTGTCTTGATTGGGTTCCTTGCATTTCTATATGAATTTTATGATCAGTGTGTCAATTTATTCAAAAACAAAAAAGGCAGCTGGGATTTGGTAGGATTGTATTGAATCTCTAATTAGGGAAGTGTTCATAATATTTAATCTTTCAGTCCATGAAAATGGGATGTGTTTCTTTTTCAGGTCTCAAATTTCCTTCAGTGACACTTTCTAGTTTTCAGTGTACAAGTTTTTTACCCCCTAGGTTAAATTTATTCCTAACTTTTTTGTTCATTTTCATGTGAATGAAATTGTTTTCTTAATTTTTTTAAGTTGTTAGCTGTTAGTGTATAGAAATGCAGGTGATTGTTGTATGTTGATCTTATACCCTGCAAATTTGCTTAACTTGTTTATTAGTTCTAAATATATTTGTGGGTTCCTTAGCATTTTCTATATGCAATGTTGTGTAATTTTGTAAATAGAGATAGATTTACTTCTTCATTTCTAGTCTGGCCGCATGTTATGTCATGTCATGTCATGTCATGTCATGTCATGTCATGTTATTTGTTCTGGCCAGAACCTCCAGCACACTGTTGAATAGAAGTGGTGAGAATGGACGTCCTTGTGTTGTTGCTCATCTTTGGAGAAAAGCTTTCAGTATTTCATTATTTCGTATGATGGTAACTGTGGTTTGTGTAAATGTCCTTTTTTAGGCTGAGGACGTTCCCATTCCCTTCTGTTGCAGGTTGTTTGTTTGTTTCTGATTATTAAAGGAAGTTAGATATGGTTGTCAGATGTTTTTCTGCATGACTGATCATCATGTGATTTTTGTCCTTCATTATATTAATGTGGTGTAATTGAGGGGTTTTGTGTGTTGAAGCAACCTTGCAGTCCTAGGATAAATCCTACTTGGTCATGTTGTATACGTTGTCATCTTGCCTTTTTAATTGTTGGAACAGGCCGGATGCGGTGGCTCACACCTGTAATTCCAGCACTTTGGGAGGCCGAGGGGGGTGGATCACCTGAGATTAGGAGTTTGAGACCAGCCTGATCAATATGGTAAAACCCTATCTCTATTAAAAATACAAAAATTAGCCAGTCATGTTGGCGTGTGCCTATAGTCCCAGCTACTCGGGAGATTGAGACAGGAGAATCACTTGAACCTGGGAGACGGAGGTTGCAGTGAACCAAGACCACGCCATTGCACTTTAGCCTGGGCGACAAGAGCGGGGAAAAAAAAAAAAGAGTAAGGGGTCCTTCTCTGGCTTTTGTCAAGATTTTCTCATTATCTTTCACTTTCAGAAATTTAAGTGTCTCGATATGGTTTTTTAAAATTTATTTTGTTTAGATTTTACAGAACTTGTTGAATGTGTAGTTGCCTGTGTTTCTACATATGATTCGTTTTTGGCCATTATTTCTTCATCTATCTTTTCTGCCCCGTTTCCTCCTCATTTTTTCTGATTAGCTGTATATCTTTTTCTAATTAGCTGTATACCAGGGATTGGTAAAGTTTTCTGTAAAGGGACAGATAGTCAATATTTTAGGCTTTGCGGGCCATATGGTCTCTGCTCAACAGCTCAGCTCTCTTGTGGTGTGAAAGGCGTAATAGAAAATAAGTAAACAAATGCTTGTGTCTGTGTGGCAGCAAACTTTACTTATAAGTCTGGCAGGAAGCCAGGTAGTTTCCCAATCCTTTCTGTGTAATACACCTTTTAAACGTTTGCATTTGTCCATAGTGCTCTCCTTCTTCTTCATTATTGTTCAGTCTTTTTTTTTCTCCTCAGATTGATCTTTTTTCAAGTTCATTGACTTTTTTCTCCATCAAATCCATTCTGCTACTTAGTACCTTTATTTGAGATATTTTTGATTTCTAACATTTCTAGTTGGTTTTTGTATACATTCTTTTTATTTCGGTTTCATGTGAGATTTCTCACCTTTGGTTTTCCTGTCTTCGGTTATGAGTGTATTTTCTATTACCTCGATGAGTGTAGTTATAAATAGTTGTCTTAATGACCTTGTCTGATAATTTTGAGGTTGGTATCTGTTTTGTTTTTGTTTTTCTTTGATAGTGTGTCACATTTTTCTGGCTCTTCATATGGCAAATAATTTGAGGTTGTATTTTGCACGTTGTAAATACTATGTAGACTCTGGATTCTTTTCTATTGTCGCAAAGAGCATGAGGTTTTTGTTTTAGCAAGCAGTTAACTTGTCGTTAAAATGAAACGCACACTGTCATTATGTGGGCAGTTGCTTAGATGCGCCCTTTAAGCCTCAGGTGCAGGCTGATTTGTTTGCCTCAAACACATGTTGTTCAGGGGTCAGCCAGAGACTTGAACTTCTATACTCAGAATTTGGGGTTTCTCCTATGGTTCTCTTACTTCCTGAGTCCTTACCTCATTTCTCTAGTAGCCCTAGCTGCCCAGTCTCCTTCCCCTGGTCTCTTCAGCGAGAAAGGAGGCCGGAGCTTCTGCTTGAGTGCTTGCTGCGCCACACCAGCTCCCTCAGAGACTGTGGCTGCCTTTAGGGGACAGACAGAAAAAGTGGTGATGCCCAGATTCTTTTGCTTCCTTTTAAAATTTGCCTGTTCTTTCTTTTTCTTTTATTTCCCTCCAGCTTTCAAAGCTCTCACATAGTTGGTTTATTTTATTTTATTTTTCCTGTATTTCCAGGACGTATAGCTTATAGTTCACCTATATTTGTATATTGGTTTGTTAGGCATAAACAGAAATGGAACTTAGTATGTTATTTTTGAAGCATCTGATGCCAGTCTAATTCTTCTTCCCTTCAACATTATTTGATCTTTTTGGAGACTCCTTAGGGATATTTTTTATTTTATCATTTTTTTTTTGAGACGGAGTCTCGCTCTGTCGCCAGGCTGGAGTGCAGTGGCGCGATCTGTGCTCACTGCAACCTCCTACTCCCTGGTTCAGCGATTCTCCTGCCTCAGCCTCCCGAGTAGCTGGGATCACAGGCACGTGCCACCACGCCCAGCTAATTTTTGTATTTTTAGTGGACACGGGGTTTCACCATGTTGGCCAGGATGATCCTGATCTTCTGACCTCGTGATCTGCCTGCCTCAGCCTCCCAAAGTACTGGGATTGTAGGCGTGAGCCACAGCGCCCGGCCAGGATTTTTTTTTTAAGACTCATGGCTTTACTGTAATATGTTTTGAATTGATCATTCCAGTTCTGGCTTGGCCTTTTCAACAGATTCAGGTCTATATTTCTGCAAAAGTTTCTGGGATTATAGTTTTAAATATTCTGCTTCGTTGTTTTGCTTTTCTTCTGGGACTCCAATTATGTTTACGTTGGGCCTGCTTAGCTATCTTTTATTTCAGTCAACTTGACTTCAACCCTTTTATATTTATATACACATACACACACACACACACACACACAGACACACACACACACACACACACACACACACACACACGCATTTTTACCCCAAATACTTATTTGACAGTATTTGTTTTTGTTTTTTGAAGACAGGGTCTTGCTCTGTTGCCGAGGCTGGAATGCAATGACTCAGTTGCAGCTTACTGCAGCCTTGACCTCTAAGGCTCAATCAGTCCTCTCACCCCAGCCCTCCCTAGTGGCTGGGACTGTAGGCATGTGCCACCATGCCCAGCCATTAAAAAATTTTTTTTTTCTTTTTTCTTTTTGAGATGGAGTCTTGCTCTGTGGCCTAGTGCAGTGGCGCAATCTCGGCTCACTGTAAGCTCTGCCTCCCAGGTTCATGCCATTCTCCTGCCTCAGCCTCCCGAGTAGCTGGGACTACAGGCGCCCACCACCACACCTGGCTAATTTTTTTTTTTTTTTTGTATTTTTAGTAGAGATGGGATTTTACCGTGTTAGCCAGGATGGTCTTGATCTCCTGACCTTGTGATCCACCTGCCTTGGCCTCCCAAAGTGCAACCCGGCATTAAAGAATTTTTTTTATAGAGATGGGATCTTACTATGTAGGCCAGGCTGGGCTCAAGTGATCCACTCACTCCAGCCTCTCAAAGTGCTGGGATTACTGGTGTGAGCCACTGCACCCAGCTGATAATATTTGATTCAAGTTCAAGGGTTTTGTTATATTCTTCAGTTTTGTGTTTGCTTTTATTTTAGGGAGTGTGATGGGTTTTCCTCAGCTGAAATGATTTGCTTTTTCTTTGTTTTTTTAAAATAGATTTTTAAAATGGATGTAGTCTATTCTATTTCCATTCATTGCATAGGCCAGGCTTGTGGCCAGAGCGTCCTCTTCTGTCAGTTCTGCTGTCTTGCATAGTTTCTTTTATAGGTGATGCTGGTGAGGGAGGGAGGAGGGAGGGGCTCGTGTATCTCGTTTGCGTTTTGTTTCTATAGGATCCTTAAATGTTTTTCTCTTAGTTTCTTCTTTTTTTCACTGCCATTGGTTCAAGGGCTGCCACTCCCCCCAGAACTGATGTTTTTCAGAGCCTGCCTGTCCTAGTCTTGCTCCCATTCAGACCCCTTCCCTGGAGTGGGTGCTGTGAGCTGTGTGGGTTCTCTGTTGTGGCAGTTGTGCTGGGTGTCCTCTTTCTGAGACTTCTTTTACCTGTGCTTCATGTAAGTTCTCCAGGCTGTACTACTTTTTATGGAGTCTTAAGCGTATTCTCCCCGACTTTCTGCATCCATAGACTTGCAGCTGTGTTGGAATTTGATTATTTTTCTACTTATAGGTCATCTGAATTTGCGCTGTTATCTCCGTGTCAGTGAGAATGTAGGTCATATGTGTCTTTTATTTAAGTTTCTTTTTTATTTTCTGCTTTTTTTTCGGGGAGGGAATGGGGTAAGACTCAGTATCAGCCAGCCATCATTGTTTTCTCTACCTCATCTTCTTATGGAGTCCATTGAAATGGCTTATTGATTTTTATCTCAAAATCGATCTCTCATAGATCTTTATCTCTGCTGTTACAGTCGAGACAAGTATCATGTCTTGCTTCAGTTACTGTAGCAGCCTCATGCCTGTCTGTTTCATTTTGTTTCTTATACATAAGCAAATGTAACCCCTTTTGTTACCAGTGGAAGGTATCCAAGTTACCGGCAGCAAACACGTATGGGTTTGCAGCAACTTCAGTTCTTGCTTCCTCAAAAGAAAGAATTCCACGGAGGAGCATAAGGCAAAAGAAGAGACTGACGCAAGGGTCAGAGCAGGAGCAGAAGTTTATTTAAAAGGCGTCAGAACAGAAAGAAAGGAAAGTACACTGGGAAGAGTCCCAGGCGGGCATGGAGGTCTAATTTGATGTTTAACCTTGATCCTGGGATTTGTAGGCTCGCCCTTTTCCGCAGTTCTTCCCTTAGGGTGGGCTGCCCGCATGCACAGTGCGGGAATTGAGCACAGGCAGCTTGTTTAGGAAGTTGTGTGGGTGCCCATCTGAAGCTTTCTTCCCGTTTCTCCGCCATTTTGTCTCTTAATGTGCATGCCCGGGAAATGGCCTCTCCCTGGCGTCTGCATTCAGTTAACACTTTAGCACAACAGGTGTGGACTGTCAGGAAATGGCCTCTCCCTGGCTCTGGCTGCCAATTTATCACTTTTAGAGAGGCAATGTGATAATTGTTGAGCTATCACCCAACATTCCTAGTGGGTGGTAGAGGCCTCTCCTGCCGGGCTTATGCCTAACTACCTGTAATACTTCAACACATGGATCAGCTTTATCCTTCTGACAAAATGGCTTAGAGTTCAGTGGTCTATAGCAGAGAATGGCCAACTATCATCCCCCAGCCAAATCCACCCTGCCATACTGTTTATTTTTTTTTAATGGCCCATGAGGTAAGAATGGTTAAGAGAAAAAAAAAATTCAAATGTTTACTATTTCATGATATTTACATTATATGAAATTCAATTTTAGTATCCATAAATACCGTTTTATTGGAACACAGGCATGTTCATCTGACGATGTAGTCAGTGGCTGCCTCTGTACTACAGCTGTAGATTTGGATCCTGTGGCAGAGACCTTACGGCCCACGAAGCCTAAGGCATTCACTACTTTCCCCTTTACAGAAGTTTGCTGACCCAGGTCCAGTGTGCTGCATGATGGTCCCCTTCCCTTCCATTGTCAGCTGCTCCCCTCTCCCTTGTTTGCGTCTTCCAAATGCTCTGGGCTTCCACGTCCCCAAGGCTACACTCTTTCTGCCTTTAGTTCTTGGCCTGTGCTGAGAACTCTGCCCCGTCTTCCTGATTCTAAACCCAGTTTTGTAGTCAGCTCCTTTATACATGTTGCATTGCAAGGTCGCTTTATCAGAAGAGCTTCCTCTGTCCCCAGTTCACAGTTCAAGCCCTATTTGTTATTCTCTGTCTCAGCTCCTTTTTTCCTGTGTGTACTATTAAAACTTATTTTGTTCATTTGACTGCTTTATCTGTCTGTGTATCTAATCATGCATTTTGTCTTTCTATTGTAATGTGGATTCCAAGAGCAGCTACCTGTCTGTCTTATTTATGGTTGTGTTTCTAGTAAGTCTAACATTCATCTGGCTCATAGTAGATGCTCAGTAAATATTTGTTCTAACAAATTATGAACAAAGGAAAATTTAGTTAAGTGGCGTAGAGATACTAGAGAAAATATCATGGGGGAAAATGATTTGAAAAAAAACTACATTTTAAAAGTCGTATAGAAATGTGGAGGGGAGAGTGCAGAAACAGAGACCTTTACTAGAAGCTTGAAGTAAATGGAGATGCATGGACAAAATTAAAATAGTAGCCATTTCTGTACCTAATAGGGCCTCTCAGCTAACCCTACAATGGGGATGGTCACTGGTAGTGTGTTCTGCTGAGAGTTAGGGATTCTTACTCTGCTTTGCTGGCCCAGCCCCTGACTCATTCTCTATCCCCTTTCTCTCTCTCTCTATTTCTGCCCACCACTAACCCCAGCCTTTCTCAAGGGGCTCATGCAGACCCCATAATACTTGTAACTTCGTTATCCAAAAGCAAAGTTTTCTTTTTCTTTTCTGGAGACTGAGTCTCACTCTCTTGCCCAAGCTGGAGTGCAGTGGTGCGATCTCGGCTTACTGCAACCTCCGCCTCCTGGGTTCATGCCATTCTCCTGCCTCAGCCTCCCGAGTAGCTGGGACTACCGGAGCCCGCCACCACGCCCGGCTAATTTTTTGTGGTTTTAGTAGAGACGGGGTTTCACTGTGTTAGCCAGGATGGTCTCGATCTCCTGACCTTGTGATCCGCCCTCCTCGGTCTCCCAAAGTGCTAGGATTACAGGCGTGAGCCACTGTGCCCGGCCAATTTTTATATTTTTAGGAGAGACAGGGTTTCACCATGTTGGCCAGGCTGGTTTAACTCCTGACCTCAGGTGATCCGCCCACCTTGGCCTCCCAAAGTGCTAGGATTACAGGTAAGAGCCACCGTGCCTGGCAAAAGCACACTTTTAAGGTCCTCAGAAGCTCAAAAGTGAACTTAATCTTTTGGCATTTTTCTTTTCTTTTCTTTTTTTTTTTTTTTTTGAAACTGAGTCTCGCTCTGTCGCCCAGGCTGGAGTGCAGTGGTGCAATCTTGGCTCACTGCATTCTCCTGCCTCAGCCTCCTGAGTAGCTGGGACTACAGGCGCCCGCCACCACGCCTGGCTAATTTTTTTGTATTTTTAGTAGAGACGGGGTTTCACCGTGTTAGCCAGGATGGTCTCCATCTCCTGATCTTGTGATCCGCCCGCCTCGGCCTCCCAAAGTGCTGGGATTACTGGCATGAGCCCCTGCGCCCGGCCCATACACTTTAGTCAACTTTTTATTACAGGTCATTTTTTTGCCTGTACATGCAGATGCATCCCACTTTATATATATAAGAATATTTTGTAGTAGCTGTCCAGTAATTTATGTAAGCAGTGTCCTATTGGTGATTGAAGTTTTTCATTTCTTAGTTATTTTTTTCAATTAGAAATATTACAGCATTGAGCTTCTGTATGTATTACCTTTTTGCGGGTGATAAATCTTTCCATAGGTTTAAATCCCCAAAGTGGGCTGTTCATTTCTGAGAGTTTACATATTTAAATATGATAGATGCTGCCAAATTATCTTCTGGAAGGAGTGTACTGGTTTCCATTCTCACTGGAATTATCAAAAAAATGCATGTTTCCCAATACCTTTGCTAATGTTGTGAGTTATCAGTTCTTCTTTCTAATTTGTAGAAGAAAAATAATAGTTTTTATTTGCATTTCTCTGACTTTTAGTGAGCTTGAATTTTCTTCAGCAGAGCATAGAGATAAGAGCCAAACTGACCTGCATTTTTTATGTCACGTCTGTCCTTTCTTGGTGAACTGCCTGCCTTTCCAATGCAGTAGCTCATGGTTTCCACTGAAAATGTGAACATTAACTTCATAAGGTCACTAGGTGTCACTAGAATCCCATTCTGTTGGGTTCCTTCTGGGAGTGTTCATTTTAAGATCAGATGGCAATTGATAAAATTCTGACATTTCCTTTGGATGTAGAAATTTTTACCTTGAAGAAAGAATACATAAAGTTGAAATAAAGGTCAGCTTGGCCCCCACTCTAAGTTCTGTTGAAGACAATTTATCATTTTTAAACAACTGCAAACTAACAGCTAGGTGGGGAATACGGTTCACAGGCTTTGTCCTTGCTAGGCTGAGAGTTGGTTGCTGACCGAAGGCCATCACCCCCTGCATTTAGTGTTTGCTGGAAACAGGGACATATTCCTGCATAACCACAACACAGGCCGACATTAGGGGCTTACCACGGCTCCTTTCCTCCCGGAATCCTCAGACTCCATTCCTATCCTACCAGCAGCCAGCTCCACTTCCCGCCTCCTCAGCCTTCTCACCCTGCAGCCATTCCTTAGTCTTTCACTGGCTTTTGTGACTTTGACACTGTTTAAGGTCACTGACCAGTGATAGGAACGTCCCTCAGTTTGGAACGGTCTGATGTGTCCTCCTAATATCACATCAATGTGTAACAGTGGATGTGTAGCCATTTAGGACTGGGCAAATTACTCAACTGCTGGGCTCTAGGTTCCTCCAGTAGCTCCTGAGTTAACTTCCTACGGTTATTTAGTGCTAGACCACAGAAGTTCGCTCTCTGCTGGCAGAGCACTGTTGTGCAGACTTCTCTGAGTCTCCTGTGTTCTTCCTTGTGTGTCAGGGACACACGTGAAGGATAGCGTGCTTCGCGGCTGGAATCTTCAAGGAGATGCCATTCACTTTTTTACCTCACTAACACAGTGCCGTTTACAAAAAAGATTAATGTACTTTTCCTGAATTGACTTACTGACTGGGCCTAGAGAATAAGATACTGGTGCTGGGCAGTTTGGCACAAGAGTAGCATAAAGAATGCAGGATTGGCCCAGGTGAAGGCATCGTCCTAAGGGTAGAATGAGAGTCGGTGGTTCCTGGCCGACCTAGCAGGTGTACTGTGGGAAGTGCTGGAGTGAATCGGCTCTCTGGGGAGAATAAGCTCATCACAGCACGGCTTCCCGAGGAGAACGTTGCTGCTTTGATTTCTGTTGGCTCTGAGGCAGCAGCAGGTCAAATAGTTGGTTCTCTGTTTAGAGACATCTCTTGAAACACTTTTCGTTTTGACCACTAGATGGTGGGATAATGTTATCATTTTACATTTCTGAAGAAAAATAGAAATCTAACTGGAAGCTTTTTTGTCTGTTCAGTAGATTTTGGTTGGACCCCTGGTAAACATGGGTTTCAGTGTAGCAGCTTTAATGTGTTACCACGTGTGCTAAAGCATAGCTGTTGGCATGCAGAACGGCATTACCAGCAGTAAGTGCCACTTACTTCTTCATAGTGAGTGATGATAGTTACACCCAGGTAGATGAAATTCAGGGAGAGCATCTCTGTGCACCTTACATCTTATCACTCTGAAGGATATGTGGTTGGGAAGCTTCTCCCAAAGGAACAGAACACATCTTCCACAACTGTATAACCTATGTCAGGCACACGTTTTCCTGGGTTGAATCAAGCCCTTCCTTAAACTGCTAACTTAAAGAATACTTACTGGTTTTGTAAAGTTTGGCAAATGATCTTCTCTGCTCCTCGGTTTTCTGTGTTGTGCAATAGGAGGCAATGGTAGTGGCTTTTCCAGCACGGTTGGTGTGAGGCTTCTCATGAGCTGGGTGACCTTTGTCCTGATGATGGTGGTGATTTTAATACTGTGTATTTGATAACACGATTATCTAGGGTCTCCTCTACGTCTTTCGTCCAGATGCATCTCAGCCACCCCCCTTTTGCTGTTCCCTTAGGCATAATAGTGGTAAATCGGTGACATTTTGCTTGAGTAAGAAGAAGCTGCTAAAAACTTCTCATGCTTAAAATTGGTAATTAAGGGGACTTTTTAAAAAGAAGCACAGTTAAAAAACATTTCCTTCCTCGTTCTCTTCCACCCGCCTCCCTTTCCCATCACTTTTATTAGATACAGCATTCTGCTCACCCCATTATTGCAGGCTCAGATAGTTGGTTTGTTTTTTTAAAATCAGCTTTATAAAAACATTTACATAAAATAAAATGGACCCATTTTAAGTGTACATTCACGGGTTTTTTGTGTATACCTGTGTCACCACCACAACCAAAATACAGAGCATTTTCATCACCCCAAAATCTCCTTCGTGTCCATTTGCTGTCGGCCTCCCTGCCCCCTCCTCCCACCCCAGGGCAGCCACAGATCTGGTTTCTGTCATTAAAGATTAGTGTCACCAATTCTGGGGCTTCAGATCAGTGGAATCATCCAGCGTGTACTATTTTGTGCCTGACATCACTGAAGGTGATGTTTTTGCGATCTGTCCGTGTTGTTTGTAGCAGTGGTTTCACTTCCTTTTATAGCTGAGTAGTATTCTATTGTAGGCATGTAGCTTGGTGCCACCAGTTGATGGAGATTGGGCTAGTTTGCCATTTTAGGTTATTATGAATAAAGTTACAATGGACATTTACATTTGTGTCTTTGTATGCTTTCATTTCTCTTGGGTCATTACCCAAACTTTTCCAAGGTGGTTATGGCACTGTATATTCCCACCAGCAGTGTTCCTTTCACTCCACGTCTTCACCAATAGTTGAAATTTATCCATCTTTTGAATTTTAGCCATTCAAGCAGATGTGTAGTGGTATTTCATGGTTTTTTTTTTCCCAACATTGTTTTAAGATCTAATTCATATGCTACACAATTTGTCCAATTAAAGTATACAATTCAGTGGTTTTAAATATACAGTCAGGTATTGCTTGACGACAGGGATGCCTTCTGAGAAACGAATAGGTGATTTTGTTGTTGTGGAGACATCACAGTGTGTATTAACACACACCTGCATGACATAGCTACTGCACACCTAGGCTCTGTGGCACAACCTGTTGCTCCTAGGCATAAACCTCTACAGCATGTGCAGTTGTGAAACAGTGGTAAGTATTTGTGTCTCTGAAATACTTAAACATAGAAAAGGTAGAGTAAAAATATGGTATAAAAGATAAAATATGGTACACCTACATAGGGCGTTTACTATGAATTGAGCTCGCTAGACTGGAAGTTGCTGTGGTTGAGTCGTTGAGTGAGTGGTGAGCGAATGTGAAGGCCTAGGACATTACTACTATACAGTACTATGGACTTTATACACGTCATACAGTTAGGTTACACTGGATGTATATTTTTTGGAGCAACTGTATTAACTGATACTATAACGTTTTTTTAAAGACAAGGTCTTGCTTTGTCTCCCAGGCTGGAGTGAAGTGGCACATTTATGGCTCACTGTAGCCTCAACCTCCTAGGCTCAAGCAATCCTCCTGCCTCAGCTTCCTGAGGAGCTGGGACTACAGGCGTGTGCCACTATGCCTGGGTAATTTATTTTTATTTTTATTTTTGTAGAGACGGCATTCTTGCTACGTTGCCCCCACTAGTCTCCAACTCCTGACCTCAAACAGTCCTCCTACCTCCGCCTCCCAAAATGTTGGGATTACACATGGGAGTTATTGCACCCGGCTCCTCCCATAAGTAAATAATCTATCTCTCTGTTACTTGTGGTGGGAGGAAAAGAAAAAAAACACCTAGGTTATGTATAATACCTAATACGAGTACTTCGTAAGTAGTTATTATACTGTTTTTTTTTTTTTTTGAAACGGAGTGTCGCTCTGTCGCCCAGACTGGAGTGCAGTGGCGTGATCTCGGCTCACTGCAACCTCTGCCTCCCAGGTTCAAGCGATTCTCCTGACTCAGCCTCCTGAGTAGCTGGAATTACAGGCACGCACCACCACGCCCGGCTAATTTTTGCATTTTTAGTAGAGACGGGGTTTCCCCATGTTAGCCTGGATGGCCTTGAACCACTGACCTCCCGCCTCAACCTCCCAAAGTGCTGAGATTACAGGTGTGAGCCACCACGCCTCGCCTATACTGTATTTTTTTTTTATTTGGCCTTACTATAGCTTTTTTACATGATAAACTTTGTAATTTTTTAAATTTTTTTACTCTTTTGTAATGCCTTAAAATACATTGTACAACAGTATAAAAATACCTTATATCTTTATCAGCTTTTTCTAT
Organism: Homo sapiens; assembly: GCF_000001405.40. NCBI lineage: Eukaryota > Metazoa > Chordata > Mammalia > Primates > Hominidae > Homo > Homo sapiens. The sequence continues at coordinate 6,428,233 of NC_000008.11, forward strand.
GTTTTAATTTTAATTTTTACTTTTAAACTTAAAAAAAACTAGGACACAAAGACACACATTAGCCTGGGCCTACACAGGGTTAGGAACATCAGTATGTCGCTAGGCGATAGGAATTTTTCAGCTCCATTATAATCTTATGTGATCACTGTTGTGTATGTGGTCTGTCATTGACCAAAAGGTTGTTATGCGGCATATAACTGGATTCACAGAGTTGTGCAACCGTCACCACAATTTAAAAACATTTTCGTCACCTCAAAATGAAACTTGCACCCCTTAGCCCTATCCCCTATTCTCCCGCCAGCCAAGGCAGCCTCTAGTAGTCTACTTTCTTTCTCTGTGGATTTTCCTTTTCTGGACATTTCCAATAAGCGGAATCATATGATATACGGCCTTCATGTCTGGCTTCTTTCTCTTAGCATAATGTTTTCAAGGTTCAGTATGTTGTCATCTGTATTAGAATTTCATTTCTTTTTATGGTGGAATCATGTTCCATTGTATGGACACGTGCGCACGCACACACACACACACACACACACAGAAGAACTAAATATTACAAGGCTTATCATGAAAAACAATGGTCTCTTTCTTGACCCTTTTCACCCTCAATTCCTGTTCCCCAGAGGCAGCTCCTTTCACACTTGTGGCTGCTTCTGCAGATAAGCTGTTCGGTGACCTCCATATTTCTAAATACTGTGGCCGTATTGCTGTTTCGGTTTTTCAGTTTCAGGTATTATCTAGTGACTTTCTGATAGGGAAGTGAGAATTTCGTTTTTAATCCGCCCCTCTGAGTGCACCTCACTCCCACATACACTCATCTGCTGTTTGCATGGACACATTCATGTGCAGGCTCTTTCCACTCTTGATTGCAGTGTACATGATACATTTTGGTTAAATCGGTAGTTTATGTTTACATCATTATGAATGTGGAAGTTGTGTGTTAGGCTGAATCTCAGAGTGAACCATGAATATATTTCCTTTCATGGAAAACTTTTTGTTTTCCCTGAGCTTGGCCTGGTGTCCTTTGAGTCCAGAGCTTCTCAGGCTCCACTTATGTGAACATGGACCCAGTGCCCCCATTGGACACAGGGTGGCAGTGAGTGGGCACAGGCAAGGAGAGAAGGAGAGTCGCTCCCTCTTTTCAGCCTTCCACCCTCTGCCCTCTGCACTTTGCCCCCTGCCCCACCCCAGACTGCTGTGGCTTCACCTGCGCCTCCTGCCCTTGAGGGGTTCTGAGCTCCAGGTTCTGAGCTCCAGATGGACTCCTCCCCCGCCCCAGCTGCCAGGCTTGGGTTTCCCTTTTTTTTTTTATTTGTTTGATTTCATTTCCCCAGACAGCTCTTATCTACTCTTTATTTTTGTTGGTTTATGTCTTTTTGTTTTCCTTTACTATCATTTTATTGGGGTTTTGGGGGTCAAGAGAAAAGCATGTGCTAAGTCCACCAGATTTAACCAGAGGTCAAAAACCTTCCATTTTTATTGTCTAAATATTATTCAGTTAAGGATTCCCCCTCCCCATCTTAGTCCCCAACTGCCTTTGCTGAATCTTTAGCGTCTCCTGCCACAGTTATTGCAGTATTCCCTGACTGGCCTCCTCCTCCTGGACCAGTGATCTGCCCACGACCCCTCCCTCACACCTGTCCCCATGCCCCAGACCCACAGGACAGGGTCCAAGCTCATTAGCTTAGAAAGTACAACCCTTGGAATCACATGAATTCTTTTTTTGTTGCTAGTCTCCTAAGTTGCATTCATTCACTCAGTCATACAAATGGTGTATGTTTTCCCCACAATGTCACCCTGTTTGCTGCACTGTGCTTGAGTCTATGCTCTGCTTCCAGATGGAAGATCTGTGTCCTCCCACATCTGCCTCCTTGTCAGAGTTGAGTCTGGTGATCATCTCTGACCTGAAGCTTTCTCTGAACCATACTCGTTATGCAACCTGTTGCTGCTTTTCTGCCTGGTTGTACTTCTCTTGTTACAATTACTGCACTGTGTTCTTTTTTAAATTTGTACATTTTTGCAGATTTCTCTGATGCCTGGCTTAATAGAAGACAGTTGCCTTCTCATATCTGCCTCTGCATTCAGTGTATTGGGGTGGCACATGTCGTTTTGCTTCGGAAAATTCCACTGCATTGTATACTGAGGGGATAATGCGAGATGAGAAAGGAAAATCACACGTTAGTGTTGTTATAAAGATAGTATTGACTTTACACACCCTCAGAAGGGGGTCAGGGATGCCAGGATGACATTCACTACCCTAGTGTCACTTACCACATTGCATAGACCATACTGTGCCGTACAGAGGCACATATTTCTGAAACTTCCTTTATTCCTAATATATTTTGTAGAAATTTCTATATCAATATGGATATGTGTTTTTTATTGCAGTGTACTTTATTTTTTCAAATAACTGTTCGTGTGTTAGATGTTGAACGGTGATAGGCCTGTGAGGGATAGTTGGAGAGGTGAGTAGAGGCCTTATAAAAACACTTAAACAGCAGATGAGTGAGAATATGCTCTAAACATGGGAGTGACAGAAGGTTTTTATCTAGGTTGGGAAGAAATTTAAGATTAATATTTCAGGAATGTATGAGTGAATTAGAAGAGGAGAAACAAATAGTAGGGCAGGAGATCATTTAGAAAATCATAATTATTTAGACTTGAGTGACAGAATGCTAAGAAGGAGATAAGGGTCACAGGAATCCAGAGATACGAAGGTGGACAGGAGAAATGGCAGGTGTGTCCACAGGGCAGGAGGAGGAGGCTTGGCAATGCGGAGCATTGGTTGCACACCTGGGCCTTGGGGCTGATGGTGGTGTCTGGACAGAAACACAAAAAGGACAACCCAATTTTGGAGGAAAGAGATGTCCTCTGACTTCAATTTCTTTACGTCCCTTCTACCTCTGAATTATCTGTTTTATGGCCTGTTTACTATTAAATGATCCATTTAATAGCATTTACCCTTAGCTTTATGAGTACCATGCACTAATAATTTTGAAGTATGCTACAAGTCAAAAATTGTTGTGTAAAAATTGTACTTCCTTTACCTGCCTCTTGCTTCTGTTATACTTAAATACCAGATAGAGATGATTTTGGGAAGTTTGATTTATACTGACTTTTGTATTTGCAGTTGTATTTATTTTTTAAAAGTCTGTTAAAATGACCTAGCTATGGATTTCTTAAATTGCTAATACATGTGCAGATTTAGTGCTGTGTCAATGTATAATAGAAGCAAATACTCATTAGACTACCTTAATTTAATTATACAGATGCAGGACAGCTGGAGCACACATTGATGAATCATTGTTCCCTGCAGCTAATATGAATGAACACTTATCAAGCCTAATTAAAAAAAAAGTAAGTACATGATTTCAATGTAGATAATGGCAATTAGGAATTTATTCGTTTTTATTTTTTATTTCTAGAAAATAAAACTTCTAGAAATATATTCAAGAGTTGTCTTAAATATGCTATTGATGATATTGTTCTTTTCACATAGCATTTTTAAGTGAATTACAGAGATTATTTTATCCTATGACTTCTTCGATAGCATTTGTATGAAATGGAAAAGCCTGTGGTTGGCCATGGGAAGACTAAAAGGTGCCAAGAGACAAGCAAACATTTAGGTGCTTTGGTAATTACTTCAGAATGAAGTTTGTTATATCTGTAGCCAAAATACCTGCATTCTGTTTAGCCAGATAAATCTCAAAAGTCCGATGGACCTACATCCAAGTGTGCAAAGTCATTTATTAGGAAAATCTGCTGTACAAATACAGTTGTCCTTCATTATCCACAGAGGATCAGTTCCGGGACCCCCACAGATAACAAAATCCACTGATGCTCAAGTCCCTTATATAAAATGCCATAGTATTTGCATGTAACCTACACAAATCCTCCCGTATACCTAAGAAAGAATTGTTTGTAGAGACAGGGTCTTTCTATGTTGCCCAAGCTAGTCTCAAACTCCTGGCCCCAAGTGATTCTCCTGCCTCAACCTCCCAATTGGGATTACAGGCGTGAGCCACTGCACCTGGCTCCTCCCATGTACTTTAAGTAATCTCTGGATTATTTAAAATACCTAATACAATGTGAATGCTTTGTAAATAGTTGTTACACTGTATTTTTTTTTAATTTGTGTTAAATTTTTTTTCTTTTGAATATTTCCAATCGCGACTGGTTGAATCCATAGATCTGGAACTTGCAGATACAGAGGGCAAACTGTAGAGTTAAAGACATTGCTTTCATTTGAGATAGAATTCACATTTTAACCACAACCTTTTCGGCTTTCTATTTATGTAAAAGTTCTAATTGTGATTTCTTTATCTGAGGGTACTTTACTCTGAAACATCACAGCCAGCTTGTTTTCACATGAGATTCTCTGTTAGAGGGAGGATTTGATGACTTTCTCCAAACTGAACTACATTTCCTGTAGACTAGAGGAGAAATAACTGTGAATTTCACATTTCCTGAAAATAGTAAATGATATTTCTTCGTTACATTTCATCTCAGACAAGCCATAGTTTGCCCATGCAGTGATAGATGAACTTCTTCAGTCTTACCTGATTATAGGTGAACAAGTGTTCAGCAGTCTCTGGACTCCCTGTGACATGCTAAAATCAAGTGTTTATTGTAAAAACACATCAGTAGTACATACATATTTTCTTTGTAAAACATTTAGTAAACACAGACATCTCTTTGATTGCCCTCCCTCAATGTAAGCAGCTTTCAATTTGATGAGTATCCTAGGTGGCATTTCTTCAGTACATTACACACATGTACACACTCACACATGCATGCTTGACGTGAAGGGGCTCTGCTATCTTATGTGTATCATTTGGTGAGTTGCCTTCTCTTCCCCAATTAACAATATGGTTTTGACCATTTCATGTCGGTAGCTTTGACTCTACTCAGTTTTCTGTATTGCATTATACATTGTGACTGTTTTTCCGGTATTCATGTACTTTTAGTCACTGTCAGTTTTTGCTAAGTATATTACTTAAGCCACATATTTGAGTTTATTTCTCCAAGTCAGATATCTAGAGATAAAATTACTGGGTAAGAATACATACACATTTTGATTTTACCAGCTCCACCAATCATATACAAGATGACCTATTTCTTGGCCAGATACAGTGGCTCACACCTGTAATCCCAGCACTTCAGAAGGCCAAGGCGGGCAAATCAGTTGAGGCCAGGAGTTTGAGAGCAGCCTGGCCAACATGGCGAAACCCCATCTCTACTAAAAATACAAAAATTAGCCCAACCTGGTGGTGCACACCTGTAATCCCAGCTACTCAGGAGGCTGAGGCAGGAGAATTGCTTGAACCCAGGAGGTGGAGGTTGCAGTGAGCCCAGATCATGCCACTGCACTCCAGCCTGGGCGACAGCAAGGCTCTGTCTCAAAAAAAAAAAAAAAAAAAAAAAAACCTATTTCGTGATACTCTGACCAATATTGGATGTTACTAATCTTTTTAATTTTTCCTAATCTGAAGCATTAATGATTGCTTGTACACTTTACCACTTTAATTTTCATGTCTAAAAACCTTCCCTTTCCTTCTCTTTTCCAAATGTAATTGCAAATTAAACCCGACTCAAGGCCTTATTCTTTTGGGTCCTTGAGATGGTTCTGTGCCTCTGTCTCCCCCCTCACCCTGTCTGCTGCCTGCCTGCCCAGCTTGCTGTTCCTCAAGCATGCCAATCGTATTTCTATTTCAGAGCCATTGCGTTATCTGTTCCCTCTGTCTGGAACATTCTTCCCCCAAAATCCTTACACATGACCCGTTTTCCAGCCTCCCTATGGCTTTGTGCAGATGTTACTTTCTCTGTGAGACCTATCCTGCCACCCGTTTATACCAGCAGTTCCTTCCCACTTGTGCCAACTATGCAAGTCTCTTTTCATCTGCAGTGCTGACTGGCTCCTCCTAACACACTGTAGTAATGTGGGCAGTTTGATGGAATACAGTTGCTAGAGAAGATTCACAGGACCCCAAAATAACAATGTGTCCAACCTGCACCGTACCTGAGAACCAGGAAGCGCAAGATGGAGTGTCTTCTTGTATACTGCTGACCCTGAGTCTATATGAACCAGCCCCACTGGCAGAGCCTCCAGGCAAATCCTTCATCTCACTACTCATAAACAATGTTGACAGGCCAGCACAATCTGTCCCCAAACTTCCCGGACCTGTGGCTATAAAGCACCACTGTCTAATTAGTACATTTTGTGTCATGCAGGTACTTTAGTGAAAGCAGTGCAGGCCGGTTCCAAGCCTGTTGAAATGAACCTCCCAAGACACATACAATTTACTTATTTATTATGTTTATTTGCTGTCATTCCTTACCAGCATACAAGCTCCATGATGACAAGGATCTTTCTAGGTTGCAAGACCAGCGCCTGACATAAAGTCATGTTTTTTGTCAATAAATGAGTGAATAACTAACAGAGCAAGATCCCCAGTATAGGCATTAGCCTTGAGTAGCTAAAAGAAGTTCTTTCTATGAGACTGGAGCAAAAGAAGTTAGCGTTTACGTGGGTAGCTAGCTACCCATGTAAGCAAATTTGGGCTGGTAGCTTCGCGCTGAAAACGAAGGAACCTAGACAGATGACTTAAATTTCCCTGGGGTCCTATAAGAAAGAAGTCAGGCATAAAAGTGTTATAGGTAAAATCGATGTGAAGTTCAGTATGTGTATTTGTGCTGATGGCTGGGCTAAAGACGGGAAGTCAATGGGCAGTTCCAAGAACAGAAAGTGGGGTGGGTAAGGCTGGGAACGTGAGGTGTGTTTCAAAGGAAACATTTCCCCTGTCTGAGGATGGTTAAGAGTAGAGTTAACCCAAGACCTTCCTGTGGATATCAGCCTGGGGTTTCATGTGTTTGTGAGTGTAGTTACAGTTTTTGGGTTTTACTGGCTGATTGGAGTTACTGTGATTTAATGACGGTAGGGCAAGCATAATCATGGTTCTTTTCTTTGGTAATTATAAAATAGAAATTGTTTTATTACTGTGTTGTGGTCTTGCAGGGAGGATGACGTGAGAATAGTGCTACCAAGCAGGCAGTGGGCGTGCTGCCAACCCACATAGAGTCCAAGATCATGCCACTTGTTTTGAGAAAAGAAAGGCTTTATTGCAAGTTGCCTGGCAAGGAGACAGGAGGAAACTCTCAAATCCGCCTCCCTGAGGTGGGGGCTCAGGCAGTTTCATAGGCAGAGAAAACAAAGTGTGATCTGATTGGATCTTGCAATGGGGTGATGCTGGGAGGTGTCATCTGACTGGGTTGTGTCACAAGGTGATGCCAGGGCTCAATCTGATTGGATCATGGATTATGCCATCAGGTGTTTACTCCTTAATTTGGCCCCCGTTCCTTGGTCTAAGTGCTTAGGTTCTGCCCGTGGTTACATGCTTGGTTCACCTGGGCATGCTCAAGTGACGTAACTTGCAACTTCAGGGGCCGTGGCAATTAAACAGTTCACCATTTTGATACACAAAGTTGAACTAGATTGGGCTGGTTTGGTGGTAAGAACAGCAAAAAATCGAAAGAGACTGGCTAAAAACTTTCATGGAAACTAAGAATGCTAGGATCATGAAAATGTCTCACAAAGCATAATACAGAGCCTTTTATACAGTCTTTTAAATTCTGTCCATTTTCTTTATAACTGCACAAAAAAATAAATATTGCCAGTTCACATACAGTGCAAGAAACACCTCTTTTAGAATTTTTTATTACTGATGTTATAAAAGGTATCAGAAATGTATGCGAAAGGGCTTTTTCTCCTGCCTTAAGCAGTTGCAGTACAGCATTAATTTTTGTGTTCTTTTTGCACAGCGTAAATGTATGCAGCCCAAAGATTTTAATTTTAAAACACCAGAAAATGATAAGAGATTTCAGAAGAAATTTGAGAAAATGGCTAAAGAGCTACAAAGGCAAAAAACAAATCTAGGTAAGCTAAGAAATATAATACAGTTCTTTGCATTTGTGTCCATACACCTTGTTTAATTTGCATGATGACTAGTGGGGTTCAGCATGAGAGAGCTGATGAAGACTATGATAGCTTTACTCTATGAAGGAGAAAACAAAATGTCAGGAGCCTGCGGGAGACTTGGCTGGGAGCCATAATAGAGCCACGCAGCTTGAGCTAATCGACCACAGTCTTAACCATTCATCAAGGTGGTCGAACTTTTTATTTTCGGGAATGATTTCAGAAGAAAAGCAAACTTTGGCTAATAAGCATTATTGAAATAAATACCTATTTATTTCTTCTTTATATATAACTTTGTATTTTTACCTAATTGGCATTTTTGTTTTGTTACCCTGAATAGGCAAATCTTAGATGATACATTATTTTAGTGATTTGGGAAAATACTTTAGAATATTATGTTCTATAACAAGATGTCTTAGAAAAAAATATATGTATTCTTATGTATATATATTGTTAAATAATATTTTTATATATAAGAATATTATGGGCTGGGCACAGTGGCTCACGCCTGTAATCCCAGCACTTTGGGAGGCAGAGGCGGGCGGATCACGAGGTCAGGAGATAGAGACCATCCTGGCTAACATGTTGAAACCCTGTCTCTACTAAAAATACAAAAAAATTAGCTGGGAGTGGTGGCAGGCGCCTGTAGTCCCAGCTACTTGGGAGGCTGAGGCAGGAGAATGGGGTGAACCTGGGAGGCAGAGCTTGCAGTGAGCCGAGACTGCACCACTGCACTCCAGCCTGGGCAACAGAGTGAGACTCCAACTCAAAAAAAAAAGAATATTATGAAACATTAAGATGCTTTGTACGTTTTTGGTATTTCTGTTTTGCCTTTTTCACTGTCGTCTAAAGTCAGTATTTCCTACTAATTCTGACACAGCATTGCTACAGATAAGCAATTATGGTCACTAGAAATTCCTAGGAAGCATTAATTCCTCTAGTTTTTGTTTTCTTTGTTTTAATCTATGTTACTATGTCACAGATTCTCTATTCTGTGTTTTGAAATTATTCAAATAGAATTGTCGAGATTTATTTTATTTATTTTTTTGAGATGGAGTCTTTCTCCATCACCAGGCTGGAGTGCAGTGGTGCGATCTTGGCTCACTACAACCTCCACCTCCCGGGTTCAAGCAATTCTCCTGGCTCAGCCTCCCGAGAAGCTGGGATTATAGGGGCGTACCACCACGCCCAGCTGATTTTTGTATTTTTAGTAGAAACAGGGTTTCACCATGTTGGCCAGGATGATCTCAAACTCTTGACCTCGTGATCTGCCCGCTTCAGCCTCCCAAAGTGCTGGGATTACAGGCGTGAGCCACCGCGCCCGGCCAAGATTTATTTTAAATCTGTGACGATAATGCGACAGAACTGGGTAGAACACTTAGCCCACATAGTGCTGCCACATAATTTTCCAGAAACATGGCCTGCATCATTTGTTTCATGCTCAGCCCTCCCGCTGCCTCACCTGGTGCGTGTCCATCCTTCCTTCACACCAGCTGTCTCGTCTTCGTCAAAGCTCAAGCCAGAAACGTGCAATCGTCCTTGACATCTCCTTCTTCCTGACACTAACCCCCATCAAGACCATGGCCCTGCTTCTGAAATAGTTGTTTGACTTCTTCTGTTTTCTCCTTCCCTCCTCTCTCCCCTGATGCCTGGATCATCCCTCCTGCACCACTGCAGCCACTCCTTACGCTGCCCTCCACTGTCTCCTTACAGTTCATCTCTGTGCTGCAGTCACAATGGTGAAAACTTTAAACCAGAAGGACATCCCCTCCCTGGTTTAAAATTTCCTGGTGTCATCCCAAGGAAAAATATTCAGGATAAAATCCTGTATTTAACATATCCTCCAATTTACTAGGTGCTTTATGATCTGGCCTCTCTTTCTAGCCTCATAGCAATATTGCACACTCTCCTATAATTCTTTATACTTTTGTCACTTTGGCCTTCTTTGCTATGTCAGTGACAGTGTATTTGAAAATACTTTGGCAACATGGTAATGATAGATACAAAATTTTCTTCTTAGACCAAATATGTATCGTAATTAAAAACTATATGTATAAAGTATTAATGATTCAACTAATGTACATTTGTATATTGTCAGAACTACAGTAAGGGTGATTCAGGCTTAAGAGTCCCAAAGGAGAATATATTAAATGATTCTTGGTATTTTTTTGTTGGGGGTGAGTATCAAAGTTCTGAAGGGCTCTTTGAGCATATGCAAGGTAGCATTCCAGAAAAAAACACAACTCTGCACCCACACAAAACGAGCTCATAACTTCATGGTTCCGGGACCATGCTGATCCCACTTCATGCAGTCAAGTTCATGTCTGGGTCTGTGAGTGTGTTTGAGGGTAGGAGTGATGGTTCATGGGGGCAGTTTCTGAAACCTGAGACAAGAAACAGAAACTAAATTGCATTCCAGCTTTACAACTTTTAACTTCTGTGTCTCAGTCTTTGTCTTCAAGTGGGGATACTGATTTGGGTTTGGATTTGAGGTTGGATGCACTAATGCATATATTGTTCTTAGCACAGTGCTTGGTGAGGGCAGTTGCTCAGCAGATGTGAGCCAGCAGCTGTAGCAGCAACATCACTGCCTGTGGAGGTGGTGGAGGTAGAATATTAGCAGGAGTAGGTAATGATGTTGAAAGGGAAGAAGGAAAACGGGGTGTGGGGGGTTGTTCTTTAAAAGGAATCACATTCCTGAAGTATGAAGGCACTTTTTGGTCTTAAAGTGGATTTTTTGTTTATTTTCAGATGATGATGTACCTATTCTCTTATTTGAATCTAATGGTTCATTAATATATACTCCCACAATTGAAATTAATAGTAGGCACCACAGCGCAATGGAGAAGAGATTACAAGAGATGAAGGAGAAAAGGGAAAATCTTTCCCCCACCTGTAAGTAATTAGTTTGTAAAATGAAAATTATGCAAATAGCCGATTCAATTATGGTGGAAAGCTTCTTTTTTCTTTGCCTAGATATTTTAATGTTTCCTGGTAGTAACACATTTTGACTTATTTCATGGCTGGCTTTGTTTTCCAGAAAATCTTATGCATCATTAAGATTTTTGAAGCATATGTTGGGTGTATAGTATTCTTCAAGTTTAAAATCCTATTTGTTGTAGCTCCTTTGTAATTTCTATTATCTTTGGAATTTTTTCTTTCTTTTTTTTTAAAAAAAAATGAATCATGTCTTTTTTTTTTTTTCTGAGATGGAGTTTTGCATTTGTCACCCAGGCTGGAGTGCAGTGGCGCGATCTGGGCTCACTGCAACCTCCCTAGTTCAAGTGATTCTACTGCCTCAGCCTCCCGAGTAGCTGGGATTACAGGCGCCTGTCACCACTCCTGGCTAATTTTTTTTTGTTTTTTTGTATTTTTAGTAGAGACGGGGTTTCACCATGTTGGCCATGCTGGTCTTAAACTCTTAACCTCAGGTGATACACCCGCCTCGGCCTCCCAAACGGCTGGGACTGTAATCCAGGCGTGAGCCACCGCTCCTGGCCGTGAATCATGTCTTTTGAAGGAATTTGCTTTAGATTAATGTATCTAAGGAATCAGTTTGTTTTTCATTATTTCTTTTATCTTTAAAATTTTTAATTACTGAAGTGTAATTCACATTTTAATAAAACATTTATCAAAGTAGCTAATAGTAAAAGTTCATCTTGATACCCATCTAATTGTACTCTTCTACCTGGGGGTAACCTGTATTTTAAGTTTAAGTGTTTTTCCAGATCTGTTTCAGTGTATCAGATATCTGTGTATACATGAAAAAGATACGGGTTTGGTTTCTGTGTGGAGGTGTAATTTCTGTTTTACCTAAATTAGATAATGACATATGTATTATTATCCGCTTTATTTACTTAAGAGTATCCTGGAGGGTTTGTTTGCAGCTTAGTTGTTGTAGACCTATTTTTGTTTTAAGATGCTCAAAGTAGTCTACAGTTTTGATATTGAAAATCTATTGGTGGGTATTTTTTTCCCAGTTATTAGAAATTGTGTTGCAGTTTTTATTCTTTTTTTAACCATATGGTTTGGTTGTTCTTGTTTTTTTGTTAAGCCATTTTCCTTTCTCTAGACATAAGTCTTTCCAGCTTCCCACCCCGACTTTTTACTGTTATAACCCCTGCATGTGCCTACGTGAATCCTTGTATTTCTGAGTACTTCGTGTATTTCAATAATACTAATTCATACATGCAGAATTTGATTTTTTAAAGACATAGAGTCTCCCTGTGTTGCGCAGGCAGGACATGCACTCCTGGGCTCAAGTACTTCTGCCTCACCCTCTCAAGTAGCTAGGAATACAGGTGTGTGCCACGATCCCTGGCTTATTGATAGATATAGTCAAATTATCCTTCAAAAAATTTGAGTCATCTTATTGTCACCAGTTGTTTATAAGAATGCCCCTTTCTCCATACTTGGAAAACTGAATGGCATTAGCCTGTAGCCTTTTTCAGTCGGAAGCTTGAAAAACTGGATCTGTTCTTGAAGTTACTTTTGATTAGAAGCAGGTTTAAGTGCCTTTTCATATTACTGACTGACTTACCGAATGCAGCTTTTAATGTGATCAACTATTACCTCGCTTAATTTTATGTCCTTTGTCCATATGTATCAGTTAAGGTTAGTTTCGGCTGCATATAACAAAGACAAAAACCAATGTGTTACAATCGATAGAATTGCCTTTCTCTGTCTTGCCTAGTTCAGAAGTAGGCAGCCAGGGCTGGGATGCCATTCCATGGTGTCTTTAAGAAACTAGGTTCCCATCTTTCTGTTGTACCTGCCTGGCTTTTCTTGCAAAATGTGTGTGCCTCCCAGCTAAGCCATCTCCTTTTGACAGCCTTACCAGACGTCTATCCAATATTCCTGTCTAATTCCATTGGCTGGAATGTGGTCATATGGCCACCCCTTTTGCAAGCAAGACTGAAATGTAGTCTTGACTGGGATGCATTGCTGTCCTGATAAAATCAAAGTTCTGTTGTTAAGAAGAAGTGAGAATGGACATTGAGGTAGATAACTAGCTGTGTCCCAGGTGGACATCCAAATTGTTTCAGTGTGCAATTATGTGTATAAACTAATTTGCCTTAAACTTTACTTTTTCTATTACTTGGCAGTGTTAATTCTGCTACTTTACTGCGTCCAGTACAGTTTAAAACTTAACTGAAAATTTTATGTGTGCTTCCCTTCCTTATCTTGGTTTATTCTCTTTTTTTGCTGAAGTTTTCTCAGAAAAGTATCCTTTTGAGTCTCTAAAAAATATCTTTGGATATAAGATCCAAACATTTCTTTTGTTTCTTGACTATTGTATGAACCGCCTTTGAAGATAATACTTACGATCTTATTTGTTAAGTCATTGACATCCTAAGTGTTTTCTATGAAACCTCTAGGATTTCTCAACCCAGCACAGCTGACATTTGGGTCTGGGTAATTCTTTGTTGGGGGCACTGCCCTGTGTGTGGTAGGAAGCTCAGCAGCATCCCTGCCTCTCCCCACTAACACTAGCAGTGTACCTACTGCTCTCCCTCACTGGCGATATCCAAAAATGTGTCCAGACATTACCAAATATCTGCTGGGACCCCAACGTCACCTCTGGTTGGGAAGCAGTGCTCTAGTTTTAGAGGTAACTATGATGAGCATCCTTGAAGAAAAATCCATGATTATCAAATAAGAAGACTAGAACAGACTGGAAATGTTCACTTAATTCTGTTGAGCTTCTGATTAGATTCAGGCAAGTTGACTTTAAGATCCCTTCTAACTTTGTGATTATAGGATTTAATAGAATCACCTATGATTAATAGGAGGACTTCCTGCTGGCTTCATCTGCTAAGAAATACTGAAACTTTATCTAATGCAGTGTCTTGGTCCTGTTTTTAGCTTCCCAAATGATTCAGCAGTCTCATGATAATCCAAGTAACTCTCTGTGTGAAGCACCTTTGAACATTTCACGTGATACTTTGTGTTCAGGTAAAATTTTTATTTTCCTTTCTGTGATATGTTTAAGTTTTGAGAATAATATGATTTTCTGATTTAGAATTTCATGTAGCAACTTCTGATGAGTAAAATAATTAGTTAAAACTAGAACTTCTAAATTTCCCCCTGAAATTAGGTATTATAATAAAATTAAGGCATGAGTTAAACTTCCTTTTTGGTTCCTATAGGTTTTTTTTCCTAGGCATTTGCTTTCTTGCTACAGAATCCATTGCTCTATTTAAAAAATTATTGTGAACGTATATGAACTAATCTGTATGCAGTTTAAACTACATAGAACTGAGGTCAGAGCTAAGGAAATGTTGTTTCACACAATGTATAATTAACACAAGGAACCTGTTATTGAACGGGGTCAGTGAAGTATGTAAAGATCGTCAATTGAGGAGATAAATAGAGGATTTCTAATTAGAAGCAGAAAGAACACTGGTAGGAATTAGTGCAGTTAGTTCCATGTTACGCACATACATGTTTGTAATGTGGGAGCCCTAGTTCCACTTAGGATGGTAATTTTTCATGGTCATATCTTCTTCGTACCAAATTTCTTACAGTTTCTTCACCTAGTCCCCAGTGGGGCTCAAGTAAGTAGCAGTGATCCCTGAAAGTACTATGTTCAAAAGTGCTTGAGATGTTATGGAAAATTTATCATGAAAGCCACAGCAATGACAAAGCGCAAGATGGCATCAAGATATTAGAAGTTTCAAACAAAGCCTCCTTTCAGCGCAGGGTTAATCCTTGTACTCTCACCTCTGTGTGCTGGAATTATTTACCCATTTCTCTTAAACAGTCTCCATCTTTTTATTTTACACTTGTTACATTTATTTCCTAGAAGTTGGAAACAAGTGATAATAATAGCTAACATTGATTTCATTTTTGTTGTTGTAGGCACTCCTCTAAGTGTCTTATTCACTGTTATCTCATTTATTCTCCCATTAGCCTTAAGAGGTAGGTTCCATCACCATCCCATTTTGCCAGTGAAAAACCAGGACACAGAGGTCAAACAGCTTGTCCAAGGTCATGTGGTTTGTGAATGGCAAACCCAAGCTTCTAACTTAGGCAGTCTGACATCACAGATTACACTCTTAGTGACATGTCACATTGCTTATCGGGTTTTTGAAAAGTGTGATAAAACATAAAACAATTTTAGGTGCTGAATAAGATATATTGAGCATCTAAAATTAAAAGTGACCTTATTTCCAACTACTGCCTTGAAGACACCTGGGGCACAGTTGGAAGGGAAGCTTTGGTGGTTACCTGTGTTCTTCCTTTTTAAAGTAGAACTTCAGTGATTTCAGACAGAGAGTTCTAACACTTACGTGACCTCCAGATTGAGTGATTTCTACAAAACACAGGCCCTCCACCAGCAAGTGCTGAGCCCCTATTGAGGGAGCCAGCACGGGACTAGAGACTTCTTCATATTCATTCCAGTAGCTTATAGCACAGTGACGGGCAGATGCCCACGTAACCATGGGGCAGTATGATGCATGATGGTGTGTAGCAGAGGGGGCAAGGCCAGGGAGAGCTGGCAAGGGCAGTGGGAGGGTCCCAGGGATGTTGACAACCCAGGTGGGTTTGGAAGGATGAATTGTATTTACCCAGAATAAAGTGTGGAGGAAAGGGGAAGGCCCAGAGGGTACAGAGGAGTATAGAATATTTAGGAGGTAGCAGCAGCTTAGCATTACTCTCAGGAAATGAGTAATCCATATAAGAGTTGAAACATTAAAGCCTACCAAATGGCTCACTTTTGAATATCAGTGTAATACGAGGACTTTACTGGAAGACAGGGAAGGTAAGGGTGAGCTGTGTTCATTGAGGGAATGTTTCATGCAAGTCTAGAACTTTCCCTAGATCTTACAACAGTAGTTCTTAGGTTTTAGAATTATTGATCTCCTGGAAAATTTAGTGACAAACTATGGATGCTCTTTTGGAAAATGTGCACATGCATATGGAAATTTGCCTAAAATTTTTAGAAGTTTGTTACACCTCTTCTCTATCCCCACTGCTATCCCATACACCCATCAAAGCCCAGGTTCTCTAGTTAAAAATACTGGCCTAAAATGTACCCTTAAGTGGAAATGAGAAGAACTCAAGTGTGGTTAATAGTCTTCTTAACTAATAGCTGTACTTTAAAAGTTGTTTTATTGGTCAACTGAAAGTTGAATATAGAATAATTTAAACCACTTTTAAAAGTTAGCTCTCCGTTAATGTTTTCCAGATGAATACTTTGCTGGTGGCTTACACTCATCTTTTGATGATCTTTGTGGAAACTCAGGATGTGGAAATCAGGAAAGGAAGTTGGAAGGATCCATTAATGACATTAAAAGTGATGTGTGTATTTCTTCACTTGTATTGAAAGCAAATAATATTCATTCATCACCATCTTTCACTCACCTCGATAAATCAAGTCCTCAGAAATTTCTGAGTAATCTTTCAAAGGAAGAAATAAACTTGCAAAGAAATATTGCAGGTAAAGTAGTCACCCCTGACCAAAAGCAGGCTGCAGGTATGTCTCAGGAGACGTTTGAAGAGAAGTATCGTTTGTCTCCTACCTTATCTTCAACAAAAGGCCACCTTTTGATACATTCAAGACCCAGGAGTTCCTCAGTAAAGAGAAAAAGAGTATCACATGGCTCCCATTCACCTCCGAAGGAAAAATGCAAGAGAAAGAGGAGCACCAGGAGATCTATCATGCCGAGGCTGCAGCTGTGCAGGTCGGAAGACAGGCTGCAGCACGTGGCGGGACCTGCCCTGGAGGCTCTTAGCTGTGGGGAGTCTTCATATGATGACTATTTTTCACCTGATAATCTTAAGGAAAGGTATTCAGAGAATCTTCCTCCTGAATCTCAGCTGCCATCAAGCCCTGCTCAGTTGAGCTGCAGAAGTCTTTCTAAGAAGGAGAGAACAAGCATATTTGAAATGTCTGATTTTTCCTGCGTTGGCAAAAAAACCAGAACAGTTGACATTACCAATTTCACAGCAAAAACCATCTCCAGTCCTCGGAAAACTGGAAATGGTGAAGGCCGTGCAACTTCGAGTTGCGTGACTTCTGCCCCTGAAGAAGCCCTAAGGTGTTGTAGACAGGCTGGGAAAGAAGACGCATGCCCAGAGGGAAATGGCTTTTCTTACACCATTGAGGACCCTGCTCTTCCAAAAGGACATGATGATGATTTAACTCCTTTGGAAGGAAGCCTTGAAGAAATGAAAGAAGCGGTTGGTCTGAAAAGCACACAGAACAAAGGTACCACTTCCAAAATATCAAACTCCTCTGAAGGCGAAGCCCAGAGTGAACATGAGCCATGTTTTATAGTTGACTGTAACATGGAGACGTCTACAGAAGAGAAGGAAAACTTACCCGGAGGATACAGTGGAAGTATGTGAATCTCCTTTTCCAAGTCACCTTCGCTAAATAAACATGTAACAGTGCATCCATATTTTAAATTTATCACAACTTTTTCATAACTTATTTCCCCATTTACTCCTCTTTTTACTTAAAGAATGTGCATTTGATCATTCCAATGATAAACTCTTTAGGAATAGATGACTTGCTGTCTTGTGGAACTTCTAGACTTATTGGTTAAGTCTGTTAGGAATCTATTTCTCCAAGACTTTTCCTTCTTATAGGTCAAAAGGATAAGTAGTCCATAGTATGAATAACTGAGGGGAGTGAAGTCTTTTTCCTTATTCCATTGGAGTCTTGGCGCTGCAGCGTGTGTAAAGATGTATACGATAGAGAGTTTTTTAAAACCTAGGTTCTTAATAGTGAGGCTATTTAAAGAAAGAAATTAAGGTAGATTAAGCCATCGATTGTATCATAGAGAAAGTGTGAAAAACTACTTTTAGAAATCTGTTGTCAATATTGATTTTTGAAGAAACTTTGGTCAGTGTTAACTATGAAGAAACATTTAAACATTTTTGATCATTTGTAACAAGCCTTGTTTAACTTGTACTTATTTTGCTTGAAGCATCACTTGAAAAGGTTTACTCCTATTCATAATTTAATTGTAATTATAATAAACCATATCATTTTATTAAAAGTCAAAACAATAAAAAATTTTGCACTTCACAGTTATAAGCACAAATAGGTTCCAGCAACCAAAATTGAAGAAATCTTGAACTTTGACCGTCTTTACCTAAAGATTAGGTTAAAATTTGAGTGAGAACGCATTCTCTCTGCATGATTTCTCTGCTCTACAAATGTTTTAACTGCCTCTTTGAAGGTGGAGAAGTCATGGTAGCGTTTGAAATCATCACAGACATGTTACATACCTTTTCCTTGAGTATACGCTCCCCAAAATTGTTTCACAAAAAGAATGAAAATAATTTTATGTTTTTGGCCTGCTATTTATATCTTGGCTTTCTGAACATATATTAAATTTGACAAGAAACTGTATTTTATGTTCCATTAGCCTTAGTATGTGTTTTCAAAATATTTATTTTAAAATGTTGACTCAAAAGTTAATATAAAACAATAGATGTGTAAAATTCTTTGGTAGTTAAGAATATCCTGTTCTGAGGTTTACATTCTCCATCTTTCCAGTTTTCACCTTGTGTATTTTTTAAGCTTTTGAATAATAATGACATGGAAATGTAAATTAAGTAGGAAAAAGCTGGTAGCAAACAGTGTGGCATGGCCTAAAATCCCCGTGTTGCTGGGAGTGTGCTAGTCCTCGGAAGCAGGTGTGTTATGTTCTAGAACACTGCCCCCCTGCGTCGACAGCCTCCGGGGTTGGGGGTAAGTAGAAGGGGGTGAGGGGCCAGCACTAGTTGACTCAAGGCACCCTGGTGGGGACGGAGAGGTTTTTTCGCTCAGTGGTGCAGGCCATCAGGCAGGGGTGTCCAGGCAGGGCCCGGGTGCAAGAAAACATTCTGTGTGCGCTAGTGCGAGAGGATCTTCTACAGTCACCTGCCTTCATGCCATTACAGACAGACGGGAAGTCACTGGGTTCTAGGACATAAAAAGACCTACATGTTGGCTAGCCTAAATCGAACCCTTTTATAGTAATAAAGATTCATCAATGTTTTAAACTGTCCACTGTCAGCCCCCTGGGACTCAGGTGAACCAACTCTCTTTGGGAATCTATCTTAGAAGATGAAACCATAAAGCCTTCAGTTTCAATGTCAGGGATGCACACTCTATATCTGGTGAAATTATGGAGGGGTGAAAACTTCTGTACAGCAAACTGTACCTCCAAATCTTTAATGTCGAAATAAAGGGCTTTTTGCCATTTCTGTTTTCAGTTCACTTTTACTTGTTGCTGTTGTCAGTATCTAAGATACAGTGTAAAAAAGGCTTCAAAAACAAGTTACAAAGAGCTTCAATACGCTGATAGAACGGGAACTGAGCGAGAAACAATTTTGGTTTTGTTTTGTTTTGTTTTTTAGTTTTTTTTGAGACATAGTCTCGCACTTGACGCCCAGGTTGGAGTGCAGTGGCACAATCTCAGCTCACTGCAACCTCCGCCTCCCGAGTTCAAGCAAGTCTCTGCCTCAGCCTCCCGAGTAACTGGGATTACAGGCACCCATCACCATGCCCAGCTAATTTTGTTGTATTTTTAGTAGAGATGGGGTTTCACGTCTTGGCCAGGCTGGTCTTGAACTCGCGACCTCATGATCTACCCTCCTCGGCCTCCCAAAGTGTTGGGATTACAGGCGTGAGCTACCGCGCCCGGCCAACAATTTTGTTTTCTAAAA
This sequence comes from Homo sapiens, assembly GCF_000001405.40. NCBI lineage: Eukaryota > Metazoa > Chordata > Mammalia > Primates > Hominidae > Homo > Homo sapiens. Next base: position 6,447,869 of record NC_000008.11, read on the forward strand.
TCTTTAAAATCATTAATTTTTTTCTTTTTTACTTTTTTATTCTCTTAATTTTATAAACAGTACACAGATACATTCCCATTGTAACAAAGATTGCTAAGAAGACTAGAATTTCCATCTCCTCACTTGCCTCTTTTCACTAATTCACTTCCTAACTAATGAAAGACATGCACCCGTTGTGTCTCAGGTGCTCTTCAAGTTTGTGGGGACATAGAGAATGAAGCAGCGTGCACCCTCATAGAGGAAGACAAATAGTAAATAAGTGTATAACAATGTCAGCTAGCAAGCAGTTAATGATAAAAAGAAAAACAATACTGCATTGGATAGATAAGGTGACCAACGAAGGCTTCCCTGAGAAGGTGACATCCGATCACAGGCCTGGGGAGGGAGAGGGAGCCTGTGACTCTGTCAAAATCCATGTTTCAGCTGGAGGTAACAGCAGGAACAAATGTCCTGATGGAGGAAAATGCTTGCAGGAACAACGGGGAGGCCAGTACAGCAAGGACTTCCTGAGCTGCAGGAAGGAGGTTGGAGAGGGGTAAGAGCCAGAGCTTTGGGACCTTCAGTCTCTGACAAGGCGGGCAGCTGTTTTGTTTTGAAGTGTGATGAGAAGCCATTGGGGCTTTTGAACAGGGGAGCAACCAAATCTGATTTAGGTTTTAAATGTAACCATGGTCACTGAAGAACAGACTGTGGGTTGGAGTGTTTGTCTGCACGAAGCAGCCACTGTCCACAGTTTAATATTTCCTTCCACACATTTCTTGTGTGTGTGTCTACAAGCATACAACTGCAAATAGATATTTTAAGAGAATTTTTTGCATGCATAGAATTATATTGCCTTAAAAATTGCTTTTTACAAAAGCAGTATGTCATATATTTACATATTGGTACCAGTAAATCTTCATTTTCTAATAGAGCCTATAGGTAGGGTCAGCACACTTTTTCTGTAACAGATCAGATAGTAAGTTTATTACGCTTCATGGGCAAAGAGACCAAATCGAGGTATGTAGGTACTCATGAGATGATTACATAATGAGAAAAAGACATTTTCCACAAAATTTTTATTGACACTGGAATACATTTTTTTTTGTAATACAGGTCTATTAATGAGAAAAATAAAATAATTTGTGGTGGGGGAATAATAACATTTCATTTAATTGGAGTTCAGACTGAGTGTTCCCATCACCAACATTGATTGCAAATGTTTATTAAGGCTGATTTGTAATAAGATAGATTTTACGTATTTCACTTTTGAAAATATCTTTTCACACAGACAGATACTGCTGATTCGATGTCAGTCCACAGTTAGATAATTTGCATTGAGCATCTTCATTGCTTAGAAGACGCTGATGGAATTCTCTTAGATTCTTCTCTCGATGCCTGCCTCTTAGCGTGTCCTTATATTGCAGATTCATCACTTGCAATTGAAAAATAGGTGGAAGCTCCTCAATTGTGCAGTTAAATGGGTTTTGAAATAGGAAATTCCGGCCAGGTGTGATGGCTCACGCCTGTAATCTCAGCACTTTGGGAGGCCGAGGTAGGTGGATCACTTGAGGTCAGGAGTTCAAGACCAACCTGACCAACATAGTGAAACCCCATTTCTACTAAAATTACAAAATTAGCCAGGCGTGGTGGCACATGCCTATAATCTCAGCTACTTGGGAGGCTGAGGCAGGAGAATCACTTGAACCCAGGAGACAGAGGTTGCGGTGAGCCGAGATCATGCCACTGCACTCCATCCTGGACAACGAGAGTGAAACTCCGTCTCAAAAAGAAAAAAAAAAAAAGAAATAGGAAATTCCCTTTGCTCTTGCACTCAGTCTGAAAAGTGCTGCTGTAGTTTGGGCTCAGGAAGTATGTCCACAGCCAGTTTGCATGGGAATGGAGATCTTCTTGTTTTAACCTCTGACAGCACAAGAGAGAATCGTTGCTTATGTGTGGAAATGTGTCCCACCTGACCCTTAGCACTGCCAATCACAGCTCTTCAACCACCGAAAGTCAGTTTGAATTGCCAAGTAGTTAAAGCCGACTGGTCATCCTGAACTAGTGCACAGCTTGGCTTCTAGTTGCTTTTCACGAAGGAGACACAGTTGTCCTATAGGTGCCGTGTGTTCACTAGCAAAAGCAGAAAAGTCCTTCCTATCTATACCCCACTTGTCCATGGGTTTGATACAGATTTTCTTCTTTGCTGTGTGTGATGGATTTTTACATGTCAGCACCTTGTACATACGTGTTGTGAGCTTATCTGAGCAATTTGGTCATGTCCAACTACCAGGGTCTTGTTCATCGATAATAGTCACCAGTTGTTGGAGGTCAATGATGGTTAACTACTCTTCTACCTTCTATCTACCAGATCTTGTTGAAGGCAAGTATCAGAAAGACATTTATTAAACATTTATTGGCAAGCAATTAGGAAGTGGTCCACAAATTGACCAATATGCTGAAGGCCCAGTTCTCTGTCCTTTAGTGCAGTGTCCATACTTTATCTGAAAGGTTTGCTGGAGGCAGACAACATTCTATGGGCAAGTTTCTGCAAACTTGCACTCAGCACCAGACCATCGTGTATCCTTTGACCCTGTGGTTTATTATAGGGTCATTTAGGGATTAAGCCTTGGATACCACCTCCAGGGATACCAGCCACAACTCATACTAGATGGTTATGCTCTGTTATGTGTGGGTATTGGGTTCCCCTGCAATATTTAAGCCAATTCAGTGTTCTTGAATCCATGAATTTAACCAATAAGAAACTGTTTCTCACATCCATTATGCTGATTAACAAGCTGATGATGTCACCGATAACCACTCATTTTTGTCATCCATTTTGGCTTTTAACAAAGCATCTAATATTGGGCTGGATGATTTACAGGAGTTGGGGTTTTTTGTTGTTGTTGTTTTGAGATAGGGTCTCACTCTGTCACCCAAATTGGAGTGCAGTGACATGATCGCAGCTCAATGCAGCCTCAACTTACTGGGCTCAAGTGATCCTCCCACCTCAGCATCCTGAGTAGCTGGGACTACAGACGCAGGCCACCACACTCGGCTACGTTCCCCAGGCTGGTCTCCAACTTCTGAGCTCATGCAATCTGCCCGCCTCTGCCTCCCAAAGTGCTGGGATTACAGTTGTGAGCCACTGTGCCCAGCCTATGGTATAGTACATTTTGCAAATTCTGAGCATTCAAGAGGAACTGTGAATTACTATTGTTGCAAATAAATAGATAGACATATATTCATTAAGTATGTTAAATTGTTGCACTTTTGACTCTTCAAATAATTCACAAGTGTATTAAGAACCCCCTTTCCCATAGCCTGCCAGCCTAACTCACTGGGGCTGCAAAACTAAGCAATCCTAGCAACTTGATGTGGGTTAGTCAGTCTTAACAGAAGGCTATTGACCACTTAACTGTTTGGTTGATTCATTCATTCATTTACATATTCATTTTTTATCTGTCAGATGTTTACTCCGTATCTACTATGTCCAATGTATAAACAGTGAGAGAGGTAAGGTTAATAGAAAGCTCTGTCCCTTGCTTTAAAGAACTTAGCTAAGTAGGGAAGGTACAGTCAAGATACTTTACACACAAGTATCAGGAAATTCAAAAGTCAGAGCAATTACTTTCAGTGGGAATTAAAATTGATATTGGAATGACCTCTACAACGATTACAAAGGATAAAATTCCGCATTATCTATTGAAGAGTGTTGTTTTTGTTTTTTTCAGAATGAACAAAGTGAACTTGATATTTTAATAGATGAATATGAATACAGTCTCGTTAGCAGAGTTTTACTTGTGTAGAACCCGTATAACTTGCATATATACCAAAGGTATCTCTGGAAAGGAATTTTTCCTAGGTGTCTTTTAAGATTCTTTCCAGTCTTAATATTTTGCATACTACATTGTAAAATAATTTCATATTCAAATTTTTGAAGCTTAGAAGACATTTCTCATTGGATAATGTTAAGTGTATATTTTTACATGTTAAAATTATGGATTATTCAGCCTTCAGAAGCCTTTTCAACCCTTGACTCTTGCATAGTGCATTGTAAGAGTAAATACTAATTGTTTAAATGTGTTATTAATATTAGCATTGTTAGTCTTAATTCTGTATCTTGGAAGTAGGAAAGTAGGATGTGGAGGAAAATAAATGTTAAAAATAAGAGTTATTTCTTCGGCCTTAGCTCTAGACAAAATTTGACACAAGCCAAGTTTCTCCTACAGTCTTTTCATCGTCCACTTCTTCATCTCTCCCTTTCCTAGTATTTAAGTTACATGTGTCCTTATACTGTCTTGCCCTGGATCTGGCTCCAAAGTGATCATATTAGTCATTTTCTTCTCTTTTCCCTCAGTATCAATACTTTTCCTTAATCTTGCTTATCTCTGTTGAGTAGCTGAAGGTTGTGATTTAACTAATTCACACTGAGAGGTGAGTGAGTGATCATTTACTAGCTTTCATTGATGTGTTTGCATTTTGATGGTATTATTAATCCAAACTAATTTCCAAATGGTGAAATTTCAGATAACTGAAAGATAAAAATGTGGGGTCTGTCAGATTCATTTCCGTATTTGATCATTTCGTGAAAACGAAGTCAATGAATTGTGTGTGTAATGAGGTTGGGAGGAAAATGAGAGGAAGATATATGGCTTTCACAGGGAAATGCTGTGGACCAAATTGTGTCCTTTGACCCCCACATTTATTTACTGAAGGTCTAACCCTCAATGGGATAACATTTGGATAGGGTGATCTTTGGAAGATAATTAGGTTTAGATGAGGTCTTGAAGATGGGGGCTTCATGATGAGATTAGGACCATTATAAAAAGACCAGAGAACTGGCTTCCTCTCTCTCTGCCATGTGAAGACAGCAAGAAGGTAGCCTCCTTCAAGCCAGGAAGAAAGCCTTCACCGGAACCCGACCATGGGGGCACCGTGATCTCGGCCTTCAGGCCACCAAATCTGTGGTATTTTGTTATGGTAGCCCCAGCCGAAGAAGACAGACATTCATCCAACTGGGGTGTGTTGGAGGAAGAGCAGCTAAAGAGTGCATGTTCGTTGGAATTTCTTGGAGACATTCAAAATAGATGTCCATTAGGTAGTTGGATATAGCCAGCCATACCTCAGCTGGGAGGTCTAGACAAGGTACAGAGAATTAGGTCTCTTCAGTAATGGACGACTTTATGGGAAGTGATGAAATCACCTTGGGGAGTGAGAAGGGAGCTGATGACAACCCATGAAAAAACCACACTTAGGAGCAAACACGAATAAAGAGTCATCCAAGAAGTGGGAGAGTCAGGAAGAGGAGGGTAGGTGTTTGTTTACAGACCTCCTGCCAAAAGTGGAGTCCAACTAATCTTTCCACAAATGTTTTCAGAAGTACTTTGCACTCTCAACTGCTTTGGGTTTACCGATGTCAATGTTAAAACCCACTGGCAAATTAGTGTGGCAGAGTTTATGAAATGTTTTAAATAAAATCATTTACTTAGATCATTTTTTGACTTCAGGATTTGTGAAATTGTGAAAACATGTTAACAATATCAGTCTTTTTTTTTTTTAATATCAGTCTTTCTTAAGTTTTAAAAGATTGTGTTGCATTTCTTAGAACTTTATGTTTATAAAATGCTTTACAGCCTGTTTCGTTGTTCGGCAAGAACTGAGGCAAGTGGCTATTATAAAACTTTTATTGAATACACTAGGAAGCTGCAAATTTATTCATGACTCAATAACAGAGCACTACGTCCCAAATTATATCTCTAGTCCACTGCTTTTCCGATTTTGACACACTCATGCTTCAAGTAAATATTTGTTATTTAAAAAGGAAAATAAGTGCGTAGTAGATATAATTAATAATTCTAATTATTTTTAATCTTAAAGACGATAGGAGATTGCATTCATGTTCTACCCCGGGGGATAAAGTGGGCCTGGGAGAAAAGTCAGTGCAAGTCAACCATAAAAGATACCTGAGGAGGTACGGGATCAGTCAGGATGTGACTGGTTTGAGTCTCGAGTGGATTCAGTATTAGGGATTATGGCAAAGAGTGTAGGTTGGTAGGTTTGTGGTTTAGAACTGGACCTTAAAATCTGTCCAGGGCCCAGGCTGCAAATAACAACTAGCTTGAATTCAGGAAAGTATTAACATTTTTATTCTACATCCTTTTTCACTGAGATAGGACCCTGTTTTTGAAAAGAGTGACAGTTTTTACCTTAGACTCTCCAAACTTAGTTATAGCTGGCTTTATAGCATTTTATCTGCAAAGAAGTCTTTCTCATGTTATATGATTTTTAATCTCTGAGGGCACTGATGTTAATTTCACGTTGCATTATATTTATTCATCTGCATCTACATTGTCTATTGGGTTGTGAGCTCCCTAAGTGTGGGACTATATCTTGTGCATTTTGCATCTCCAGTGGGTAGATGATTAGCTATTTGTTAATCATTAGGTAATCAACAGTGCAGTTTGGCTATCACCTGCCTGGCAGGTTCTAGTACCCCCTAGGCTGCTACATAACTTTTGCGTCAAAGTTTGCATTATACCATTGAGACCATGTTATGGTCCATGTTAGCTCCTCCTTCAAAATCCCATGTAAGTCATAAAGTAGGCAAACTGTTTGAAGGAGGAGGAAGGGTGAGAGTAAGAGGCACCCTCTGAGGCAGTAGATGAGTCAAATCAAAGTACACATTTCACATTTCATCGTGGGTTACTTAGGTCTACAGAGGTTAGCATCTAAGGAAACCACATTTCACTTGAATGAGTATCCTTTTGGTTTGTGTGTCTTCATGGCAAGACGCTGGTCTAAGGTGGAAACTTGGGGGGAGTAAAATCATCATCCATCATTTGTAGGTTGAAGCCTGAAGCTCTGTACTGAAGACTATTTTCTAGAAAATCTCAAACTGACCCCAAAAGTTAGATTAATTATTGCCTCTAATATGGAACTGCCTACTCTGAAGAGCTGTTCTTTGTCATTATTTTAAAATCTAAGAATTTAAGTTTGACGAGTGCGTAAGGTATGGGTATACATTTTCTTACATTATCAAATGGACGGAGTTGATGCTGTAGAACACTGTAACCTGATTGTTACCGACCATTGAATTAAGTGAATTGCTTGGGATATTGGAATGTAATAAACTGAAAGTTCTAGATAGATCTCAAAGAGCCAGATATATACAATTTATTTAAAAGGCCTATAACTTCCTGTTTCCATTATGCATAAATGTGATTTTTGTTTTGCTTAAGTTGTATTTGGTCCATGTAAAGTTCTAACTAATTTTTAATCCCCTTGGGTTTTAGGTGTTAAAAATAGACCAACAAGGCATGATGTTTTAGATGACTCATGTGACGGCTTTAAGGACCTCATCAAACCTCATGAGGAATTGAAGAAAAGTGGGAGAGGCAAAAAGGTCAGTGTGTAAAAATATTATTTTAAACTTTCAAATGCTGATACATCATAATGTTCTTCTCTGGGTCAATGAAACATAAACCAGTCTATCTGACTTGTCTTTTATTCTAAAAAATTGATTATGGGTAAATGCTGGAAAACTCAGAATATGAAACTGAAAGCGTTGTTTGCATTCCAGACAAAGAGTTATTATTGATAGAGCAAGCTTTCTCATATCACTTTGCTAATGCATTTCTTATAAAAATGCCTGTAGCTTCTCTCAAGCAGAGAATGTTGGTTGTGCCAGTGTTTCTTGCCATTTTATAATCGGAATAAATATTTACTAGGTAGGAGGTGAAGAATCCAAACATTCATTCACTTTTGAACTAACCAAGTCTTGACCTCAAGCCATCAGAGTGAAAGGTTTATATACTAACACTCAGGTACACCCTTCCCTTTGTGGTTTTGGCTTTAAAACCTTGCTCTTCCTCTGAAAGACTCCGCTGATCCTCTTACATGAGTAATAGAATGAGGATTTTAAATGTTTTTATCATTCAATATCTACTTGCATTGCTTAAATTTAAAATTAGCCATATATATTATACCTTGTGCCTCATTTTTATGAGGCCAAAAAAGTATAATGTAGTGAAACCTGAATTCAGAATGGTAGGGAAAAACCATACCGATTGAAAAGCAACAGATGAAAAGAATGACAGAGTAGATGGGTCTGCATGGGGCTTCCAGGTCCTGATACGCAGGCTTGAACAGATGGGCGGCTGCATTTGACCTGCGGAAGAGAAACCTGACTCCTTTGCTTCTTATCTTGGCAATGGTTAAAAGACATTTAAAATTACACAGATTTCATGAAAGTTGGCAGTAACTTGTAGAAACTTAGATTTCTTTACTGATGCTTTCTGGTTTGTCTCGGAAAAAAAAGTGGAGCAAGAAAATGGAAAGGAACCCTATTTCAGGTAAAGCAACAGATGTGGAGAGAGAGAGACTGTCAGGGTCCCATAACATGTTTGTGGCGTGGGCAACACCAAGGCACCTGCTCTACAATGGCGTTGCGCACTGTGACTCCACTGCAGCCTGCGGGACCTGCTCAGCGCGCTGCCTCCCAGGGGTGGGGCCCTTCCTAGAACGCTCGCAACACTGTGGCTGAGTTTGTGTTTTGCGTCCCAGTTTCTCAGTCTTCTTCCTACTGCTACATGGCCGCTTGACCTAGTTCATTTGGAAAGAAATAAAGAACCAGTTTCCTTTGCATCTACTACCGTTCCCGTGCCTCTCCTGCTGATGCGTCGCATGGCACCACAGCTCTGTTCTGTGCCCTCCCGCTTTACTGACCCTTTACCCTCTGCCAGTGTCTGCCCAGGGAAGCCGTGGTACCTCTCATCTCTATTGGTACTCTACGTTGTACCATGTCTGGCTTTTTTTTTTTTTAAGTGCTCAGTAAATATTGAGTGTTGAGTTACTTGTTACTCACCATAAAAATACTCCGTCCTGTCTGATCAAAAGGCATGAGGTTTGACTTTCTCATTTGCCCACAGTGGAAGTTACTGTTTCAGACGAGTGGTATTGCCTCCCTGTGCCTGGGATAGCCCTGAATCTGATGGGCTGGGTCTGTGGAAGCACTGGGTTAGGGACAGGCATCCTGGGCGGGAGTGTGGCCCCTTCTTCCTTATGAGGCATCTCACTGTAAATGGCATATGAATGGGAGATGGGTACCTGTTTGACCTTCTGGCATTCTTCTGTAGATCAAATAGTAAGTGCTCCATAAATATAAGGTGGTATTACTGTCTTGAGTAATGATAAAAGAATGAGTGGTCAGAGAGGGAGACAAAATACACAATTACAAATACACACCTCCATATCTGCCTTCAACTGCTGTGCTCAGGAACAAAAATATTTTCATATATTAAACTGCCTAACTTGCTCAAATTTAAGTCTTCTTTTAAAAATATTTTAAGAGTATTAGTAAACTTTGCCCTCATAATTTAGAATGTCATTTCTGAAACGAATCCACCACTTCTGGTTCTGTGTGAAGAATCACTCAAAGCAGGTTTTAAATGCAGATTTTCTGGGCCAGTCATGGTGGCTCATGCCTATAATCCCGGTACTTTGGGGCGGGCGGATCACTTGAGGTCAGGAGTTCGAGACCAGCCTGGCCAACATGGCAAAACCCTGGCCAACATGGCAAAATCCCGTCTCTACAAAAAACACAAAAATTGGCCAGGCCTGGTGGTGGGCACCTGTAATCCCAGCTGCTCAAGAGACTGAGGTGGGAGAATCACCTGAACCCAGGAAGGGGAGGTTGCAGTGAGTCGAGATCATGCCACTGCACTCCAGCCTGGGCGACAGAGTGAGACTCTGTCTCAAAAATAAATAAATAAATGCTGATTTTCTGGCCCCACCTGAGACCCTCCTGGCCAGCAGCTCCCGACCCCAGTGCGGCACCCCGTCCTTAACGTGGAGGGGACGAACACCTAGTGAGGGCGAAGAATCCACCTTCTGTATTGCGTCTCGCCAATAGCAGAAGGAGCAAGACCTAGGTTTCCCCTCTTTCGCAGGATTTTCTTCCTAATCCAGTCCTTATTAGTGTTCACCGCACAGCCTTTGCTTGAATGAATCAAAAACTCCTAATGCCCTAGGGTAGTGCTTCCTGACTGGGCTGCGCATTGGACTCACCTGGGGATCTGTAAGGTTTGTGGCTGCCTGGCCCCAAGCCAGACATGCTGGTGTCATTAATATGGGGTGCACCCTGGCCACTAGGATTTTTTTAAACTCCTGAGGTGATTCTAATGCAAAGCAGAGTTTGGAAACTACAGCCTTGGGACTTTTAGAATTTAAACAAGTAATTTATCCTAGAAGAAGTTTCATTTCTTTATAAACATTTCTCATGTAAAGTTGTTTCATTTTTAGACTCTAAAATTAAAGACCAAGGCTTAAAGTCCTGATTTGCGGGCTGGGTGCGGTGGCTCACACCTGTAATCCCAGCGCTTTGGGAGGCTGAGGTGGGCAGATCATGAGGTCAGGAGATCAAGACCATCCTGGCTAAGACGGTGAAACCCCGTCTCTACTAGAAATACAAAAAATTAGCTGGGCGTAGTGGCGGGCGCCTGTAGTCCCAGCTCCTCGGAAGGCTGAGGCAGGAGAATGGCATGAACCCGGGAGGCGGAGATTGCAGTGAGCTGAGATCGTGCCACTGCATTCCAGCCTGGGCAACAGAGTGAGACTCCTTCTCAAAAAAAAAAAAAAAGAAAAAAAAAAATTCCTGATTTGTTTGCTTAAAGGTTGAGTGAGTGTTTTAGGAGCGCAAATTTGATAGCAATATAGATGAAGGACGTGTTTTATTATTTTACAGGTTAGAAGGAAGAATGATATAAATTTCTTAAAAGGTAACATTAAATTTATTTTATTTTATTTTATTTTTCTGAGATGGAGTATCACTCTGATGCCCAGGCTAGAGTGTACTGGTGTTATCTCGGCTCACTGCAACCTCCGCCTCCTGAATTTAAGCGATTCTCCTGCCCCAGCCTCCTTAGTAGCTGGAACCACAGGCACCCGCCAGCACGCCTGGCTAATTTTTTAAGTTTTTTGTAGAGATGGGGTTTCACCATGTTGACCAGGCTGGTCTCGAACTCCTGACCTCAAGTGATCTGCCTTCCTTGGCCCTCCCAAAGTGCTGGAATTACAGGCGTGAGCCACAGCACCTAGCCAGCAACATTAAATTTTAAGTATATAACTTCCCAGTAGTTTGAGATCTTTTGATATGAGCATGGGGAGAGAAGTTTATGTTGATATGTGGTAATGAGTCCACAGAAACACTAAAATTTAGTTTCCTGGTTTTAAAAGTATACAGTGGAATTGTGGAAGGATTGAATTGGTGAATTAAAATTAGAAGCTTCTGAGTAGCAGCCTACAAATATAATGTTAGTATCTCAACCATTCTTTTTTTCCCATTAAATAGGTTTTACCTGCTTATTTTGTTCCTTGTTAGATTTCAAGATAAACTGTGTTAAACTGAAATTTGGAACTTAACACGGCCTTTTTTGTTTGTTTGTTTGAGATGGAGTCTCGCTGTGTCACCCAGGCTGGAGTGCAATGGCACAGTCTTGGCTCACTGCAACCTCTGCCTCCCGGGTTCAAGCGATTCTGCTGCCTCAGCCTCCCAGGTAGTTGGGACTACAGGTGCACGCCACATATTTTTATGTATAAGGACATATTAAGGTATTAGATTCTATTAAGCACAAAATTGTTTCTATTTCCTAAAGAAAACAAAATCTTGTAATTGAATATTAATGTTGAAAAAGGGAGAGTTTACAGGAAATATCTTTCACCAGCTAATGACTGAAGCAATGCCTCTACTAGAATGGAGAACAGTAAGGTCTGGGCCTGACATTTTTATGTTTTCACTTGAGAGCCAGCCTACATGCTATTTCTGTAGTGAGGAAAATGATTTGAAACTCAGATGTGTCCCGTGGCCCTAATGACTTTATTTTCTTTTTAGTTTTAAATCTGAAGTAGCACTTGCAGGTAATGTCCTATCTGGGCAGCCCTGCAGACAGGACTGTCAGTCGATGAGAGCTGTCAGTCGTGAGTTCTGAGTAATGTGAAGGTGCCAGGTAGAAGGTACAAAGGCAAGAAAGGTGGGAAGGCCTGGAGCCTGTGCGAAGAGCAGCACGGCCTTGGTGTGGCCCGGGGATGGATGCAGAACCGCGAGAAGAGAGAGGCTGACTTCAGCCACGGCCACGGGCTCTGGGGTTAGACTGCTCTCATCTTTGGTTTTCTGTAGGTTCATTGTGATTGTTGTACCAGGGTATTGTTTTTGTTGTTTATTTACTTGAGAGTCACAGGCCGTCCTGTCTTTGATCTGTTCTGGAAACTTCTCCACTGTGATTTCTTTTGCCTGTTTTCTCACGCCTCCATTGCTGGGAACGCAATCTCGTGTGCTATCCTTTGCTTCTATAGCCCATGTCTCATGATTTTCCTCTATTTCTTTCCTCTTGTATCTCCTTATTTCATTCTGGATGTCTTCTATTGGTTTCTTTTCCATTTCACCTTTGACTCTTTTTAAGTCTATTCTGATGCTAAATCCATATACTGAGTTTTAACATGTATTATTTTTCAGTCCCTGCTATTCCATTTATTTTTTTTAATTATTTTTTGTAGAGATGGGGGTCTCTCCACGTTGGCCAGGCTGGTCTCGAACGCCTGGTCTCAAACAATCCTCCTACCTCGTCCTCCCAGGGTACTGGGATTACAGGCGGGAGCCTTCATGCCCTCTATTTGATTTATAAAAACCATTTCCAGTTCTCTGTCAAAATTATTAATCCTATCTTTTATTTATTTGAACATATTATGCATATTTCTTTTGAAATAACTCCCTTTTCTGGCTCCCCTCAATTTCTGTTTTTCTTATCTGTTGTTTTCAATCATACGTTCCATATCTAATATGCCTGGTTAGTTTGTCTTTATCTTCCTAGCAGGGACTGAGATGATCTGGAGCTGGGGTTCTGTCTCTGTGAGGCTAGCTGTCCCCTGGGAGTGTGGGCTTCTGACTCTGGTTCACCTCCTCTTCCATGGGTTTCTTCTTCCATGACTCACTGACTTAGTAGCTGGGCAACGTCTGCAAATAGCTGGGGCTTGTTTGTTTGTTTGCATCTTGTCCAGCTTTTCTGAGGGCTCACAGTGAGGAGCCTATTTCAAACTACTTAGTCCACCATTCCTGGAGACGATGGGTGAATTTTAACGGCCACTTAACTTTTCTAAATAGAGTTTTGGTGTGAATGCTTCTCTGAGAAGACAGCAGTAAGAGGCCAACTCAAGAGAAATGATTTTTGAGATGAACACGTAGGTCAGTTTGCAAAAGACACACTAAACACCTGAATTGACATTAATTCAGTTTCTCTTAAAGAGTGAAAAAAACCATGATTCCATGAAGAATTATAGAATCTCAGAGCTATAACTTCCATTAGCTTTTTTTTTGGTGTAATGCCCATTTTTAATGGCAAAAATCACTCTATAAATCAGTCAGAAAAAGAGTCTGTTTTTTTTTAGACTTATTTTAAATATACTTGTTTCAAATTTGTTGAGACTTTTTTTTTTTTTTTTTTGAGATGGAGTCTCGCTCTGTTGTCCAGGCTGAAGTGCAGTGGCCCAGTCTTGGCTCACTGCAACCTCCACCCCACCAGGTTCAAGTGATTCTTGTGTCTCAACCTCCTGAGTAGCTGGGATTATAGGTACCTGCCACCATGCCCAGCTAATTTTTCTATTTTTTTTTTTTTTAATTAGTAGAGACAGGGTTTTGCCATGTTGGCCAGGCTGGTTTTGAACTCCTGACCTCAAGTGATGTGCCCGCCTCAGCCTCCCAAAGTGCTGGGATTACAGGCGTGAGCCACCACACCCGGCCTGGTGAGACTTTATTTGGAGGATCCAGTTAAGCAGTTTTATTACCTCTGTAATCTTAGCTTGCAGCATGTAGGTCATTGACATTGATAGTTATACATCTTTTCAGAGGGAGAAATAGAAAATATTATGACGAATTTTGACCTGTTTTCTTTGTTACTTGTTGAATATTGTCAGACACAGAACCCAAAGAAGCTATGTATAGATACCAGCACTCTGGTAGAAATACACGAATGTAATTTTTTTTTCTCCAAGTATTTGGTTTATTCTACTACTTCTGGATTTGGTTTTTCAAAATATTGATTATTATCCTCAGGAACATTTTTAATGTGAGTTATCAACAGGATAGCTTTTTGTAAGTGGCTCAGTTGTAGAATCTCATTTTGGAGCCATCTCTGCCAATCCAGCTTGTTGCATGTGAAGGCAAGCTGTGGGTCAGAGCACAGAAATGTTTACAGAGGCTTTCCTAAGCCTGGAGGCCTGGAGAGATGTGAAGGAACAAATAGAGCATACTTATTTTGATAGTGGTTTAAAAAAATTAAAGAATTACACACCACATAGAATGCTTAAATTCCTGAAAGTTTCTCAAATAGGGTGCAAAACAAATAATAGCTTGCATATGCTGATAGTTGCTTGTTCTTACATCTTTGCTAGAATATGAGCCCATAAGGACATAGTCTATATCCTGTTAGTCTCTTAATACTCAGCAGGATATAGCATCACAAACAAAATAAGTGCTCAGTAAATATTTTCTGAGTAAATAAGAGATGCATTAATTTCCCTTTTACTTTTTCAGTGAACATGTTTAAAACATTTTTGGTGCTCTTAACCATCACTCAGTAATGATGGAATCATCATCATGTACTTCACTTATTTTTGAATATTCTTCCAAAACTTGAGAGACTGTCTTCTTTCAGTAAAAGATGGATTCTCTTCTCCAAGGCTGTGCATGGCAGCGCAGTGTTGCTAAAGCATTGCCCCCAGAGCCAGATGCCTGGGTTCAGTCCCATCTCTGTTACTCACCTGCTCTGTGGGTTCCATGGTGTTGAACAAATTACTTAATATCTGTGCCTATACTTCTTTGTGTATAAAACAGGAATAATAATAATAGTACCAGTCTCCTCAAAGGGTTTGTGCTAATTAATTGAGTTGAAACATGCAAAGAGTTTAAGATAGTACCTCATATATAGAAGTGCTCAAAAAATGTTAGCTATTTTCTTCAGCACCAGCTTGGGTGAGGGTCATGTCTGCATATTGACTGTGCTTTGTTCTGCAGCTATAACTTGGAGTAGGTCTCTCTTACCTGCCTCCTCTTTGCCCACTCCCAGAGACCACCATGTGTCTTTAATGAAAATGACCCTCAAAACTCTGGGACAGTCCACACTGTGTTTCTTGTTGGACTTACTGACCACAGGCATGCCAGAGCCAAAATAGAGTCTTGGGCAGGGGGTGAGTATAGGAGTATAGCCTTTTCTAAAAGCTCCTTCAGTGATTCTGAGCTGATGGTCATCCTCCCATTGAGAACCTTTGTTTTGGGGGTGAGATGTAGGCCATTAGCATGAAATTGTGCTCTGTCATCTCCCCCAGGAGGCAGAAGACTGAGTTCTGCGGTCAGAAATGCCCGCTTGGGGGATCTGCTTCCTCAGTTTTCGAGAGATGCTTTCCTCATCTCCAGTATCATTAGAACCTTCCTGAAAGAACTGAGATCTTTGTGAGCTGCGATAGGGTACTCACAGCTGTCATTTATTGAGCATTGTGACCTCTTTTTAGATTGAGTTTTCTATTTCTCAGTCATATGGAAAGCTGAAAAGAAAGTATATTTCAGAGAGCTCTAATCATGTCTTTATTGCGGAGGCAGTAGATTGGGAATTACAGCTCATTTGGGTGTAGCATCCCCAGAGAAGGAGCCTTGCAGTGGAAAGAAGATAAAAGGGTCCCAGTGGTGGGAATAAAAAGAGTACTAGATGCCCAGAGGGTGGGAAAGGCCTAGCCCAGATGCAGTGTGGCCAGGCCAGCTAGGGGCAGGAGGAAAGAGAGCTGCAGGGACACAGATGCCTTCCTGAGCAGAGAAAATAGAATACTTGAGCCAATTTTCATGTAAAATGGATTATTTTCCTGGCGTTTCCTGTCCTTCAAGTAAAAGGTTCTGGAATGAGTACTTCACTGCTGTAATGGAGACACTAATATTTTATGAATGCAGTTTTACAGTTTGCAGTAATGCCAGGCCTTTGGCTGTTTTCCATTAGATGGTGCACTTGGCTGGAAGCATATACTCTTGTAGCTTTGATTTTAAATTTAACTTTCAAGTTGAAAGAGCAGTGACTCATCCAAAGGACAGGTGATATTTATTTATTTTTTCTTGAAAATGCAGCACGGGTATGTTGTTATCACACGTTTAGGGGAATTGCCACACTTCCTCGAGGATGACACCCTTTGTAAATATCCATGTAAATCATTTCCATTGTTCAGACCCGCTGTACGCAGAAAGATAGGCCCTTTAGTGCCGACCAGCCGGCCAGTGAGCTCTGTAAGATCGAAGGTGCCCTTGGTTTCCAACACAGCTGTTTCAGTGATCTGTAATTGCTTTGATAAATCACTTTTGGCAGAGTGTACCCAGAGCTGGCAGTGGCGGGGATGTGCTCGTTGTAACAGGTGTGGGGTCCATCAGCAGATGTTGCTTGATGAAGCCATTTAAAAAACAGCTGCCTCTTGATAGCCTAACAGTTGCTTTCAGCCCCCATTAGCACGTTGTTTTTTTCTTGTTATGTATGAGAGAAAATATTTCTACAGAAAACATTAAATAGGATCTTCAAAGAACTCCATCTTTTTAAAAATGTGTTTTATTTGTTCACTAACTGATTTTGCATGCATTGTAAATGTGTGGTTCAGAAATTGTCAAATGTGTTTTGGACTGGACGTGGTAGAAATGAGGACCAGCCAGGGTGGATCTCCTGTGCCTCAGTGGTCGTCTTTGGCCACGTAAAGGTAGAGGCCACCGACGGAGGACATTTCCCACTGGGAGACCCACAGGCGCTAAGAGAGGAGCTAGCCGAAGAAGTCTATTTAAGATCTGCTGCTTTGGCCAGGTGTGGTGGCTCACGCCTATAATCCCAGCACTTTGGGAGGCCAAGGCAGGTGGATCACCTGAGGTCAGGAGTTTGAGACCAGCCTGGCCAACATGGGAAAACCCTGTGTCTACTAAAAATACAAAAAATTACCTGGGTGTGGTGGTACACACCTGTAGTCCCAGCTACTCGGGAGACTAAGGCAGGACAATCACTTGAACCCAGGAGGTAGAGGTTGCAGTGAGCCAAGATCATGCCACGGCATTCTGGCCTGGGCAACAGAGAAGATTCCATCTCAGAAAAAAAAAAAAAGAAAAATTCTGCTGGTAGGCATTCTATGCACTGAGCAAAGGAGAGATGTGGAGGCCCAATTTAAATAGTTACAGCTGCTAGCTCCTAAGGTCTATCTTACTATCTGCACCGTTTGCGGGGAGTCAGCTTAATGATAGTAAACTGTGCTAAATGGGTCTAGAAATATCCAATTAATCTGTTTGAGATATTCGGAAACTCAATAGCTTGCTGAAGTAGCAAACTTGAATCCTTATTTTTATTTTAAAAGGGAGTAAAGGGACTGTAGATAAGTAAAAGATGCTCTGCACTGCGCCTCTCTGGTACCAGTCCCTCTCGTTTAGGCAGCGGCCACTTCCCGCGGAGCTGTTCACGCCAAGTGACCCTGCCACTGCGCTGCTCCCACCACCCCATGTCCACCCCGTCCTCGGACGCCTGGTCTCAGCACATCACCGGTATTCTCTTCCTCTTACCAGTAATTAGTTTGAGACTGTGACTCACTTCTGTCCAACAAGATGTGAAGGGAAGTCTTCCTGGGAGGTTTCTGGAAAGCGTTCTCTCACTTGTGATAGCCCTGGGAAGAAATGCTCCCCGGGTCCTCAGAGCTTTGTTGTGGCTGGACGCATCTTCTGGAACTGCGACAGCGGAGGAGGAAGCCAAGAGAGTGAACCAAAACAAGGAAGGGCGGAGGGCGGGGGAGGCCTGCAAACCTTACGGCTTATTTCCACTGACATCAGAGACTCATGTTAATAAGTAACAAGCGGCTTTGTTTGTTATGCTCCTCAGACACGCGGTAAGGTAGACACACAGAAATGCACAGCTGTACGTATTTGTCTTGAAGGCTAGAATTTACTTTAAATGTGAGTGGTTTTCCCAGGAAAAATTTATGTCTGTTCTCTTGAGGAATAATTATTTCCTACTCAATTTTATCTATCGATCCATCCATCCATCCATCCATGCATCCATCCATCCATCCATCCATCCGATACAGAGCCTCGCTCTGTCGCCCAGGCTGGAGTGCAGTGGCGCTATCTTGGCTCACTGCAACCTCTGCCTCCCCAGTTCAAGTGATTCTTGTGCCTCAGCCTCCCGAGTAGCTGGGACTACAGGCCCGTGCCACTACACCTGGCTAATTTTTGGATTTTTTTTTTTTTTTTTTTTTTTCCTGAGACAGAGTCTTGCTCTATCGCCAGGCTGGAGTGCAGTTGCGCGATCTTTGCTCATTGCAACCTCCGCTTCCCAGGTTCAAGTGATTCTCCTGCCTCAGCCTCCTGAGTAGCTGGTACTAGAGGCACGTTCCATCACGCCTGGCTAATTTTTTTTTTTTTTGAGATGGAGTCTTGGAGTCTCGCTCTGTTGCTGAGGCTGGAGTGCAGTGGTGCCATCTCGGCTCACTGCAACCTCCACCTCCTGGGTTCAAGTGATTCTCCTGCCTCAACCTCCTGGGTAGCTGGGAGTACAGGCGCGTGCCACCACACCTGGCTAAGTTTTTGTATTTTCGGTAGCAACGAGGTTTCGCCGTATTAGCCAGGATGGTCTCACTCTCCTGACCTCGTGATCCGCCCGCCTTGGTCTCCCAAAGTGCTGGGATTACAGGCATGAGCCACCACGCGCAGCCCTTTTTTTGTGTTTTAGTAGAGACAGGGTTTCACCGTGTTGGCCAGGATGGTCCGATCTCCTGACCTCGTGATTCTCTCACCTCGGCCTGTCAAAGTGCTGGGATTACAGGCGGCAGCCACCGCGCCTGGCCTAATTTTTGTACTTTTAAGTACAGACGGGGTTTCACCATGTTGTCCAGGTTGGTCTCAAACTCCTGACCTCAAGTGTTCCGCCCACCTTGGCCTTCCAAAGTGCTGGGATTACAGGGTTGAGCCAACGCGCCCTGCCCTCAATTATATTTATTTCTTTGCCTTTCCTTACGTCTTTAACTCTTCACACTTTTAAAAAAGTTATTGCCTTCCAAATAATATTTAGGAATATAAATTATTTGATATTAATCCAGGGTAATTTCGATTTGTTTTTAAAAAAGGGGAATAAAAACATTATTATTCA
Organism: Homo sapiens; assembly: GCF_000001405.40. Lineage (NCBI taxonomy): Eukaryota > Metazoa > Chordata > Mammalia > Primates > Hominidae > Homo > Homo sapiens. The sequence continues at coordinate 6,467,041 of NC_000008.11, forward strand.
GAAGGGGTTAAATACAATGACAAAAACTGCAATTCAGAATTAATGAGGCGTTATAATAGGGTTTGTTAAAAAAATTATGAGGTATTTAAAATAGATTTTTGGCATATCCTTTTGTGACTTTTGGATAGACTTAAGACTTAGTTTATATATCAATAGTGAGTCTGTATAGGAAAAGAATATAATATTCAGTGACTGTCAAACCAGTGACTGGAGCAGCTTGGTATGAAGCGCTTCTTATTCTGGTCTCCCTAATCAGTGATTTTCAATTTTGAAAACTTTTTTTTGAAGTTGTGTTGTTTTATTTTTCTGCAGAAATATCTTCTGCTTTTCATTTTAAAGTATATTTGCTATTTATTTGCAATCTAGTTCTCATCATTAAAAGCAGTACTAAAATCTTATCCCAGAATTTATAGGTTGTGTCTTTTGTCCTTTTTTTGTTTTTAGTATTTTTCTGTCACTTTACTTCCTCAGGTGAAGTTTTAACAAAAACGAGGGACCATGGATAGGAAAGTAGGAATGAAACAGTTTACAGGGTTGAAGTTGTGGTATAATTCTTTTTTTTTGTTTTGTTTAAAGACAGGGTCTTGCTCTGTTGCCCAGGCTGGAGTGCCGTGGCGAGATCATAGCTCACTGCAGCCTTGATTGCCTGGGCTCAAGTGATCCCTCCAGCCTTGGCCTCATGAGTAGCTGAGACTCCAGGCAGGTGCCACCATGCTCAGCTAATTTTTTTTGTTTGTTTTAGAGATGGGATTTGGCTGTGTTGACCAGGCTGGTCTTGAACTCTTGGCCTCAAACCATCCACTCGCCTGGGTCTCCCAAAGTGCTGGGATTATAGGCATGAACCACCATGCCTGGCCCATGGAGTAATTCTTGTGGAGTTGGAAGGTAGAGGTGTGTACGTGTCTGTTTCTCAAAATAGTAGCACTAGCCAGGAAATCCATGAATTTGCATATTTTTCCCCAAGTTCAGCCCATTTGCTTTGGTGAGTTTGGGGTTATACTTAGAGTGGGTAGTATAAGGAGTTTCTGCCCTACACCTTAGCTTAAGCAATTTGAGCACATTGCTTTTTGAGTTCACCACCAAGGATCCAGAGCTCAGAGGCAGTCTTTCCTGTGCAGATAAGAGTGCACCCTGCCTGCACCTCACGGTCTTGGGCTCTGTGGCTTCTCTCCTCCTGCCACTGCCCCTTATTGTGGGTAGGCTGGAATTCCCTATGGTCCTTTGTTTGGGGAAGGGGGATGCTTGGATGTTCCCGGGTGTCACCTGTGCATGCCCCCTATGCTGTCCTCCCACCTGCCCTGTCCTACAAGCATGACCTGCACCCTTCTCCCACACACCCAGACCGCAGGCTTATTCTTACTCTCCCTGGCCAGCCCCTCTTCTTGGAGAGGAGAAAGGATGATGTGAAAATAAGATCTAACATTGGGGCTCCCCAGCGACTTCCACAAGGAGCAAGGAGCTAGGTGCATGTGTAGACCCCATGGGAGCTTTAGTGTTAGATACCGAGTTTGCTAGATGAAACATCTTTTTAATTGAGGTGGTGCAGATGTATTGTTTGAACACTTTAGACACTAATGATGAACTACTTGGATGTACATTTTTTTGGTTTTTTTTTTTTTTTGCTATGAAAATTAGAAAAAATATTTATCCAAGACAGTAAGTATTGAAAACTGATACTGGTGCTGTATGGATCACTATTATTGTATTATTTGAAACTGTTTGGAAAAGGTATTGTAGTTTTTAGAAAAACAAAGCAACCTGAATATTAAAAGTCTGTGAATTTGAGTAAAAAACAGTCCACATAAGGGAAAAAATATATAAGGAAGGACAATGAAGTTTTGAAACTGTTACTATAAGAAAGCTAAAGGCTGAGCACAGTGGCTCATGCTTGTAATCCCAGCAATTTGGGAGGCTGAGGCAGGAGGATCGCTTGAGGCCAGGAGTTCAAGACCAGCCTGGGCAAAGGAGTGAGACCTCATCTCTACTAAAAATAATTTTTTAAAAATATTAGTTGGACATGATGGTGGCCACCTGTGGTCCAAGCTACTAGGGAGGCTTGAGACCAGGAATTCGAGGCTGCTCTGAGCCGTGATTGTACCACTGCACTCCAGCCTGGGCAAGAGTGAGACCCTGTCTCAAAAATAAACAAAAAAGAAACTTAAAGATTTTAGTCTCAATTTTCTACACTGAACCCATCTTTAGATCATAGCATGTATAAAATTAAAAATGGGGGAATATCAACATTATTATATTTAATGCTATAGCTTATTATTGTATTTAATAAGCTACTTGTTTAAAGATCTGGGATCTCTTGGGTCCACAGACTGAGTCTTTCTGAAGGTGCTTTACACGATGTAGCTGCCAGGGATCTAGGTCATATAATATCCTCAGGATGGGATTTGAAGACATTTTTCCAGAATTTATCTTTTGTCATATTGGATTTTATTTTTAAAAATTTCCTCTATAGTCAAAATTTATATAAATATATGATTCTGATAGTACCATATATATTTAGATGGGCTTATACTGGGCGTGAACAAGGTTAATAATCTTTGTGAATATGTGGGTTATCTCCTTATTTTACTTATTCTTAAGGAAAATTAATTTCACTGTTTACCAAAGAACTGATAGCTAAACCCAAAAGATTTCAAAGAATGTTTTGTTTTTGAAATGTTTCTATTTATCACTAATAAAACGGGTATATCTGTTTAACTTGACCTATCTTTGGTCTTACTAAAACAAAATCAGCTAGACCATTTCCCAAATAATCATGCATTCAATACTCTTTTTCTCTCTCTCTCCCTGCTCCCTCATCTCTACTCCTTTAGAACTTTCAGAACATTCTTTTGTGTAGATACAGTGTTTCATGTCTGTTATTGTTTCTCACTGGTCGTTGGATTCTTTCATGTGACCACCTTTTTCACGTTTGCTCTGATTGCCTTTGGATGCGCCTAACTGTGTGCTTTTCCTGTTAAGGAAAAGAATCCTGCATGTTTTTTTCTCATCGAATAACAATGTTAAAAACAGAAAAGGGTTGTTTTTCTTCTTTGCAGTAGGCATTCTGTAGTAGATACCTTGACATACTTAAATTTGTGAGATGTGTCTAGACGAATGGAAGAGTAATATCTCATATTAATATATTGCTAATAATAAGATAAAGGTTTCAGCTTCCTGGAGCTGTCCATATAATAGAATTTGTACTTGTTTTTTCATTTCTGAGATCCTCATACTTTGGGGTTTTTTTTATTTTTTTATTTTTTCGAGACAAAGTCTCGCTCTGTCACCCAGGCTGGAGTGCAGTGGCGCGATCTCCGCTCACTGCAACTTCCGTCTCCCGGGTTCAAGCGATTCTCCTACCTCAGCCTCCTGAGTAGCTGGGATTACAGGTTTCCTGCCACCACACCCAGCTAATTTTTGTATTTTTAGGAGAGATAGGGTTTCACCATGTTGGCCAGGCTAGTCTCGAACTCCTGACCTCAAGTGATTCGCCCACCTTGGTCTCCCAAAGTGCTGGGATTACAGATGTGAGCCACCATGCCAGGCTCTGAGATCCTCGTACTTTTAAATAAAATGTTAAGATACATGCTTTATGCTTTTGCTGCCTCTCATGTTTCATGAATACAAGTAAACCCATGAGTAACTCATGAATACACATAAACTTCTGGGCCTCCAAACGATGCCCTGCCAGTGGCCATGCCACAGGAATCAGAGGCTGTACTTCACTTTGTGGTTGCTTTATTATTCCACCATTATAAGCTTTAGTAGAAAATGTAAAGAGGGTTGTTAAACTGAAGGAGTGTTGTCTCAAACTGAAGGAGAAAAGTAGTGTTGCTGCTGTAAGATGTACATAAACTAAGGGGTGTCTTTTCTACCATCCAGTTAGCAATTAGGAAAGTCCTTCTTTGCTCATACCATTCCAAAGGGAGTCATCTTATTCTTTCTCTAAATTTCCTTACAATGGAGGCTGCTACAGTTTAAGTATCGAAGGTCCTTTTTTTTCAGATTTCACCTGCAGTGCCTATAAATTTGGGGGAATGCCTTTTTTGGGGGGTGACCAACATACTCAGTGGATCTTGGACCTACCACCAAGTGACCTTCCTTGCTCACCTGTAAGGCTGAGAACACCGTAAGCAAAGTACCAGGCTTCTTTCCCCAAAAGGGCTTTGTAAGCGTTGGCGCCATAAAATCAACCTGAGGACTTAGGTGGCTGGTTATTTCTGAGTAAGTGAATATCACTCTCAAATACGACATTCCAGCAAAGGCCATGGTTGCATAGCCACTGTTTTTAGTTATGTCCTGGTAACTAGGAAGATGGATTGTTTTTTAATCTATGCAAATAATTATATTGCGCTGAAAAAAATGATACTCAATTACAGTTTCACAATTCTGGAGGGATCAGGCAGGGATAATAAGATACCATTTCCAGATGTTTCCTTTCTGTTTATAAAAGCACAGTCGACTGAATTGTTAGGAGATACAGGCAGAGGGAGAAGAGAAAGGGTTCCTTATGTATCCAGAATATAGAGTGTTAAAATAGCAACAATACTGTAAACAAAAGCCGCAGTCCTCCTTCAGTAGTTCATCTGGGCCTAGTCATTAATTTTTGTTCCACTTGATCTTGGGTTAGCAGTCTCATGAATCCGTCTGCTTCTCAATGAGGGTTATAGAAATCCTCTTCCCCTGGTGGGGTCTCAGCATTATTTAGACAATGCCATAAGAAGCCTGTACCCAAAAGTACCCAGCATAGTTCTTCTCCACGGGGCTCTAACACAGCCCCCTCTTGGTCGAAGGTAAGTCACTCTGGCCTATAGCTAATTGCAGATGCTGATCAGGGAAGTGTCAGAGAAAAACAGAAATCTGTAGGTGACAAAAGATTTTAAATGGCTATGGTTCTCGTATTACTGATAATTTTCAAAACTAAATTTATTGAGAGTTCATTACAACAGTATTGGCAACTGATAAGTAAAGTTAGTTATGGTGTGCAAAACAGAGTCAACCCAAAAAAGTTCTAGATACAGCATCTAGAAACACCATAATTAACCTTATTTTAAAAGAACAGTGGATGTTGCATCTAATTTATAAAAATGGAAGAACATAATCTTTACAGAAAAAATCTTCAGATATAACAAAATAGTCCCAAGACATAATATACAATGAATATGCCAAGCATATAATTAGAATAGACCAAGAATATCACATCAAGAGGGTTATTTTAGAGGGGACATAAACACCTATGTATTAATAACATATATTTAACCTAGGGCTGGCTATCTTTTTTGATGTGACAATTTGTCCCATATAACTTATCAATAGTAACACATCAAATGGATCTCCTAATTATTTCAAGCATCTGTTTTTTATTAAAGTAAAAGCACAAATACTTTTTATTTTCCAGGTATGTCTGGGGAATCTTAGACAGTTTTTTGTTTTGTTTTGTTTTTTTGAGATGGAGACTCACTCTGTCGCCCAGGCTGGAGTGCATTGGCCCGATCTTAGCTCACTGCAACCTCCGCCTCCTGGGTTTCAAGCCATTCTCCTGCCCCAGCCTCCCAAGTAGCTGGGATTACAGGTGCCTGCCACCATGCCTGGCTAATTTTTGTATTTTTTAGTAGAGATGGGGTTTCGCCATGGTGTCCAGGCTGGTCTCGAACTCCTGACCTCAGGTAATCCACCCGCCTCGGCTTCCCAAAGTGCTGGAATTACAGGGATAAGCCACCATGTCCAGCCTCAGACAGTTTTAAGTACAAAATATATCATTTAGGATTTGATTTGCGGAAGGCAAAATATCAAAAATTATCAAGAAATTTTGAATACCTGATTCCAATAGGATCATGTAACTTAGAAACAATTTTTGACTACCTATTTAATCAAAGTGACTGTAAAAGGTTTTAAAAGTAAACAGAGAGGTAACATGATTGTAAAGAACCTTAGCTCTTTCCTAAGAGACACGATTTCTTGAATACTCAAGGGTAAAATAAAGTCAATATAAACCATAGAAGGTTATTCTCATAAAACACAGAATCTTTGGAATCTAAGCCAATTATACAGAAAAAAGAATAAGCCTTTATTTTTTAGGTGAATGTGGTAAACAGTAAACCAAAGAAACAGGCTCATCAATATTGGGTAAACTTTTCTTTGTTTTTAAATGTTTAGTCTTTAGTTTTAAGAGATCATCTGCATTTTTTCTGTAATAAACTTAAAAGATATCCACTTATATTTCTTCAGATTTATTAATTCTGTAGCAATTTAAGCATTGAAATGACAGTTTTTCTCTCAATCCTTTTTTTTTTTTTTTTTTTTTTTTTTTTGAGACGGAGTCGGGCTCTGTTGCCCAGGCTGGAGTGCAGTGGCACGATCTTGGCTCACTGCAAGCTCCGTCTCCCCAGGTTCACGCCATTCTCCTGCCTCGGCCTCCCAAGTAGCTGGGACTATAGGTGCCCACCACCATGCCCGGCTAATTTTTTGTATTTTTAGTAGAGATGAGGTTTCACAGTGTTAGCCAGGATGGTCTCGATCTGCTGAACTCGTGATCTGCCCACCTCAGCCTCCCAAAGGGCTGGGATTACAGGCGTGAGCCACCGCGCCCAGCCTGTCTCAATCCTTAACAATGCTATATTTGTTGTATTTCATATGTTTAGCTTTCTCATGGAGAAAAAGAAACATAGGCATAAACCTTTATACTATCCGCCTGCTGGTCCTGCAACATGAGTTTAATAAAGCGTTCCTGATACTTAAACAATTTCTATGATGTCAGCAGAGAGATATCAGCAAGAGTGATTGTAAAGTAGCTAGCCTTATAAGTCAAGAGTTATAATCTTTGATCCACTGCTCAATCCATTTCAAGATCTGATCTACATTATTTTCTAGCTCTTCTGGTTTATTGCTGGGCAGCCGATGCACAACTTCTTCCTTGTAGGATGCCGTGGCTTCTTCATAAAGAACTTGGAAAATCTCACACTGAATATTGTCTTTTAGTTTCTTCTCATTATAACCCCTCATTTGAAGTATTTCGTACAATATGTTGGCATCTATTCTCAACACAAAAACTATGTGAAACCAGCGTTCAGGGAAGAAATCACAACCGTGGTAATCAACAATAACTCCACATTCTCTCATTTGGTTATCTAACTCATCAGCTACTCTGTCTTCATCTAAAATGGGACAATTATACTCTTCATCATAGTCGTCATACAATTGCTTTTCTCAAGCTAAATCACCCACATTAATGTATTTCAATCCTGATTTTGATTCTGATATGTGGTTTTTCCAACCTCTGGTGTACCTGGCTTTCTATGACACGTTTCTATCACCAAGTCAGAACAAAGTGACACTTTAGGACTGAACTCAGGGAGTCTGTGGGGTCAAAACTAATTTCATAATACTACTAAGACTTTAACATGCAATGGGTTCACCTTGCTGTCTCCAAAAAAAAAATTGCACCACTGCACTCCAGCTAGGGCAACAGAGCAAGACCCTGTCTCTCAAAAGTAAATAAATAAATAATTTAAAAAATTATTGTTAAAAAAAGTTTGTCAGGTTAATGATTCAATTTGATTAAGCACAAATTTACATTTTTTCATAGTCTTAAACTTTACGAGTAACGTTCACTTATTTGATCAGTAAATCTGTATAGCTTTTGTAAGAACATGTAAAAGTAGAATAGCAATGTATAGTGTGGCTGGGCACAGTGGCTCATGCCTATAATCCTAGAAATTTTTGGAGTCCAAGATGGGAGGATTGCCGAGGGCAGGTATTTGAGACCAGCCTTGGTGACATAGCGAGAGACCCCATCTTAAAAAATAAGAATAATAATACTTAATGCTGACAACTCATAGAAGACATGACTATTTTTATTAAACCCCAAATATTCAACTAGTCTCATTTGCCAAATATTTACCTAAATGTGTGAACTTGAATTCTTAAAACATTTACGTTTCTATAGGAATACTTTTTTTAGTGCTGTTGAAAGTATTATTGGAAGTTCAATTTCCTTAATTTCTGGGAATTTTAGGAAGATTCAATTTATAGGTGTCTCTTTATTTCTAAGCCAGTCAGAACAGAACATCCTTAAGAGCTATCACATTCTCACTTGGTAAGACCATCTCATGATGGTTATCCCAGGATGAGAGACAATAGCTGCTTTGAAAGTTCCCCTGCCACACTGGGCTTCCAGTACCAGTGCAGCTAATGACCCTGCCCTAACAGCAAATGCTGGGGAGCAGGGTGCAAGTGTTTACTTGGGTGCCCTTCACGGGCACTCCTTTTACGTGGTGGACAGCCTGATGCTTTGTTCTCTAAACCAGTATCAGGCATTCCTCTCATGGGAGATGTGCTTATCCTGGCAGACGCCCTTGTGGCTCTTTTCTGACCCCTCTCCAGTTTATGACTGCCTGACCATCGCTCTGGTGCTCAGAGCCTGCCCTTGTGTTCCTCCCCAGCATCCCGGGGAAAACCCAGGTAGCCTGGGAGAGCCCCTGGTTCTTCAGATGGAATGTGCAAATTCAGCACACCAACACGATAGGAAATAAGTTCCAAGATTTATTACTTCCAGATCCTAGAGAGGGAGGGCGCCATGAGTCGGGAGGGCAATGCTCTATCCCCAGGTCACCAGAAGAATGAATGAAGTGTCAGGCATAGAGCAAGAGAGAGTGGGACCCATGGGCCACCACCTTTACTGGGGGCCAGGGCATTGTCCAAGCAGGTTTCCTGCAGGGAGTTTTAGTTGGTGAGTTTAAAACAGGCAGCCATGAGTTTCAGGATCACACAGCAACTGAGAGGTGGTCCCTGTGGCATACTCCACAGTCCATGTGGGGTGTGGGGTTGGCAGGGCAGCCAGGTAGACTGTCTCTTAGAGAGGCCGTCACCAGAAAGAGGAGGTGTATAAGGCAGATCCCTGGATCAACCCCATTGAGGACTGGGGGTGGCAGGTGGAAGCTGTCGAGGGAAACTAAGCCCTGTTTCTGGTATGAGAAGGTTAAACTTATCATCAAAATAGATGCCAAGGCTATATGAAACTGTCAGTATTCACTACAGTGGCATTTCCACAGTACAATACAGACATACAAACAGACATAGATAATTTGTAAGCTGTAATTCTAAAATTTCAGGCCAGGCGCGGTGGCTCACCTCTGTAATCCCAGCACTTTGGGAGGCCGAGGTGGGTGGATCACCTGAGGTCAGGAGTTGGAGACCAGCCTGGCCAACATGGTGGAACCCTGTCTCTACTAGAAATACAAAAATTAGCTCGGTATGGTAGTGGGCGCCTGTGATCCCAGCTAGTTGGGAGGCTGAGGCATGAGAATTGCTTGAACCCGGGAGATGGAGGTTGCAGTGAGCCGAGATTGCACCATTGCACTCCAGTCTGGGCAACAAGAGCAAAACTCCATCTCAAAAAAAAAAAAAAAAGAAGAAGAAAAAAATTCAGTCATAGACCAAACTTAAAAGCAGAAATATAAAATTTTACTCAGATGTGTACTTCCTGATGGCATGAAATTCTTAATTGTTTTGAAACCAAAGTAGAAAAGCAGACAAACGAAAAATACTAGCAAATCAGATTCTGTTATCTTTCACCCAACAGAGACAAGATCTCTATAAACCAGCAGTCCTTCCCCAAATACGTAGTATACAAACCGCTTCATGTCTGTCATTTTCGTCAACCCTGGGGTCCTTCAAATGCCTTTTGTTCCTTCTCATTTACTTCACCTTGACTTTTCAAGACATATTGGTTATACTACACAGTTGGTTACATTTGAAGTATTTCATGTAAATTACAAAAGTATATGAATAATGTGAATTCATTTTTGTTTATATATGTATATGCATGCATACACATACACACACACTCCTATAGAGTGAACATTTGGCTGAATATACTGCCAAATTGTTAAACAATAGTCATTTCTAGCTGGTGGAATTACAGGAAAATTTGTGTTTCTGATTATATATTTCTATAGCATTTAAATTTTTTGCAAGTCAGCGTGCATTTCTTAGATAAGCAAAAAAAAAATTAAACATTTTATTTAAATTTTTTTCAATTCCAGTTGATAGCAGATGTCAATAGAACAAATAAGTTCCCTTATCCATGCTTCTGTATGTGGGGGATTCACTTGACAGGTGCAACAGAAGCACAAGCATTATTGTGCACCTGTGTCTGAAATGAGAATGAGGCTGCCTAGAAGTCTTGAGAAAAGTGGCTGACGAGTCTACAAAAACACCCTTCTTACCCTTTCTCACTTTGAAGTGCATGAAGACGTTGACACACTTGGAGGTCTGCTGGCTAACTGGTGGAACAGATTCCTGGGGGAAATTTTTTTGTTTTGCTCTTGTACCTCATGTCTGGATTATTTTGGATTGCTTTGGGGACAGTATCTGAGTTTCTATCTCTTGGCCTGTTTTTTCCAGGAATATAAAGGTTTTTTTTCTTTGACATATGCTTAAATGTTTATTTTTAAGTGATGTAACTTTTCAAAAAACTTATTACAGTTTATTTCTGTGGGAAAAATATTTTTTATGTTTTTGACTGTTTTTTGTTCCTTCTTGTTTGAAATCTCTAGCCAACAAGAACATTAGTCATGACAAGCATGCCATCTGAGTAAGTACTTGTTTTGATTTCTGTTCAATGTAAAATGTTAACCTTTTCTCTCTTATACTCTAATTCTGGGTGCCTTTAGGCAACTTGTCAATCTGTCCTGTATCACTTTTACTTTATAAAATTAATATCTGAGTTAGAAGATCACTGAAAATTAAACATGTACCAAATGTGAGCGACTTAGCCTTGAAAACTCTGGGGTTGTTTAGGCAGCATTAAGAGGTGTGTGCTCGTTTTGGTGTTCTTTTGCTTGCTTGATACCAAATAGCTTCATGAATGTTCAAGAAGTGGAACATCATTGACCAAAACATTTCCCTTAAAGGTCTTAAAGCAATACTGCAGCAGAAAGCTTTCCACAGCAGTGTTAAAGTTGCTATGTATGCATTTTGTGGAAGGGTTAATAGCTTGTTGGCATGCTCTTATCATCTCCCTTAAACATTTAACACAACAAAGAACATCCAACAAAAATACAGTGCTATATTCTTTGCAACAGATTTTTGAATTCCTGTTTAAAGGGGAAAACCATGTTTTTGATATCAATCATAGGTTTTAAGGTTTTAAGACATCCATCAAAACATTGGAACATTTCAGTGAAAAATATGCTGCAGAGAGGGCACCTTTAGAACATTTTCAGTAGTGGGATCCTTTTCCTGCCTGGGGCTTAGAAATAAAAGCACTGATCATCAAACACCATACATTATATAGTGAAAAAGGGGGTCACTCAAAATTTTTGTAAATATATTATGAAATATATTGAACATTCTAAATAGTCTAATACAGAAGCGAATATTGAATATATGTGTAATATTTTTTAAAGTCTTTGTATTTTTCCAAAATAAAAGAAAAATTACTAGTTAACTGCTTATTTTCTCATTCAAGATTTAAAAATAAAACTTTTCATTTAGGCCGTCTTCTTGTCTTACTCTTTTTTTCTCCACATGGACTTCTTGTGATACTTAAGAATAAGACCTGGACATTCTGATTTTATGTGGATTAGCTGAGCCTTGCAGAGACACTTGTTACTTACTGGCACATCCAGCAAGCAGCTGCCAGCCTCAGGATGGAGTTCTAGGGAGTGTGTAGTTTAGAGCTTTTTACTTTTTGTTTTTGTTTTTGTTTTCTTTTATCATTTTTGCCTTTATTTCTTTCCAAGTTTAATTATTTTTCTTGACTCAAGCACACATTCTCGGGTTGAAGTAGTGATGAGGCCCAGATCTTGACTCACACATCTTTTCTACCCTAAGGATCTCTTAAGAATTTAAAAGCATGATATAATTCAGCCCTTTCATTTTACAGATAAAGAAACAGGTTTTGAGATGGACATACCTAAGATCACTAGAGATAAAACTAAGAAGGCTGGGTGTGTTGGTTCACGGCTATAATCCCAGCACTTTGAGGGTCCCAGGTGGACATATTGTTTGAGCCTAGGAGTTCAAGACCAGCCTGGGCAACATAGCAAAACCTTGTGTCTACAAAAAAATGCAAAAGTTAGCCAGACTTGGTGGTGAATTGCCTATAGTCCCAACTACTTGGGAGGATAAGGCAGGAGGATCACTTGAGCCCTGGAGATCAAGGATGCAGTGAGCCATGATTGTACCACTGCACTCCAGCCTGGGCAACAGAGTGAGACCCTGTCTCAAAACAATAAAATAAAACTAAGGAACACCATCATTTGGAAGGAAGAGTGTTAGAGGCAGTCTGTATAAGCATAGACAATAACCTCTTCCCCTTTGTAATATAATTTTTGGAGAGGAGAGATGTTTATTTCTTTTTCTATTTATTTATTTATTTATTTATTTATTTATTTATTTATTTATTTATTTTGAGACAGAGTCTCCCTCTGTCACCCAGGCTGGAGTGCAGTGGCGCAATCTCCTCCCACTGCAAGCTCCACCTCCCGGGTTCACGCCATTCTCCTGCGTCAGCCTCCTGAGTATCTGGGACTACAGGCACCCGCGACCACGCCCGGCTAATTTTTTTGTTTTTTTAGTAGAGACAGCGTTTCACCATGTTGTTGTATATATCACAGTGTGGCTTAGAAAGCCCTCCATTGGGGATTTTTTAAATTTTCTGGGAGAGAGAGAAAACTAATGTCAGAACTAATGGCATAGAAAGGTTATTATAAAAGGGAAGAAAGAACTGAGGGTTGTTTGGTAAGGAAGTTGGACGGAAAGAATATATTTTTTTAAAGGATATTTTAAGTATTAAGGGAATGACAGAGCAGGAGATAAGCCATAATGGTCATGAGCTTTGTGACAAATAGGTCCCAGATTTGATTTGATGATTTAATAAAAAGGGTCTTTTTTCCCCTCTTAGTAGAAAAACTATGTGTTGATACTCAATAAATATTACATTTTCAAAATAAAATAAGTGAGGTTCTTGGTTCTGAGCATGCACAGATAGGTTCAAATAGGCCTGAAAAACAAATCATTGCCCCAGTGGGAAGAGTGTTGGTCTGATGTCAGGGGCCTGGTTCCTTTTTTTCTTTTTTCTTTTTTTCTTTTTTTTTTTTTGAGACGGAGTCTCTCCCTGTCGCCCAGGCTGGAGTGCAGTGACACGATCGCGGCTCACTGCAACCTCCACCTCCCGGATTCAAGCTATTCTGTCTGCCTCAGCCTCCTGAGTAGCTGGAACAACAGGCGCGTGCCACCACGCCTGGCTAATTTTTGTAGTTTTTAGTAGAGACGGGGTTTCACCATGTTGGCTAGGCTGATCTTGAACTCCTGGTGATCCACCCGCCTCGGCCTCCCAAAGTGCCGGGATTACAGGTGTGAGCCACCGCGCCCAGCCAGGGGCCTGGTTTCTGATGCTGGCTCTGTCCCTACCCAGCCCAGCCACTGTGGGAAGCCATTGACAGCCTGTGGGCTTGTCTTCTCAGCCATTAAAATAGAATTGAGATCTGAAGTTTATTTCCCCAGGTTTCAAAGCATTGATTATAAGTCAGTTAAGATATACGTACCATAACCAAAATCAGTTTCAAATTTTGGCTTTCTAGTTTTATTAGTACTAATATTGAGTGTAACTGCTTTGATGGGCATGTGCAACAAAGTCATTCATTTTGTTAATTTTTCCCCCGATTTGACAGAAAGCAGAATGTCGTCATCCAGGTTGTGGATAAATTGAAAGGCTTTTCAATTGCACCAGACGTCTGTGAGACCACGACTCACGTGCTTTCCGGGAAGCCACTTCGCACCCTGAATGTGCTGCTGGGAATTGCGCGTGGCTGCTGGGTTCTCTCTTATGATTGGGTAAGCCCTGTGTGTGAACTGCGTATTTTAAAACAAGGCATTTTGATAGAGTGGGTCACCCTGAGGTGCCGACATCAGCACTCAGGCCGGCGTGCACCCTTGTGGATCTGCACACTTTCCTGTGAGCTGGGAACACCCGTCTTTCCTCCTGTTGGTCTCCCGTGGGCTGCTACCCTTCAACCAGGGCCAAGTTCTGGGGCAACAGGAGGACGGGGAGGGTAGAGAGCAGGAAGTGAGTAGCCTCTAAGATAAAGCAGAAGCAAGATTACAAAGATGCTGAAAGAAACGCAAGATGCATGTTCTCACAGTCAAAGAGCTTTCCTCTATGTGTGACCAAGAAACATTGTGAGCTGTGGTGGTGGTGGTTTGCAGAGCCAAAATAATTCAGTGATTGTTTGTACAGATGGATTTACTTAGGATGAAGGATGTTCTTTTAATCCCATTTGGATAGGTTTTATCCTATGTATATCTATCTGTAACATTATTTGCCCTTGTTTCTGTAGATTAAAGATAGCTTTTAAAAATACATAATTATTTTCGTTATTCATAAAAACTGAAATGAACTGTTATTGGTTCTATTATTACTTTCATCCTCAACCTAAGGTTGCTCCAAAGCATTCCTTTCTGGTGACAGTAGCATCACTTGTTACGTATGTTACCATTCTGCATCTGTGGTATCCGTCTTCCCTCCTCCTCTCCCAAGAATGTATTCTATTCATACTCATACTGTGTTCATTTAAACCAGTAGAATTATAACATGCAAAAGCTACACATGTATTTTCAAGAATGGCCGTCGTCTTTTTTCCGTGTTGTGACAGAGGTTAAAGAGATTAGTGCTTCTAGTTGTGAAGTGGAAAACGTTGAAATTCCAAAAGTAAGCACTGTTCATTTGCATTGGTGGCAATGGGGGATCACCTTACCTGATTATATATTAGTACTGCTTTATGTTTATTTGGATGAAAGACAGTAGTGCCCCTCTCATCCAGGGTTTTGTTTTGTGTAGTTTCAGGTACCATGGTCTGAAAATATTAAATGGGAAATCCCAGAAAATAACAATTTATAAGTCTTTAAATGCATTCTTTTCTGACTAGCATGAAGAAATCTCAGGTTATCTGGCTCCATTCTCCCTGGGATGTGAATCGTCCTTCAGTCCAGCCTGTGCATGGAGTAGGTGCTGCTTGCCCTCACTTAGTAGCCATCTTGGTTATCAGATAGAATCTCGTGATTTTGCAGTGTTTGTCTTCAAGGAACCCTTATTTGGCCTAATAATGTTCCCCAAGCACAAGAGTATTGATGCTGACAACTTTGATATGCCAAAGAGGAGCTCCAAGGTGCTTTCTTTAAGTGAAAAGGTGAACGTTGTCCACTTAATATGGAAAGAAAAATGGTATGCTGACGTAGCTAAAATCTATGGAAAAAATGACTCTTTGACCTGTGAAATTGTGAAGAAGGAGAAAAAACTGTGCATACTATATATATAGGGTTCAGAACTATCCACAGTTTTAGGCATCCCCCAGGGGGCCACGGACTGTGCCCCCTTTGGATAGGGTGGACTACTGTCTCTTTAATAACTCTAGCATCAGTGAATGAGTTCTGTGTTTTATTTCTCTCCAATTCAAATCGTCTCTGTGTCTTCATCTGACTACTCTCCCTTCCCTCAGGTTTTGGAGGAAAAAATGTTATTTCTAAGGATATGCATCTGTACAGGATTCCTTACCCAACTTATTCTTCTGGGACTTGGAGCAGTCCATAGAGGTCAGACGTGAGAACGTACTGCCTTTGCTGTCGACATGGATAGAGACCTGCTCCCTGGTTGTCTGCATGTCTCTGCTCAGTGTTCTGCTAGTACTCCACAGCTAATCATACATAGAAACAGAACTGGGTGAAATTTTAGGTTATTGTATCTCTTCTGGGATTACCTGATATGATAAAGGTGGGCATTAAAACACATTATTTAATAAACTTCTCACCTTTAGTCTAGACTCCTTGCCTGGAGGGAAGAACCTGGGGCACTCAGACACATAAGTGAATGAATGAGGTACAAGGCAATCAGACAAGAAAAGATAATAAAAGGCATGTAGGTTAGAAAGGAAGAAATAGAGTTATCTCTATTTATAAACCACACAATTTTCTATGTAGACAAGTCACAAGCAATCTACAAAACAGCAATTAGAGGTGACAGCTGAGTTGAGCAAGTCATCCAGATGCAAGAATTCCATTGAAACTTCAGTATAAAGCTAATAAAATAAGTGCAGGATCTGTGTGCTGAAAACTACAAAATACTGATTTTAAAGCTCAAAGAACTAAATATATTAAAAGACATACAATGTTCATGGATTAGAAGACATAGTACAGTGAACATGTCACTTCTTCCCAAAATGATGTATAGATTTAACACATTCTCATTCAAAATCTCAGTGGACTCTTTCAAGATACAGACAAACTGGTTCTAAAATTTCTATGGAGATATTAAGGAGCCAGAATAGCCAAAACAATTTAGAAAGGAAAGAACAAGGAGGAGGACTGGCACTACCTGCTTTTGGGGCATCCTTTCAAGCTGTGGTCCTCAAGGCAGTGTGGTATTGGTGGACACACAGAACAGACAGAGAATCCAGAAATAGACCCCCAAAATACATCCCATGGGTTTTCACAAAGGCATGAAGGCAATTCAGTGGAGAAATTCAGTCTTTTGAACAAGTGGTGCTGGAGCAGTTGGACATACACAATCAAGAAAAGGAACCTTCCCAACACTTTGGGTGGATCACCTGAGGTCAGGAATTGGAGATCAGCCTGGCCAACATGGTGAAACCCCGTCTCTACCAAAAATAAAAAAACTAGCTCGGCATGGTGGCACCTGCCTGTAATCCCAGCTACTCAGGAGGCTGAGGCACAAGAATCACTTAAACCGGTGAGATGGAGGTTGCAAAGAGCCAATACCATGCCACTGCACTGCAGCCTGGGTGACAGAGAGACACCCTGTCAAAGAAAAGAAAAGAAAAGGAGAGGAGAGGAGGAAGGAAGGGAGAACCTCATTCTATACCTTACACGAGCCACAAAAATTACCTCCAAATGGATCATAGACAAAATTTAAAGGTATAAAACTTCTATAAGTAAACATACAAGAAAAATGATCTTGGTGTAGGCAAAGAGTTCTTAGATACACCAAAAGCATGATGAATAACAGAAAACATAGATAAGTTAGATTTCATCAAAATTGAAAGCTTTTACTCTGTGAAAGATATTATGAAGAGATCAGAAGAAAACGTTTGCAAATCTTATATCTGACAAAAGATTTATGTCTGGAATATATAAAGAACTCTTAATACTGAACAATAAGAAAACAGAACAGCTCAAACAAAAAATGGCAAAGAAAAGATTTGAATAGACAGTTTACTGAGGACACACAGATGGCAAATAAGCATCTAAAAAGATGCTCATCATTATTGCTCACTTCAGAAATATAGTGAGATCCACTACATATCCATTAGAATGGCTAAAAGAAAAAATAACAGTCGCACTCTAGCAAGGAGCCAGGGCAGCTGGAACGGCTGCTGGTGTGTGTGGGAAGTGGTCCAGCCGCTTTGAGAAACAGTTTGACAGTTTCACAGAAAGCTAAATGTCCACTCAGCAGTCCCACTCCCAGATATTTGCCTCGGAGAAATGAAAGCTTGTGTTCACACAGAGTCTGTACGCGAATATTTGTAGCAGCCTTACTTATCATCAGCTGGACCTGGAAACAGCACAGCTGTCCCTCCAGTGGGTGAATGGATCAACCAGCTGGACCAACCATACTGTGGAGTGTCACTCAGGAGTCGAAAGGAATGGTGATAGGTACAGCAGCTTGCATGACTCTCAGGGGCATCATGCCAAGTTGAATAGCTGGTCTCAGAAGGTCACATGCTGTATAAGGCCATTTCTTTGTCATTCTAGACAAGGCCAAACTATAGGGAAGGAGAACAGATGAGTGGTTGCCGCGCATTAAGGTGGGAGTAGCATCTGCCTCTGCAGAACAATAGCAGCTGTCACATCTTTGGGGCATTGGAATTGTGCTGTGTTGTTAGTGGCAATGGTTACAGAATCCATGTATTAAAACACAGAGAACTGTACACACATATGCACACACGAGTAAATCTTATTGTTTCTAAATTTAAATTAAGAAGAATATCTAGGCGGGGTGCAGTGGCTCATGCCTGTAATCCCAGCACTTTTGGAGGCCGAGGCGTGTGGATCACGAGGTCAGCAGTTCAAGACCAGCCTGGCCAAGATGGTGAAACTCCGTCTCTACTAAAAATAGAAAAATTAGCTGGGCACGGTGGCAGGTGCCTATAATCCCAGCTACTCAGGAGGCTGAGGCAGGAGAATCGCTTGAACTTGGAGGGAGGAGGTTGCAGTGAGCCGAGATCACGCCACTGCACTCCAGCCTGGGTGACAGAGTGAGACTCTGTCTCAAAAAAAAAAAAGTATATCTTACATATCTAACGTGCTTTCCAAATGGAGATGTTTGAGCACTGGTAGGACCGGGCTAGTGTCTTGGTTTCAGAACTAGGTTTCCTTCTGTGTGCTGAAGTTTACAGGCTCCTGTACCTTCAACTGCTGCCTCTGTACCTATACTTCCTGTTAGCACTGAAGCTTCATCCCAGCTTTTCTATCTTAAAAAAAAAATGAAAAGAATTTAAAAACATAACTTTCTCTAAATTGCTCTTTGCCCTCTGTGCTACCTTTTTTTCCCCTCATTCATGGCAAAACGTCACAAATGTATGTCTGTATTGCCCTTGCCTTACTGATGATGTCGCTATTTGTTAATAGTATCAACTCTTGGGAGATTGCGAAGGCTCAGGTGGCCTATGGCTTCAGGTGAAATATCTGTTTGTGTGATTACAAGGTAACCATGATGGCAGTCAGGTATATCACACATATATAAATGACACAAACAGATATAAATATATGTTTGTGTGATTACAAGGTAAACGCAATGGTAACCGCAATGGTAACCACGATGACTCTCGCTGGCACAACAGGAGTATTGATGTTCACAGGTTGCTCCTGACTTGCACCCTCAAAAAGTTTAGAAACAAGCCGAGTCACTTTCTCTGTTCATCTCAGTCTTCAAGAAGACAAAGATGACTGCTGCTTCTTGCATGGCCCCCCTCCTTTAACTTTTAAATAAATTGAATAGTACAAACATAAGAAATTTGAGAGAGGATAGTTGCCACCACCATTTACAAAGCCATTCTACATAATTTTTAAAGCTTAGCACCCACTTTAATATTTATCTATGTCTTGCATATAACTTCAGATATAAACTTCACAGTTCCAATTTCTTTTAGGGTCAAGATTTAAAGTATCCATATCATATATTATATACATTGACTTTGTGTACAAGGAATCTCTCTCTCTCTCTCTCTCTCTCTCTCTCTCTGGCACTCTCGCTCTCTCGCTCTCTCGTCCTCCTCCTTCTAACCCTGTCTCCAATGTAGTTGGGGGATTCTTAAAATATTCTCTTTGGCTAGCAGTATAAACTGGCCTCCAAGAAAAACACTGCTGAGCATGTTTTTATTTCAGGGTTTGTGTGGTATTCTCTGGAAATTTCTTGTAAAGGAGATTTGTAGCAGTTCTTCAGAATTAGATGGTTGTATGTGGCCCAGCTAGTCTTATCAGAAACTGTGGCGATTTTATAACAAAGTTCAGTTTGAATTTTGACTTAATATTTTTGAGAAGTTTATTGGCAATTTTTCCATGTTTACAGCAGTTCACACCTCCAGTGTTAGCGCTACTGTTTTCAGGAAAGAGAATAATTTATGTTTTTCCTCCTTCATGACTGAATTGTCTGGCAGATACATGGAAATAGAAAACCATGCCAGGAGTTGCCGAGCTTCCTATTTATGGGAGACAGGAAGTAACACAACAGAAAAATAAAGAAATTAATTTGACCAAAGTGTCCCTTTAGACTCACATTGTTTTGTTATGTGTTGTTCAAGCATAGCACAATTTGAACCTTTAAATACTCTTTATCCCACTCTCACTTAATTTGATGATTCCTGCACTTTCCTGTGACTTGTCTAAAATTCTACTTTCCCTCGAAACCCTTTTGTGGATGCTAACATACAAGCAGAGTGTCCTGTGATTCAGTCTTCCCTTTTTCCAGCTACCACTCCGTGTCACTCTGTCCAGCACAGTGAGGAATAACTCAGCCTGTATTCAGATTTTAATATTTTGATTCTGAACAGCTTATGAAAAGGATCTGATAATAGAGATTTAAAGCTAATTCACTTATAAATACAAGTGTAGGGCTTAAAAGCTAAATCAGCTTTACAACAAAATGTCAAGGCCGCTAACTATCAACAGATAATCTAGTGTTTTCTTAATCAAAAATGATTTCATGATGACTATTTTCTTGAGATAATGTGATCCACATTGAACTTAGTAAGCAGTGAGTCAGATGAGATATGTTTTTATCAGTGGTGAGCATAGAATCAATGAACTGTTAGAATAACACACTCAGTTCATTCCGTTCACGCCTCTCATTTTACATTAAAGAAATGCTGAGCCGCTCTCCTAAAATTATAACTCATGGGAGAACCAGAACTGGAATCTCAGCTTTTCACTGGTGTTAGTTCATCACCCTGCATTCCTAAGTCTGTTCAAAAGGGATCATCTTGAAAAACCATTCTCTTTTTAACTTTCAGTTGGCAGATTAACTTCATAACTCATGTTAGGAAGAATCTTCAGGGACATTGTACTTGGTGTGTCACACTGACACTGAGTTTCTGAGGGTGCCCTTCAGGTCTCTCTGGCAGACATTTATTGCTCGCACTTGCAAGCTGACTAGGATCTCAGGCCTGGGTCTCTGAACTTTCACGGCTTGATTTCAAAGTCCTTTTTATCCTGCTACAGATTATACCTTGGTAAAGGACTTTATACTTCACAGAGTGTTTTCACATGCACTGTCTCACTGGATCCTGACAGAACATTTTTGCAGCCGAGAAGGACGCTGCAAATAATTAGTGAATTTAGTGATGGAGACTCTGGGCAAAAATAGCTTGTCTGACTTGAACGTGGATCTTAGAAACACATCTCTGTCAAGGCATTGTTTTAAGGCAGTGACTATGGTCTTACATTTATCTCCAGGACACCTAATTTATACTTTTTCCTGATTAAAATAATGGATTCTGGTTTTGCCCAGACATAGAACCCACAGAGTTTGTCTGCTTCTTTCACTTGAGGTGGTTCCTGAGCAGTGCCAGAGCTCATTCTCTGCGGAGGCTCCTGCAGGCTGCGGCAGCGTGGCCTCTGGCCGCTGGGAGCATGGGAAGCAGGCGCTGCGGTCTAGGTCCTCCATCCCCCTGTCTGCTGCTCCTGGCAAGACCCCAAGGTGCGCATTTCCCAGGTTGGAGCCGCTGTGCTTCCCAGGACCATAATCTGCTGATTGAGGACAGATACCAAAAAGTGATTCATCTGTAAAATTGAGGGCTGTGGTGCTGCCCTCTAGGAGGACATTTGGAAAGATGTGGAGAAACCTGTGAGTGCTAAGAATGACTGATGTTAAAGTTTGAAAGAGTCAAAGTGATTTTTTTAGTGGGAGAAGACTGTGGAGTCACCCTGAGATGCAACCACAGGCTTGATTAGAAATAAAGTTTGATCACCATTTTCAAATTTTTACATTAATATTTTTTAATTTTCGAAAGGTGCTAAACAGAATCTACTTAATGCACCTGGCACAGAAAAGGCAGTGCCCGGGTCCTAAGGCTGCACCTTTGCAAGAAAGAGAAATACCTGAGGCACCGGGAGTGAGGAGGACAGGTGTTGGAGAAGGCTGTAGGGCCCCAGTATGGCTGTGTAGTTCAAGACGAGGGATGCAGAAGCCATCGGACTATTTTAATTACAGAGTGGCAGCTTTTGTCTCTGTGGCCTCTCAGCAAAGAATGGATTGCAGGGAGGTAAGAACAGGGTGAGAAGCAGGAGGCAGCTAGGGTCATCGAGGTGAAAAATGACTGCGGCTGTGTCTAGAGGGGGGGTTGATAGGTGGAGAGGAGAGAGCAGGTCGGCGCCCTTCCTAGGAAGATCTAGTGGAATCTGTAACGTCAGGTGTGTGGGAATGGAGAAGTCAAGAAGACTCCCACCCAAATTTTTTCCTGGGGCGACTAACTATAGATAATGGTGCCATTTGCAGAGTTAGGGAATTCTGGGGCAGAAGATTGTGTGCAAGGTTTGGGGTACAATAAAAAATTGATGTAGGCATATTAGGTCTGAGATTCCTACTGGACATTCAAATAGAGATACTACATATCAGATTATATATATGTACAAATATTCAGAGGAAAGGTTAACTATTCACTCCAGCCATGGTACCTGGAAGGGAGTGTGAATGAAGAAATGAAGAAAACAGTGAGTTTAGGTTTGATCTCTGGGCTGTGCCCCTATGCAGAAGTCAGGGGGAAGGGGGAGGCAGGGGGACCCGGGAACGGCTAGCTAGCAACCTGGGGGAGACACCAGGGGAACATGGCATCAGTCAGAAGGGGGACTGTCTCAGGAAGGAAGGATGCTCAGCTGTGCTGAGTGCTGCTGGAAGGTGAATAAGAGGAGACAGAAGCCACTGTTTGATTTCTTCAGGTGGATGTTGTCAGAGACCTTGAAAAAAGCAGGATGAATCCAATGACTAAGACAGTTGAAGAGTCAATGGTACATAAAGCAGTGGAAGCACTAGGGTTATGTGTAATGGTGCGATTTGCTGAGTTAGGGATTATTATCAGACATATTGCTGATATGTTATTCCTAGACATAATGCTGCTGCTACATCAGAGAGATTGGTTGGCAGCGAATGGGGCACTGTGAAGTGTGACTCGAGCCTTCTCGTGTTGCCAACTGCAACACAGATCATCGTCCTAGTGCTTGGCGATGTGGTTGCATTATGGTGAGTTGAGTGTGGCCTTGGGAAGCATCTGAATCTGTTGGCTGAGTTATCAGGGAAAAAAAATTTAAAAAGTAAACTAAGATTATGTATATTAATGAAAAAGTTGCTGTATTTGGCAAATACTTTAAATGGATAAGGCTAAAAACCAACAAGTCGAGAGGGTACTTGTTGCCACCCATCCTTTTCCAAATCATGGCCTTCAAGGATCACACTGTTGGTCTTTCCTTTTCTTTTAACTTGGATCAACTGTGAAGTAACACAGGTCTTCAGTGTAGATCTCAGTTCCCCAACATTTGCCTTATGACTGAGACCTCCAGGACGTCAACTTGGTCCATGCTGAACTGCAGCACAAATTCCAAGCTTTGACCATACCTCAAGGTGCACTTTAACCTTTGCAGTGTTCTGCCAGACATCTGAACTTTCACTTTTGTTTCTGACATCTCAATCACACAGTTCTCACTGTAAATATTAAATAATAGCACAGAATATTTTAACTTCAGGTATTCATTGGAAAATTCAACCATGGTTTGGTTTTATCTGTCACTTCAAAAACTGTCTTCAGCTGTCCATCATTTAGATGTCATTTAGATGTTCCTCAGGGACTTTGGGGACATTGTTAACAATCTGTTATTTCAAGGCTTCTAAACTCTATCCCCAAGTTAAAATGATTTCCAAGGAACATCATACTTCTCTTACAGTCTGTGTGTAAGCACCCTCTGTGAATTCGGTTTTAGGGACAATGTTAGCTTTTGAAGAGAGCTGATGTAAGAAATACTAGATTTTAGGAAACTGTTGTACTTTTTTCAAAGCTATATTTGACGACATTGTACATTTTGCTACCTGATACTTTTGATGTATGATCCACCTAATGCCTTTCTCCTAAAATTAATTTCCAATGAATTGAATAGGAATTCCAAATGAAATGAATTTCATAGGAAAATCTCATACAGAAAATTTGTTAGGCTGTCCTTAACCAGAGAATGAGAATTATGTAATGCGGTTTTGTCAGCTAGAGTAACAGCTTGCCATAGGTTCATAATAGAGCTGTTTTTTAGTTCTTTTTCTTGGGTTCTTGTTTCTGAAAGAAAGTTTCTCTGCCAGAATATTGAAGTTGTGCCTAAGTTAATAATTTAACAAGCATTGTATATATTAATAATATAATATCAATAATGCTATTAATCATTAATAACAATTATTTAATATTAATATTAAATACTTAATATTAAATTTTTAGAATATTAAAATTTAAAATTTAAAAAATAAAATTTATCAAAAAAAATTTTTTTTTTACTTTTGAAGCATTGGTTTTATTAAACTTTCAAAGTAGTATGGCAAAAAGGTGGCCACATACCAAATAGTGTCATACATTTCTTAAAATCTCTCCTAGCAAATAAACTTAAATTGAGATCATGAGTCAGTTGAAAAGACAATTTAATTTTTTTGCCATACAATTAAAGTATTTCTGAGAAGTCAGAGTGCTTTGCAATGTTTGGTGAATAATTTACACAATTCCAGAATAATGTCTCACTTATGGAGAATACACCTACCACTTACTTCGATAAACAGAAGTAGAGTCTATGGTTTCTTTCTTTTTTTTTTTTTTTTTAGCTGCTAAAGATTATTATTAGGACAGAAGGACAATTAGCTTTAAAAGCATTGCTCAGAACATGTATTTTTTTTTCTAGTATTCTTTTTTTTTTATTATACTTTAAGTTCTAGGGTACATGTGCACAACATGCAGGTTTGTTACATATGTATGCATGTGCCATGCTGGTGTGCTGCACTCATTAACTCGTCATTTAGCATTAGGTATATCTCCTAATGCTATCCCTCCCCACTCCCCCGACCCCACAACAGGCCCTGGTGTGTGATGTTCCCCTTCCTGTGTCCATGTCTTCTCATTGTTCAATTCCCACCTATGAGTGAGAACATGCGGTGTTTGGTTTTTTTGTCCTTGTGATAGTTTGCTGAGAATGATGGTTTCCAGCTTCATCCATGTCCCTACAAAGGACATGAACTCATCATATTTTATGGCTGCATAGTAGTCCATGGTGTATATGTGCCACATTTTCTTAATCCAGTCTATCATTGTTGGACATTTGGGTTGGTTCCAAGTCTTTGCTATTGTAAATAGTGCCACAGTAAACACACGTGTGCATGTGTCTTTATAGCAGCATGATTTATAGTCCTTTGGGTATATACCCAGTAATGGGATGGCTGGATCAAATGGTATTTCTAGTTCTAGATCCCTGAGGAATCGCCACACTGACTTCCACAATGGTTGAACTAGTTTACAGTCCCACTAGCAATGTAAAAGTGTTCCTATTTCTCCACATCCTCTCCAGCACCTGTTGTTTCCTGACTTTTTAATGATCGCCATTCTAACTGGTGTGTGATGGTATCTCATTGTGGTTTTAATTTGCATTTCTCTGATGGCCAGTGATGATGCGCATGTTTTCATGTGTCTGTTGGCTGCATAAATGTCTTCTTTTGAGAAGTGTCTGTTCATATCCTTCGCCCACTTGTTGATGGGGTTGTTTTTTTCTTGTAAATTTGTTAGAGTTCTTTGTAGATTCTGGATATTAGCCCTTTGTCAGATGAGTAGATTGCAAAAATTTTCTCACATTCTGTAGGTTGCCTGTTCACTCTGATGGTAGTTTCTTTTGCTGTGCAGAAGCTCTTTAGTTTAATTAGATCCCATTTATCAATTTTGGCTTTTGTTGCCATTGCATTTGGTGTTTTAGACATGAAGTCCTTGTCCATGCCTGTGTCCTGAATATTATTGCCAAGGTTTTCTATGCTATAGAAATAGCATATTTCTATGCTATTCATCATTAATAACAATTATTTAATAATATTAATATTAAATAGTTAATATTAAATTTTTAGAATATTAAAATTTAAAATTTTTTTAAAAATAAATATTTTATATTAAATTATCAAATAAATATTAATAATAATTATTTAATATTATAAAATTAATAATCTTTCATTATTGAATTATTGATTGAGTTAAGTAATTAATTGATTAACTGATAAGGATTATTGTTAAATTATTGTACTCTTGGGTAGTACAGAGACTGCATACTGCGCTTTGCCATGTAAATACTATTGTCTACTTCCTGGTACGTGGCTCTAGGGAGGCTATGGCAGAGTCAAGTGCTTTTGCCCTTAATGTGAACAAAAAATAGTGATTGCTCTTAGTAGCCATAATATTTGGTTTATTGTCTGTGTTGGTAATAATTTCTGCTGTGTTTTCATACAGTGAAGTGATGTTTCTGCTGTTTATTTTAGTTGCATTGGAATTTGTTATATTTATTTCTTTGTTTTCCTTTTGATAAGAGAAGTACGCACTTAGTTATTTATAAAGATGTTTGGACTTCACATGTGAGTACAGTGGTGACATGCTGGGTTTTCCTGGTCATTGCTTAGCTGTATTTATAAAGTGAATATTACTGAGCAGTTAAGCCTTAACATCGAGAATCACCCATTTTCATTTTTGAAAACTGGAAAGGATTAGGTAGAATGCAAGGAGAATAAATTGAACTTAAATGTTTGTGTTCAATTGAGGTGAGCTTTTTCATAAGAATATTCAAGCCTAGGTCAACATGCAGCTTGTTTTCCCTCTCACCACCTGGAATTCAGTCTCTATCGGTCAATGTCTTCTAAAAGGGAAATGGGTTCTTAACTATATACTTTTAGTACTTTATTGCTTATCTTCCCTTTCTTGGTTGAATAGGCTGTGTTAGATATTTAGCTTCCTGCCCCTTTCTTTATGAGACAGCTAGAGCAGTGCTTTTCAAAACCTTACTAATGTGTGGATCACCTGGGGGATCTTACTGAAGTGCAGATCCTGGTTCAGTGGGTCTGGGTCTGCTCAGGCTTGAGGTGAGGTCCACGCTGCTAGTCCTGTGACCCAGCATTAGGTCCCCAGGATACAAAATATGACCGGGGATCTCTGTCGTATTCGGGGGTGGAGATGAGACAGCGTCCCAATGATGTTAGTCACATGGAACATTTAGAGATGCGGAGCTACTTTGTCAGTGTTTTACACATCGTCAAGCTGTTAGTCAAGACAGTAATCCTCTGTGGAAACTGTGGCTTGAACACTTTCAGTAAATTGCTCATGGTCATAGTGCTTGGAAATAGTAAATTTTTTTTTTTTTTCTTTGAGACAGAGTTTCGCTCTGTTGCCCAGGCTGGAGTGCAGTGGCACGATCTTGGCTCACTGCAACATCTGTCTCCCAGGCTCAAGCAATTCTTGTGCCTCAGCCTCTTGAGTAGCTGGGATTACAGGTGCATGCCACCACACCTGGCTAATTTTTATTTTTTGTAGAGACAGAGTTTCACCGTGTTGTCCAGGCTGGTCTCAAACTCCTGACCTCAAGTGATCCGCCGACCTTGGCCTCCCAAGGAACTGGGATTACAGATGTGAGCCACTGCATCCTGCCAGAAATGGTGAATTTTGAATTTGAATTCAGCTCTTCCTCAATTCATAGCCCACATTCTTTCTAGCATCTACTTCCAAAGATAGCCTAGAGAGTATTTTTTATCTTCTATAGCTGTAAACCTTGATATGGGCATTCTCTGATGGCCTGTGTGTTTTGAAAAGATTAATGGATAAGGCAGTGGATTTCACTGCTAACCTTGCTACACCGTAGCTGTGTAACCTTGGGTAAGGCAGTTTCTTTATCTGTAAAAGAATGGAAAGATCACCTAAATAAAGTACTCAGTAAACACTCAATAAATATTAAATATCGTTATTATTCAACAAGCATTTTTGACGCTGATCACTAGCCTTCATTAAAAGTATAACTTGGATGAACGTTGAACACACCGAGTGAAAGGAGCCAGACACAAAAAGCACATGTTGTATAATTCCTTTCAGACAGTATATCCAGAATAGGTAAATCCATAGAATAGAAAACTAATTAGAAGTTACCAGGGATGGAGGGGAGAGAGGGATGGGGAGTGATTACTTAACAGGTACAGGATGTTTTTCTGGGGTGATGAAAGCATTTTGAAACTAGAAAGAGGAGCTGGTTGCACAGCATCATGATATAAAATGCCATTGAATTGCACACTTTAAAATGGTTAATTGTATATTATGCCAATTTCACCTCACTTAAAAAAAGTCATATATGGAAAATAGCTTTAAGGCACCACTACAACTACTAAATAGGTTTGTATTTTTAAAAGAACTTTATGGAATTATAGGAAGCATTTCTTGATGTTATGAGATGTGTTGGAAATACAGAAGAATAGCTTATTTTGGAACAGATATTATTGGCTTGAAATTTTGCCAGTTCAAGCTGGTCTCTTTGGAAGACTAGACCTTTATTTTCTGGCTTGAAAATGCTTTGGACATAAGTACCCTATTATTTTGTTGTTAAAAATTATACTATTGACATCCCCAATTTTTTCTCCTGAAGTTCAGTATAACCTAGAAATAACTTCATTGCTACACTATTTCATTAACTACATGGGTGCTTTTTTAGTTAATAATGATGCATAATGTCTTCATGTGGCAGAAACACTAACCTGCCCCTTGTCATAAATCTGTAAAAAGATGGACATTGGTTTAAACCCAGTTGTTGAATTCTGTGCTTTTAACCAGTATGTTACACTGTCTAGTTGGGGAAGAATCCCAAATCTTCTTCTTTCTTTAGAAAAATCCAAAACAGCATACAAACTAGCAAACTCTCATAAATGTTGTTTGAGAAAATCAATTGCCCTAACTACTAAGACAAAGGATCTATAAAATCTGATGAGAACAATCTTTGTAATTTGATTTTTATAATTTTGTCAGCTTAAATTAGTAAAAAGTTAATAATTATTACTTTTGTTACGCTTATAATAAATAATGTGTTTCTACACCTTCCATAAACACCTACAACCACACTTTTTACCACAGTTGGTGGAGTGAAGGGTGGATGGAGGAGATAGTGGCAAAAACACCCCAATCACTTTCAGTGATTAAAGTAAAGATGTGTCTAACTTTACTCCTAAAGTATCATCCAGTAAAGCGGAATGTAAAACATACTTTTGAACTGTTTGAAATCAACTACATTCCTATGGCTTACGACTGTGGGACAAGTTTCTAACTATCAGATTTGATTTTTAATTAATCAGTGATATTTTATACCAGCAGTCTCCAACCTTTTTGGCACCAAGGACCAGTTTTGTGAAAGACAATTTTTCCAGGGACTTGGGGGTTGGGAGGGTGAGGGAGGAATGGTTTTGGGATGATTCAAGCACATTACACTTATTGTACACTTTATTTCTATTATTATTACATTGTAATATATAATGAAGTAATTATACAACTCACTGTAATGTAAAATCAGTGGGAGCCCTGAGCTTGTTTTCTGCAACTAGACAGTCCCATCGGGGGGTGACGAGAGACAGTGACAGATCATCAGGCGTTAGATTCTCATAAGGAGCATGCAACCTAGATCCCTCATCTGCACAGTTCACAATAGGGTTCGCAATTCTATGAGAATGTAATGCCACTGCTGATCTGACAGGAGGTGGAGCTCAGGTGGTAATTAAAGCAATGGGAAGTGGCTGTAAATACAGATGAGGCTTCCTTCACTGGTTCACCCACCACTCACCTCCTGCTGTGTGGCCCCGTTCCTAATAGGCCACAGACTGGTACCAGGACCCCTGTTTTACACGATGTGGAGTCTTTTGTATGCAAAGAATATTGTTGACTTTCGCCACACGGAAGCCCCCCCGCCCCCCTTCCCCCGCCTTTTTCCTTTCCAGTTACATTCCCACAGGTATTCTTAGTACCACAACTGCAGTTGAATTTCACAGTATGGTGGGTGGTAAGCTATGGTGGGCGGTATGCTTGGATAAGGCTGGCTATTTAGAAATTTGGAATAAATGTAGTGTTATGACTAACAGTAATGTTGCCTATCAAAAATTGTGAATGTTAATAAATGTTTTCAACACAATCGTTAATGCTTTCCAGTGAGTTAAACCAGCTTCATGTTACAGTTGTATTTTCCATCCCAGTAGGGAGTCATTATTAAATGGGGTCATGTTTTCAAGCCCAACTTAAAATCCCTCTTACAGATTGCCTTCCCCACCCCACCCCCAGTTTTCTCTCATCACTTATACATTGAAATAATTGCTTATTGTTTTCCCTCTTTAAATTTTTTTTGAGAAGTCAAAAATTGAGTACCTTGTTCAGTGTTTTTGCTTATGAAATACTTTGTGAATAAATTTTGTTCTTAGCTGAAGAAAATTTCTTAGGCAGTTAAGAAAATACTAATAAGCTAATTAATGAATAAAAACTAATTTCATTGGTCCTGATTGGAAGTGCAACATTTACCGATATTTAGCTATAATCCTTTTGATCAGTCAGAAATTTGTAATTATTCTTTGAGAAATAAAAAGTTGAGAGGGCTGGGTGCGGTGGCTCACACCTATAATCCCAACACGTTGAGAGGCCGAAGCAGGTGGATCACTTGAGGTCATGAGTTCGTGACCAGCCTGACCAACACTGTGAAACCCCATTCTCTACCAAAAAAAAACAAAAAAAAAGAAAAAAGAAAAAAATTAACCAGGCATTGTGATGTGCGCCTGTAGTCTCAGCTACACAGGAGGCTGAGTCAGGAGAATCACTTGAACCTGGGAGACGATGCTGCAGTGAGCCAAGATTACACCACTGTACTCCAGCCTGGGCGACAGAGGAAGACTGTCTAAAAAAAATAGAAAAGGAAGTTGAAAACAGCTTAGGGAAGAGCTGCAACCACTGACCAGCACCAGTACTCCATCATAATATATGCTTTTCACTTATAAGGAACTGTAATGTAAACTGTGGACTTTGGGTGATAATGATGTGTGAACACGGGATGACTGGGTACAACACATGTAGCACTCCAGTGGGAGACATCGAAATGCATATGTGGCGGCAGGAGGTGTATGGGAGCTCTCTGTACCTTCCTCTTAATTTTGCTATGAAGCTAAAGTGGCTTTAAAAATACAAATACAGAAAAAAACTTGTGCTTTCTATAGATTAATTTGAACATAGACACATTAATATAATAGATACATTGATTTGAACATAGGTACATTAAGTTGAACACTTAAGGTTTTTATGATGTCCTATACCACAATAAACTGAAGAAGTCTGCCTTACAAGTTTGTTCAAAGAACTCTCAATGCTCTCACTGCTCCTTCCCTGCCTTGAACAGGAAGTGTCATCCAGTGCAATAAGGGGGAAAATAAAATGTGCATAGCAATCAGAAAGGAAGAAATAAAGCAGTTTCTATTCACAGATGCAGTTCCTATTTAAATTCATCAGCAAGGTTTTGGTTTTATGAATGATAATATTAAAATGTAAAAAACACTATTTTCATTATGTAATGTGTCACCTACAAGATGCTGAATTCCTGTTGCAGCGGATGCTGAATTCACTCTGCCCTTCTTATAAGAAATATGTTGGGCCAACCTTTTGTTTTTAAGTTTGCTTACAGCCTTACCTGTGCTCTTTCAAAGTAGATTTTCACTATTTTGAACACTCTATTAAGGTAAAGATGTGTTCGGCCAATGAAACTACTAGAGCAAAATGTTTACACTGTATTTCTGATTTGATTGTTTTAATACAACTGAATTAGTGTTTTCTCCTATCTCTATGCAATATTAATTCCTGGGATGTCTGTGTAAATTAATTAATTTACTGACCAGAACTCTACTTTAGCTTCTTATGGTTTTGTTTTCTTAACATTTAGAAACGGCTAAATTTAGAGGACATAAATTTTCTCCATGAGATTGTTTAAATTCAGTTGACTTTTTAATGTGGATTATATTTGAACTTGAATGCCGCACGCATTTTTAAGGCTGGTTCATGGCTTCTGTCACTGGTACGTTGTATTTCTCACTGTACTATTCTTTTACGTTGCCTCTTGTCTGAAATGAACTTGATTTTAACCTTTTATTTTCTGGTCTAATTATATGAGCTTGTGGGGAGCCTCACATATTGTTAGTATATCTCCTTAAATAACATGCATTGAGGCTGAGGTCAGCAGATCACTTCAGGCCAGAAGTTCGAGACCAGCCTGGCCAACACGGTGAAACCCGATCTCTACTACAAATACAAAAAAAATTAGCCAGGTGTGGTGGTGGGCGCCTGTGGTCCCAGCTACTCAAGAGGCTGAGGCAGGAGAATTGCTTGAACCTGGGAGGTGGAGGTTGCAGTGAGCTGAGATTGCACCACTGCACTCCAGCCTGGATGACAGAGTGAGAGTTTGTCTCAAAAAATAAATAAATTAAATAAATAAATAAATAAATAAATAAATAAATAAAATAAACATGAATTGTATAATCCAGCTTTGTTATTTTAGCTCTAAACTTCTGGTGTATGGAGACAGATTTTCAGGGAGTTTGGTCCTGGAGGAGAGACGGCTGCAGAACCTCAAATATTACTGAATTAAAAAGGAAAAGATTGTATTGATCATTTTACCGTGTGGGGATTCAAATACTAAGAGGATAATGATGATGATAATGATGACGATGAAAGCTTGTTTATGGGACATTTTACTCTTCCAAAGTCTGGGAAGGAATTTCAAGTGTATTCTGGGGACTTCTGAAAATATTAGCCAATGTTAGAAACAAAGTCACAAGCCAAAGGGATTGCTTTTGAATTTAGGCTTGTGATCCATCTTCTTTTAATTCACTGTTTTAATTAATAAAAGTCTGGAATATTTACAGAGGATTGTTTATAAAACTTCACAAATTAGAAACTTGGAATTAAAAATATATATATAAAATATTTCATATGTGTAAAAACAGGATAATATTTAAATATCTGACCTCATGAGAATAATGACTCAGATTTCTTGTTATCGTGAGACTTTTTCTCAATCAACTTTTTATTAATATTCATAACATTTATGCAACATGAAGATTCTGAAGGGACTTTGTTGTCTGAGAACACATCTATTTCAGATCTGCGGAGTGTATCACTTTTTGCTGTGTCTTCAAAGTGATTCTTGGTTTATTGCCTGCTAAGGCTAATAAATGTATAATAAATCTGCTTGTTGTGTCACTTGCAGGTGCTATGGTCTTTAGAATTGGGTCACTGGATTTCTGAGGAGCCGTTCGAACTGTCTCACCACTTCCCTGCAGCTCCCGTAAGTCAGATGTTGTTTTACGATGGTAAATGCAGTTTGCTGTTCTCAAGAAATTATTATAAACATAAGGGTGGACTTAAGTTTTTATCCAGTCAAGCACAATTATGCCCATAATTAAAAAGACATTCACAGAACTTAACACCTTTTATCAATTTATTCGCGAGAACAAATGTGAGAACGTGAGACCATTGTGCAAAAAGTAGTGAGGAATGCAGTCCAAAGAAAATTTGACGATTAACATCCTCAGAACTGAGAAAAACAAAAATGAAAAAAGACTGAATTCTTGGGCAGGTAGTCTTATATCTTGCTTAATGTTTTTACTGTTAATAGAAATAGAACTGATAGGTATAAAGATTATGGCTTGCTGGTGCTGTGATAACAGTATTTATATTTTTATGGCTTTCCTAAATTCCACTTCAACTTTCAAATGCTTCATTGAAAAGTTCTGGGTTCTAATTTTTTTTAAGATTAAGTAATAATTAAGTGGATAATTTAAAGTTTGCTTGGATACAGGATTGTGCAGAAGTTGCCTTTCATGTTCAAAAATGTTAATTTGTTTGTCACAGTTTATTCATTCAAAAGATTAATAGCTGAAAGATAAATGGTGATTTTTATCTGCCACTGGTGTTGTTATTTAGCTGTTTGAGTAGGCCATATGACTAAAACATAACAAGGAGTTGAACTGTGCTCCCTGATCACTGTAGTTATCTAGGTTGTTGGGTTGTTTTGTTTTCATTTTTAAGATTACTGTTTGATTTCCTTTCAGCTTTATAAACATTTTCTTAAGGAGAGACAAAAGCTCCTCTCAGCAAAACTGTTTGTTTGAAATACCGTGTAAGGAATTGAAGTGTAAAGTAAAAACACAAATTCCCCCCATTCTCGCTCATAAGAGATTATATATGATGCACAATGACATAATGAGATTTGTCCTTGAATTTTTTATCACCTGCCTACAAAGAGAATTGATATAAATTGTGTTGTTGCCAGTTTTTCCTGCATTAGCGTTTCCCTACCTAAGTATCCATCACTCTTGTCATTGAGATATCCTAGAAACTTGTTGTTGTCTTTCGAGGCTGTGAAATTTTCTTATTTTCAGTTGTTTTTCAACTTGATACAAGGCCATGATACCGTTGTTGAATTCATAAAACCTTCTTAAATATAAAGTAGATACAGTTCTAAGATAGGGAGGTTCTTAACTAGTTAAATAGTTGTTGGAAAAGTGCACCTTGGTGGAAATAAAACAGAGCCTTGACTTTGCCAGAGTCCATCATTGACTCCAAATATGTAGCAACACCTGTGTGTTCTAAAACTACGTCAAGTGGTGGGGAGAAGTTGGGGTAAAATAAATTAGATTTTGAAATGGAATAAAGAAAAAATAATGGTAGAACACTGTAAGGTGAAGACAGACATATAGTAGATGCTAGTTACAGACTGGACTCTGAACTTCCTTGCAAATGATTCAGAAAAGAATATATGAGAAATTGCCTTTAAATTATAAAGCTTTACACAAATGTTCATTAGTATTAATTGTACTATGAAAATTTCAAAAGGAGTTAAAACTCCAGGAGTTTATGGTTTTGTAGTCCCGAGTATAAAGCTGTGTTCTCAAATTTTCTTTTCTTTCTTTTTTTTTTTTTTTTTTTGAGATGGAGTCTTGCTCTGTTGCCCCGGCTGGAGTGCAGTGGTGCGATCTTGGCTCACTGCAACCTCTACCTCCCTGGTGCAAGCAATTCTCCCTGCCTCAGCCTCCCGAGTAGCTGGGATTACAGGTGCCCGCCAGCACGCCTGGCTAATTTTTGTATTATTTAGTAGAGACAGGGTTTCACCATGTTGTCCAGGCTGGTCTTGAACTCCTGACCTCAGGTGATCTGCCCACCTTGCCTACCAATGTACTGGGATTATAGGTGTGAGCCACTGCGCCCAGCCCTGTGTTCTCAAATTTTTGGTAAATATTTAAATATATTATGAACATCAGATTTTGTTTTTGCACTTTGAAACCCTTTTTTTTTTTTCAGTTTGCTGATTGACATAAAAAAACTTACTAGTGTCAATTATTTTTTTCCTTAAGTAAATTTAAGGGTGAATCTTGAGACATATAGCTTTGTAAATTTCTTAAATAGAAGGCTTTTCTCAACCAGAAATTAAATTGTAGTCTAGTTCTATAAAAATATATCTTACTAGGAAAGAAAACAGACCTCTGTTTTAGAATAGTGAGAAGATAGTAAAGTTTCTTTGTCATAGAATGAAATGTATAATTTTCCTCATCATTAAAAGTAAGAAGTTTCCTTATCACAAGGCACAATTAGGTCTTTTGGAAACAAATTATAAAATTGTAAATATTATCATAAAAGTTAAACATAGGCATATCCCCTAATAAGTTATATTTAATTACTAAAAATACCTTCATATTTAACAATCAGGCAGAAAAAAATAGTACGGTCTGCATATAAACTAAAATGGCACGTTTCTGTTGATAATTTCAGAGATTCTGGAAGTTTCTACCATATAAATTTGAAATACGTATTTGAGCATTAACTTATAACTAAGCTGTCAACATAAATGTAAATACGCTGTTTTTGAAATAAAAATTTAAAGCACCTAAGAGATGGAGTAAAAATGCACTAACTGTTTTTCCAAATATTAAACTTCTAGTAACCCCTTCTCAGAATATCCCTGAATATGTCTTTTTATGGCTTAGAGAGTTTTTTTCTTCCTTTTAATTGTGATAGTGATGGTGAATTCAGGACATATGGGTATTTACACAGTGTATAAACAGTGCTCAGAAGAATGCAGTTCCAAGATGATCTGTATTGTATAACATAAGTGTTCTGTTTTCCAGTTATTTACTGATAAACTTGCACATAACATTCTTGGTTGTGACAGCAGCGTCTGTAAACTGTCAGTCTGATTCTCAGCCTCGGGTTCATCTTTGCATAGGTGTTCTGTCTAATCACAATTATGGATGTTTAGGGTCTTGCTTTGGTCCGTTAAGTGATGCAAGTTTAAGTGATAAAGTTTACAGGCTCTAATCTGGAGCATGTGGGTCCCGTCAGCACCGAGCACACGCCCTCTGTGGTGGAAGAGGACACAGTGCGCAGCCGTGACTTTCAGTGCACTGGGCTTAAGTCTTTGAAAATAGTTCGAGACAGTTCCTCAGGTGGACTGGGATGTTTAGAAATCTGCTGGTCGGATCATCATGGTTGTGGCCTTGAGCGAATAGCCTGAGCCTTTCCAGTAGTACCATTTAATGCCGTTGAACTTATTTGTGTTCTGCCTCTGTGGATAGTACATTCCGTTCAAGTTGGAAGGACCACATGCATCAAACCACCAGCCTGTGAAAGTAAAACACAGAAGGAATTAGGAACTAGGTGATGCCAGCTCCCACCACGAAGACAGCAATACTCAGCTAAGGCAGGAGGCACACTGCAGGCGTGTGGAGTAGGCACATGCAGATGATGGTGAGTATAGGATGTGCACTGGCAGAGGGATTGTTTTCCAGCCATACACCCATGACATCACAGTTCCATTACGGCAAATGCTTTTACAAGCCTTCTTCCACCTTTTCCCTTGTGCTGTGTGGAGAGGCCTGAATTCTCCACAGTCCTATTTGGTAAGCCCACAGTGTGTACACACTTACAGCAGGAGTAAGCAAACATCTGAGGCACAGTTGGAAAACTCTCCTTCAACCAGGATTACTTTGCAGTCCCAGCAACATGGTGGGCTGGACTCGCTCAGGCTCCCCTTGCTCTATTAAATGATTTTTTCGGTTGAAGTTTAAACTAAAATATTAAGTACTCAGTGGAGCTACATAAAAAGGAAGTCTCTATGTTTCAGAGACAAAAAGGAAATTTAAAGTGAGAGTGTGTGCTCGCTCAGCTAAAGCCAGGGCAGGAGAGGTGTCCAGCACAGGGGCTGTGGGAGTGAAGCCCCATCTGCACCTTAATTTCTGGGCTTGGCCAAAAACAGGAGCATGCTGGGGTTTGTGAGAGAAAGAAACACAGTAGTCCCCCCTTATCTGCTATTTTTGCTTTCTGCACTTTCAGATACCTGAAGTCAGCTGGGCCAAAAATATTAAATGGAAAAATCTAGAAATATTCTATAAGCAGGGGCCGGGCGCAGTGGCTCACGCCTGTAATCCCAGCACTTTGGGAGGCCGAGGTGGGTGGATCACGAGATCAGGAGACCGAGACCATCCTGGCTAACACGGTGAAACCCCGTCTCTACTAAAAATACAAAAAATTAGCCGGGCGTGGTGGCGGACGCCTGTAGTCCCAGCTACTCGGGAGGCTGAGGCAGGAGAATGGCGTGAACCCGGGAGGCGGAGCTTGCAGTGAGCCGAGATCGCGCCACTGCACTCCAGCCTGGGCGACAGAGTGAGACTCCAGCTCAAAAAAAAAAAAAAAAAAAAGAATGTATAAACCTTAAATTGCATGCCGTTCTGAGTAACGGGATAAAATCTCCTGATGCCCACTTCATCCCTCCCAGAACATGAATAATCTCCTCTATCCAGTGGATCCACGCTGTCTACATCCGGTCTCCTGATCACTTAGTAGCTGTCTTGGTTATTAGATCGATTGTCACAGTATCGCAGTGCTTATGTTCAAGTAACGCTTATTTGACTTAATAATGGCCCCAAAAGTGCAAGAGTGATGATGCTGGCAATTCAGATATGTCAAAGAGAAGCTGTAAAGTGCTTCCTTTAAGTGAAAAGGTGAAAGTTCCTGACTTAATAAGGAGAGAAAAAAATCGTACACTAAGGATGCTAAGATCTATAGAAGAACAAATCTTATATCCATGAAATTGGAAGCAATATGTTGTATATTATTCAGTTTTATTATTGTTAAGTCTCTTGTGACTAGTTTACAAACTAAACTTTGTAAGTATGTGTGAACAGGAAAAAATATACACATAGGGTTTGATACTGTGTGTGATTTCAGGCATTTGCTGGACATCTTGGAATGTTTCCCCTAAGGATAAGGGAGGACTGCTGTAACCTTGATTTTACATATGTTAAACTGAATAAATCTCAACAACACTGTGTTGGAGGAACACATACAGTATGATACTCCTTATATTAATTTTTAAAATAGAGAAAATAATTATGATTGATATCTCCATATGTAGGAAAATTAATAAATAAAGTGAATTAACCTCGACCCAAGCGTCAGGTAGGGAATGGCACTGGCAGGTCCTCTTTAGCCTTACCCGTAATGCATTATTTCTTAATAAAAACTCTATGCCAAAGAATATATATATATATATTCTTATGTATATATAGAATATATATATATATTCTTATGTATATATAGAATATATATTCTTTATATATGTTTTATATATATGTATACATATATATGTTATATACATATATATGTATATAACATATATATGTTATATACATATAGAAAGAATATATATATTCTTTCTATATGTATATAGAATATATATATTCTTTCTATATGTATATAGAATATATATATTCTTTATATACATAAAGAATATATATATTCTTTATATACATATAGAATATATATATTCTTTACATATATAGAATATATATATTCTTTATATATGTATATATAGAATATATATTCTTTATATATGTATATATAGAATATATATACTTTATATATGTATATATAGAATGTATATTCTTTTTGTATATATGGAATATATATATTCTTTATATATTTATATATGAATGTATATATTCTTTATATCTATTTATATATAGAATATATATACTTTACATATATAGAATATATGTATTCTTTATTACGTATATATATTCTATATATATTCTATATATATTCTTTATATATACGTATATATAGAATATATATATTCTTTATATATGTATATATAAAAACATGCATATTCTTTATATATGTATATATAAAAACATGCATATTCTTTATATATGTATATATAAAAACATACATATTCTTTATATATGTATATATAAAAACATACATATTCTTTATATATGTATATATAAAAACATACATATTCTTTATATATGTATATATAAAAACATACATATTCTTTGTATATATAAAAACATATACATATTCTTTATATATGTATATATATAAAAACATATATATATTCTTTATATATATATATGTTGTGTTTATACATTGGTTTGTTATTTCATCCAGGTTCCTACATTGTTTCTTGGTGGTAACAGCTCAGTGACTTCATTTGATTCAGGTGAATGCAGATTGGACGGAAGTTTGCGTGTTCTATTCAGAATCCTTCACATATTCAGGACTTTGACAGATTCATAGGTCAGTGCCTTCTGGAGCTTGTCCAACTAGAGAAGTTGCTGTCCATGCAAAATGGAGCTGCTCATTAGGCTGGTTCATTCATGGTCCAGACCACTGGCTGGAATTTGACCTCTTCACAGGCAAGACCACTCCACTTTCTCTCTTGGGCTGTTTTTCCTCTCCCCAGTCTCTTTTCCAATTACATTCTCAGTCCCTAAATCTTGATTTGCCTAAGTAAATATATTGTTTCCTTGGTTATTAATGCAATTCTCCTACTCTCCTGAGAAGCTCAGCACATACGGGTGGTCTAATAAGCACACCCTTCTCAAGGAGAGAGCTGGGTCCAGCATGTGGGGAAATGGTAGACAGGAAACAAAGTCCTAGGTGTCTGTGGCTCCTCCACCTGACCCTTTCCCTGCTGTTCAGCTTTAAAAAGGATGATTGTGCCAGGATGAAGGAAACAGGAAGCTTTTGCAAAATCAATAGGAGGGCTTTGCTCATTGGTGTAATAATGGTGTAACATAGGGAGGACCTGTGGTACCAAATAGTAGTCATATTATCTCAGGAACCAGAGGATTGCTTTTTTTTTTTTTTTAATGAGGCCTGATTCTTTCAGCATAAAAGGCATGAAATTTAAAGACATGAAAATTACTGAATTTCATATTATTTTCATTACTAAATCCTCCTTTTGACTGTTAATGATGCTTTTTTTTTTTGAGACGGAGTCTCACTCTTGTCGTCCAGGCTGGATTGTACTGGTGCGATCTCGGCTCATTGCAAACTCTGTCTCCCCGGTTCAAGAGATTTTCCTGCCTCAGCCTCCTGAGTAGCTGGGATTACAGGCGTATGCCACCACGCCTGGCTAATTTTTGTATTTTTAGTAGAGATGGGGTTTTGCCATGTTGGCCAGGCTGGTCTCAAACTCCTGACCTCAGGTGATCCATCCACCTTGGCCTCCCAAAGTGCTGGGATTACAAGCGGGGGCCACCATGCCCAGCCCTATTAATGATTCCTATAGTGTAAATGCATCATAACTTGGGTCATCCATTTGTTTAATGTAGTAACTTTCATTTATAAAACATGTTGACCATAGCTGTTACCTTTGGTTTTCCTGGGTGGGTAACATATTAATTTTTGCAGATATGATTTATGTTCTCTAGAAATTAAACCCTGCCAATTTTCCTGTTAT
Organism: Homo sapiens; assembly: GCF_000001405.40. NCBI lineage: Eukaryota > Metazoa > Chordata > Mammalia > Primates > Hominidae > Homo > Homo sapiens. The sequence continues at coordinate 6,507,388 of NC_000008.11, forward strand.
TCTTTACATTCATTTTGCACTATTGGCAGAGTTTTTGTTGCTACTTTAAATCTTTCAGTGTTTTTCAAGAACTAACTTGACAGCATTTGTCACACTTTTTTCTTGTCTCAGTCACTAAGTAGCGTTTGTTCCTGTCAGTGAATTTCTAAACTTTTAACAAATCAGAAAAATAACACTTTCTTTTCTTTTTTTTTTTTTTTTTTTTTTTGAGTGAATTCTTGCTCTGTCCCCCAGGCTGGAGTGCAGTGGCACGATCTTGGGTTACTGCAACCTCTGCCTCCCAGGTTCAAGCCATTCTCCTGCCTGAGCCTCCTGAGTAGGAGTAGCTGGGATTACAGGTGCCAGCCACCATGCCCAGGTAATTTTTGTATTTTTAGTAGAGATGGGGTTTCAACATGTTGGCCAGGCTGGTCTTGAACTCCTAACTTCAGGTGATCCGCCCTCCTTGGCCTCCCAAAGTGCTGGCATTACAGGCGTGAGCCACCGGGCCCGGCCAGAAAAATAACATTTTCTAAAACTTTATTCCTATGTTTGAACTCTCAAATGTTTCTGAATACCAACCCATCTGTTTTAAGTGACTACTACAATGGTTTTTGGCTTATGAGTGTGGTTTTCATTGTCTGTTTTATGGCAGTGTAATACCAAACCTACAATACAAGAAAGGTCTCAAAGTAGAAGATGACTCATTTTAATTTGATTTACTAAAAAAGGTGGATTAACTCATTTGTGTTTATAGGTGTTGCTATATATTAATGGAATCTTTTTTAAAAAGACAGCTGGGGCCGGGTGTGGTGGCTCACACCTGTAATCTCAACACTTCTGGAGGCTGCGGCGGGCAGATCACTTGAGGTCAGCAGTTCGAGACCAGCCTGGCAAACATGGTGAAACCCTCCCTCTACTAAAAATACAAAATTAGCCGGGTGCACTGGTGGGCGCCTATAATCCCAGCACTGGGGAGGCTGAGGCAGGAGAATCGCTTGAGCCTGGGAGGCAGGGGTTGCAGTGAGCTGCGATCACACTCCCTTCTGGACAACAAAGTAAGACTCTGTCTCAAAATAAATAAATAAACAACTGGAGACTGTGTCTGTAAATAAATAAATAATAAATGACAGCTGGAAATTCCTTCTTTGAACATTAAATTATTAGTTGGAAATATTTCTATAATCTATATTACTGTTGTGGTTGCTACTTGGAATTTTTAACTTTTTACATAAAGCAAAATGTAATTAAACCATCTCTCTAGTATCCAGCAAGCACAAACGCAGGAGAGCTTGCTAAGAATCAAATATCCCCTCTCCTTGCCAGGGCTAGGTCCTGAGGAGACACAGTTGGCTTGCTGACAAGTCTAGCTCCATATCATATTCTCACTTAAAACTTAGTCTAAAAAAAGTGAAAAACACATTTACCTATATCAAGCTAGTGTGTCTACGTATGAAATTGTGGACATCGTTACAAATCACAATTTGTAGTCCAAATTGCCAGCCTTTCCCTCTATGAAATCATTCCTTGCCAATACAAATAGGAAGACAGAAAGTCATCCCTACCTCCTGTTAGCATTTGTGAACATTTGCAAATACATTTGTCGTTGTCTCCATCCTTTGTGCTAAAATCATTTCCTGGTTGGCTGATGCTGCTTATTTTGCCGGCTGTCCCTGTAAGTCCTTTAAGGTGAATCCTGTAAGCGTGCAAAGAAAAAAAACACATTGGCTAGGGTCATTGATTTACCGTAGTGGCAAATTTTTTGTGATGAAGAATTCCATTCTACAGAAGCGTGTTCTGTACTCGTTAATGGACTAATGCATACTCTGGACAAAATATTTTGCACTGGTATAAACAGGAACCAACTTATCATCAAATCCTTCAGCAAAGAGGGATGTTTTCATGAAACCTTCAACACATATCACTTGCACAACTATCAGAAGCGACTGTAGAGCCCTGTAATTTATTTTCCTGCTGCTTTCAGATAAACAGAAGAGAAAGAAATGCAGCACCAGGCTCCTCCTCCCAGGTCTCCAGTCATCTTCCATAGAGACGGAGTCCTGAGACAACTGGACAACCTCAAACATTATTTTCCGCAGGGGGCCCCGGGGGGGATGGAGAATGCAGCAGACAAGGAATGGCCACTGAGTTTGGGGAAGAAATCTACAGAACGGTGCTGAAAATAAATCCTTGTGGCTACATTTCCTCATGTCTGTATAGTAGGGTAATGTAATTAAACTTTTAGACATTGAGAAAGGAACAAATGTCGGAGTAAGTTAGACACTATTTACAATACAGACGATCCCTGACTTCCCATGGGGCTATGTTCTGATAAGCCCATTTTCTGTTGAAAATGTTGTATATTGAAAATGCATGGAATACACCTGACCTTTGGAGCATCATAGCTTAGCTCTAGCCTTCCTTAAATGTGCTCGGAACACTCACATTAGCCCACAGTCAGACAGAGCCATTTGGCAACACGGTGCACGCAGTGTCTGTTGTTCACCCTGGGGATCACAGGACTGACTGGGACCTGTGGCTCGCTGCCGCTGCCTGGCATCATGAGGGAGCATCGTGCCACATATCACTAGCCAGGGAAAGATCCAAATTTAAATCCCAAAGTGTAGTTTCTGCTGAATGCGTATCACCTTCACACCATCGTAAAGTCGAAAAATCTTAAGTTGAACCATTGTAAGCTGAATTGCAAAAATACGGCTTACATCGGTCATCTGTGTACCAGCAAGGAGCATATAAGGGAAGGGAGAAGACAATATTTTTGAGGTTGTTTTTTCTTTTTTTTTTTTTATTTTCCATAACTATGCTCAAGAGTTTCTGCTGCAAAGAAGCTTCTTGGCAGATGGTTCAGGACAGATCAGAGCAGGCATTCACGTAATGGGGTATGCCATGTTGGCACGTTGGGTCCTCACGTCCTGATGGAGAAACAGGCACACGAAGACCCAGGCGAGGAGCCTACAAAGCAAATCCTGCAATGGTGGCAGGAGAAGTGTACTTGAAGCACCAAGATGATGCCCTTCTTTGTAAAACCTGCTAATGTTTGCAAGCTGCCACATTGGAATAATATAATTTCTAACAGTTTGTATTGGAAGAATACAAAGAAGAGAGAAAATGTTCTTTTAGTTTTACCTGCTGGTCGGGCCAGGCCAGGTGCTTACACCTGCATGCACACTGGATGCTTATAACCACCTGCAGTGGTGGCCGCCATCTTTGTTTTGGCACTGAAAGTCACTGAGGTTCAGAGATATAAACTTGTCCGAGGTCAGACTCTTAAGTCATGGAGGTAGGATTTGCACCAGATGCAGCAAATGCCTCTGCCGTGTTTCAACACTGGTGCACACCTAAACAGAGATGTTTGTTTGTTGAAGAAGTTGTGAAAAGATGAGGGTAGGGCCATGTGATGTGGAGTTCTGTAAGTGTTGCTCCTAAGTGACTTCAGTATTAAGGCAGCCCTAGAAACTTCATCCTAAGGCATGAACTGGACATGTGAGTCTCAGTATTTTCCCACATGTTTCAAAAGTGAGACTGGCCGTAGCTCAGTCTCTAAATGCCTGCTGCAAAATGCTAATGTCATAAATACTCATCTCTGTTGGGATTTTGAAACACTGTACTTTCTTTCCATTGTCTTCCCATTAATCATAGACAGGATTGAGATGAACCACTTCCCTTGCTTATCTTTTAACTCTCTCTTGTCTCCTTTGAACATGTTTAGTTCTCATGGAACTTGTTAAATTATCCCCAGAGGCAAGAAAAATAAGGGAGAATACTATTTTTTATGAGTCTCTGTTAGAAAGGTTTTGTGTAATTTTAGGTCCTTTTGTGGCCCACTGGTTTAAAGTGCTTTCTTTAAAATTTGGTTATTAAGAATGGCCACGTTCTTGAAGTTGCTTTACATTGGTATGGGTTGATTTTTTTTTTTCAATCTCTGCAGCTTTGCCAGGGATGATTTTATATAACAGTGGAGTAAAGAGGTAACATCAACATTAACAATTAAACCTCAGTGTTATATAAAACTGCCAGAATGTGTGTGAAAAGTGATGAATTTTTAAGATTTAATGTACGCATAGCTTTTAGTTTCACTAGAAAGAATGAAATTCTATTGATGCATTTATGCATTTCTTATAACATGTATTTTCCAGTTTTCCAACACTTGGGGAACATTTCTTCTGGGAAAAAAAAATCCCTTACATGCTGCATACAACTGGCGTCTCAAAGCATTTGCAGTTATGAGAAGTTTCAGTCCCTTCACAGTTCTCTTATCATGCTAGCATCATGTTTTATTAGGATAATAATTTTCGATGTAATATCTATTTTATCTTGCCAAGCAAATTAAGCTTTAAACCAATGTGTGTGTTTTTCTAAATGGCCTATCCAAAAATTGATTGCATTTCTAAAGGAAATATCTGTTAAGAACCATCTCAGTTTAAAATATTTTTATAATGTCAGCGTACAAGGGTAATGACCCATTTTGTAAAAATCTTTTTATACAAACAGCCTAATCCTTAATTTTTGTGCTTCTTTTTTTTTTTTTTTTAATTCTTCTGTTGTAGATTCCTAACTGTTGCCAGTTGAAAAAATATTTAACTTGGAGGTAAAACACTGACCAACCACTTGTGTCTCAAAATTCATTGAAGTTTTGATCTCTTTGGAGTCAAGTTGGAACTGCTGTGAGGCCCAAACACCTATCTTCTCATTCATCTCGGTTGTTGCCTCTCCAGGAGAGCCTGATCTTTCCATAATGAGAATAGTGAATATGCTTCACTGATGTTTAAAGAGTCACATCCATGTATATCTGTTTCTCAAACATGCTTCTGAATTTTCATCCACTGTTTGTACAGCAGGACATACTGGGCATTGTAGAGTTTTCAGTTGGTTGTTCAGGCAACTTGACATTTAGCCGCTTCTCCGTGCTGCCCACCACAATCCTCCCCTGGGCAGCCTGCTCAAGGACTTTAACATTGTGTCTCCTTTCAGACTGTTCAGGTCGTGGAGCGGAGTGTCTGACTTGGGCATTAATGAGATGAAGACGAGACTGTAGGTCAGATGATGACTGTTTTTGTGATGTTCGTGTTGACCTTCATTTGCTAATTTCTGACCTCAAAGTGGGTATTTCATAATGTGTGCTCCATGATCACGAGGCGCCACCAGTCTGTGCTCTTTAGACTCCTTTAGGCTGGCGTTGGTGCCAGTGGGCACACAGTCTCACTTCTCTGCCCCTCCCGTTGCACACACATTTCGGAGTGCCTCTATGTGCCTTGTGTACCAGCATTACTGTGCATGTGGCTTCACCGTACTTATCTTGCACACTAGGTTGTCAAGTCCCATTGCTGTTCTCTCTCTCTACTCTCATGGCATTTTAGAGGCAGAAAGTAAATTCCCAGTCAAGGTTGCCCATGCTATTACTTATGATTATTGCTACCAAATGGGTGAGGACAAGGTAAACACCCAGGGAATGCTGTGAATCTGATGTATTTCCTGTAGAGGAGAGCAGAGTTGACTAACCATCCCACCTAACTCTGCCATCTCTAAACTTGACAACTAATCTTGACTTTGAGATTGAAGACAATTGAATGTGTTTAAACTTCATAAAGACAGACTAACTTTTGAAACCTTTTGGAATAAAACAGCACAGTCACAAGTATCCATCATTTATGCTATTCATGTGACATATTATCATGGGAACACTTACTATTCACTGATTTTACAAATACCTATGAAAGCCAATTATCTACCAGGCAGAGTTCTTCTAGGCTTTGAAGATACACAGTAAACACAATGGACAAAATACTGTTTGTATGAAGTTTCTTTTATATTGTTATAACCAAAGTTAGAATTTTAAACCCAGAGAAACTTAAAGAAGTAATAGTTTAGATCTTGGTTAAATCATTGTGTTTCTCATTTTCTGGAATAGTCACCCAGCAAACCTTTTAATTTTTTTTTTCTTTTTCTTTTTCTTTTTTTTTTTTTTTGAGACGGAGTCTTGCTCTGTCGCCCAGGTTGCAGTGCCGTGGCACGATCTCGGCTCACTGCAAGCTCCGCCTCCCGGGTTCACGCCATTCTTCTGCCTCAGCCTCCCGAGTAGCTGGGACTACAGGCGCCCACCACCACACCTGGCTAATTTTTTTGTACTTCTAGTAGAGACAGGGTTTCACTTTGTTTGCCAGGATGGTCTCAATCTCCTGACCTCGTGATCTGCCCACCTCGGCCTCCCAAAGTGCTGGGATTACAGGCGTGAGCCACCGTGCCCGGCCACAAATCTTTTAATTTTTTCTTTCAATTACCATGAACTCACTTACCTATAATTGAGTTCTTCACTTGAGAGATAGAAATGTTCATACAATGAGTAAGCCTCATTCCCTTCCCAGTCTTTAAGGTGTATTTTAAGCACATAGCGTTGCTGATTAGTCAGTTGCGAAACAAACTCATTTCCCAGCCAATATTCTCCTGAAGGGTTACCAAATCCCTGTAATGCAAGTTGTTAAATTCAATTATTTCATGTAATTTTTTCTTTGTATATTTGAAGTGGATAGTCCGTCAACTTAACATAGAATAACTATCAAATAGCAGAAATTCCTTCTGGTGCTGTGACAATTTAGGGTCCTTCCCAAAGGAAAATGGATTTTAAATAGGTCAGTTATTAGACACTAAGCTGCTGCTGGAAGAAAACTTGTATTAGGATAATGAGAACTACTTGGGGAGCCACCAGCAGAAGCCTTGGCATAAACAGCTCAGTTCATGGGAATGTGAAGCACCATTAAACAGTCGGCTTACCAAAAAAATGCTGAGTCCACCTTTAAAAATAAGCTAAGTAGTGGCAGCCTTGTTTATTTGAGAGTCTTACTCTGTTGCCCAGGCTGGAGTGCAGTGGTGTGATCTTGGCTGACTGCACCCTCTGCCTCCCAGGTTCAAGCGATTCTCCTGCCTCAGCCTCCTGAGTAGCTGGGATTACAGGTGTGCACCACCACACCTGGCTAATATTTGTATTTTTAGTAGATACAGAGTTTTGTTATGTTGGCCAACTGGTCTCAAACTCCTGACCTCAGGTAATCCATCTGCCTCGGCCTCCCAAAGTGCTGGGATTACAGGCGTGAGCCAGCACGTCTGGCTGCAGCTTTTGTTTTGATACAGTTTACCTTATATTGGCCATTCTTTAAAGGGGAGACTGAAGCACCAATTTTAAAAACCATGTCAAAAGTCATTGGTTAGTTTGGGATTGGTGGTTAAGGTTCCGCAGATCTTGAAAGCTATTTTTCACAAGGGAAATTCTTTTCTGATGCCTTAAAGAATGTCCTTACCACTTTATATTCTTTCCAAGTCCTCTGAAAATCAACGCTGCCATCCTCACGTCGCTGAATAATTGTCCACCCGCCTCCTCCAGCTTCCATGTCACAGTAGGCCTGCAAACAGGAATGCAGGGTATAAGTGACAGAGCCCCCCCACTCCCCCCTTACGTAGCAGAAGCAGGAGGAATGTAGACCCTGAGTGCAGGACTCAGCCGAGAGGGTTCTCTGGGATATAAGGCACGGAGTAGACCATCGGGGTTGTCTAAGAAACAGATGGTTTCAAATAAATTGAAAGTGATGGATTAAAATGATGGTGAAACATAAACAGTAATATAATATAAAGTGTTGATGAGAATATGACTCACTTGTCATCATCTGTTCCAGGCTAAAGACCCCACCCTGATGGCTGGTCCAGAGATTGCTGTTTTTTTAGAGATTCATTATGAATGGCACATTTTGGCAGATTGGCCCCGAACCCCACATCTCCATCCTGTAGAAAACCATTGACTTGTGTTCACAGCCTTGAAACCTTTCACTAAATGCCAGCCCCTGCCCCTCCACAGAGAGCTATGTGAAGGGGATACTCTTTGATCATAGGGTTTGGAGGACTCCTGTTACATTCTCGTACTGTGGGGCTGTTTGGCTTCCTTTATGTGCAATACTAATCAGATTTTTTGGTTCACATCTGAGCACAAGGGCCTTGAGGCTCCAGTGTCCTGGTGCAAGGTGTGTGACCTGGGCTTGGCTTAGCACCTTGGCCTCAAGGGCATGACTTCACGCTTCTCTGTACATAGCTCACTGCCCACAGTTTTTCTCTAAGCAACTCTTTTTATTTCTGCTCTTAAACTGGCTCTGTGGGTTTAAACTTTGTCCAGAACACAGAATTCTTTCTTAAGCTAAGCGCATGCATGCTCAATTTCAACTCAGCTGGAGTTTTATTATGAAATTAAAAACCCCTGAAAATAAGATTACATAAATAGTTTTAAATAATAAAGATTACAGTAGAACGAAACATGTTTTCCAGAAAGTAAGATAAATTTTCTGCCACATACAAGGTAGGAAATATTGAAGTTAAGGTTCAAAACCAATTGTAAATATTCTTCTTGTGTTGTGTCCCATGGTCTTTTTGAGAATAATGGAGGCGATTTGGCAGGGTAAGCTTCAACGCACACTGTTCTCTGTTTACGAGTTAGAATCCTAAAGAGGAGAGCGAAAAGAGAACCAAGAGAGTGCTATTCCTGTTCTTTCATTTCCTACATGAGGAAAGAGGGGTGCAGAGGAAGTGCAGTGGCTGCCTGATGCCTCATTGCCAGTGCAACCAGAGAACTGTCCCTGGAACAGCCTGGTCTGCAGGGGACTTCTCCCCAGCATGGTTCTGGTCTCTCTCCAGGAAGGTCACCCAGCTCGTATTGCCTTCCCCAGTGGCACTCATGTTTGGAAACATAGGTGCCATTAATGAAAGTTACATTTATTAAGAAGAAAATTATTTCCTCATTTTAAATTAATCTGATGTAGAAAATCAGTCTGCACAAGCTAACCCCTTGTTACCGCTCTGTATTGCTATGATTTTTATTATCATTGCTACACACCACTCTCATCCAAGTACTCTGCCAGATACTTTGTGTATATTATCTATAATCTCACAGCAACTCTGCTGTAGTATCATAATTCTGCATTTTTGAAAGGAGAAAAGATTTAGCAAAGTTCGATTTTGATCAGTTACTCACCTTCTAAGTGATATATAGGATTTGAATAAGGTCTCTTTGATTCCTGTTATGTTTTTTTTCCACTGACATCATGCTGCCAAAAACAGAGAAACCTGACCCTTTGGTAAATAGGCCAAAAGTCCCTCAACACAGTTCCAAGTTTAAATCAGTTCATGAATAATACTGCCTCTTATTTGCCTGCAGTCAACAAAATGGTCAGTGCTGCTCACTTCTATCAATATTTCTTTTTAAAAATCTATTTCATAAACCAGCTGAATAAGCTACTTTGGTTTGAGGATTCATGTACATATATTGAAGTTAATTCTGTATCCTAAATGGTATGCTCTTGGGTTGAAAGCATTGACGTGGCTCTTGGTGAGCCTATCCTTGTTCCAAGAATGTTTGATTCTTCAGTGTCAAAATTACTGCTATGAAGTTACCAGTACTTAAATACATGTTCTATCTTGTTCAGAGAACAAGTTTATCTTGTTATGGAAGTCAGAGGCAAAACTCTTAAATGTCTGAGAGTCACTGCCAGCACATAAATGATTTGAGCCATATGAGTATTCGCTTTGATTCCATTAGTGATGATGATAAGGTTATTAGAACATTTTCTTAGTACTTCATCCAGGTTTTTAGAAAAAAGAACAGAGGATTTGTAAAAACTGGAGTATTATGGTTAATTGGACTATAAAACTTGCAGAGAAAGATAGTGTTCAAATAGAGTTATCTACCCAGCCAGAAGATACTGAGTAAAAGTGCTGAAATTGATTATATCAGGATCAGCAAAGCAGAAGTCCTCAGATACTTCCCAAGACCTTACCACTCCAATTACAACAAACCTAAGGGCAGTTAATATCTTTAATCTGTCCACTGGTGCATGGTGCAGGAACCTGATATCTTTCTATAAAGCTTGATGTTTTTCAGCAAATAATACTTGACTTGCTTCAACTCTGAGGCAATGATTAAGTGACGGGTTAAATAGCAAACCATAGAGACAACCGTTAGGAGTCAGGTGTCCTGTGAAATTTAGGGAAGGAAATGACCATACATGCTTTTGATAAATGCCATCTTGCAGTCTCTCTCTCGTAGAAGAACCAAATGAATTTTTCAAAACTAAAGCTGCAGTATTTTGGCCTTTCAGGAAAAGATGTGCTCAAAGACCAATTGAACATTCTTTTCTTGAATTAGATAAATGAGTGCAGAATCGGGTCTCCTGCCAGGCAGAGAAGTTGTCTGGTAGTCTTTGAAGGCAGTGAAAATGGTGACCACTACCATTTACTGTCCCAAGTTCTACCCCAGGGGCTGTCCCTGTGTTGTCACAACCCCCAAGGCTGAGGGTATCATTGTTCTGTTACAGATGGGGAAACTGAGCTCTCAGAAAGGTTAAATGACTCGCCCAGAGCCACAAATGGCAGAGCTAGAATTTACATCCAAGTCTGTCTATCTCTCCCTGGATCAGATTGTGACTTACAGAGTCTTAAGTCTGGAAGGGAATTTAGAAGTAACAATTGACACCACTTATTTTTCAAGATGAGAAAATTGAGGTTTGTGAAAGCTTATTGTTCCCTGCTGTGTAAATGAGTTTCTTTTACTGCAAATGTTTAAAGGGAATATAAATCCTAATGTTTCCAACCATGACCTGAGGCTCATATAATCCCAGAGTACTATATATTTTCATCTTTCTGCAGAATATTTCAGTTATTCTGGGGGCCATGGGGTGGGACAGTGCACTGGGGTGGGAAGCTTGCACTTAGACTGAGAAACATAGATGAAACAATGTGATGGGGCTGCATGGTTAGCGGCTGTCCCTCTGCATCGGTGTCCATGGCATCCCCATTTCACATGCATCCTCTGTCCCCCCTCTTGACACTCCTGTCCCCAGGCCAAGAACACGCCAACATCTGGTGACAGACAATGGCATGCACAGAATTGTCATGAAAACCAGATAGCAAAAGAGATTGAAAGGCTTAGCCTAGAGTCTGTTCGTTGCCTTTTCATCTGCAGCAGACTGTGTTGTTTGTGGGTTTGTTCCCTTCCTTCCCTGTTGTATGGCTTCTAGGGCGTTAGGGACATTAACTAATTTTCAGGGTTGATTTAACACAGCATTAATGAATTAGAAAGGTTTCTTTGGAAAGCATTATGTTGAATAGCACAATATTTATCTTTTCCGTTCATAATCAAGATACATGTTACTGTTTCAAGTTCCAGGTCTTTAAAACCCTAATGCTTGTATTTTTAAAGTGTTTTTCTTTGATACTGTTTTAAATACTTAGGATAATACTCAATTTAAAGAGATAATACTTCCAAGAGCCTCGAAAATTTCCACTTTGGTACAGTATCCACTGTATTCTCTGTAGTTATTTGTGTTGGTTCAATATGTAGCTGCTTTTACATTTATATGCAAACATATTTATAGACATTTAATATATACAGTTATCCAGTAGTTACATAACACTTCACCACACTGATTCTCCTGTAATATCATTCTTCCCTATCAAATGTTTAAGAGAAGCCACATTGAAATATTCTCCGGAAGGGTTTTTTTTTTTCCTTATCTAAAGTTCAGTGTCTCCCAAAGCACCTTCAGGAGTCAGGCTCTCTGAGTGAGGCTGCAGAACTAGGAATGACTGAGGTAAGCTGTGTTGTGGCTTTGCCTGCTGTGAGTACTGACTGTCCACTCACGTTACATGCAGTAATTGGACATATGCCTTGAAGTGAACTCCGCTGCTGGAGAAGAAAATGAACACTGTCTTTATGGTGTGTTTCGAGTCTTCCAGACTGCGTTAGATGAGGTTAGAATCGCCTTCCCCAGCGGTTCTCATGGTGTGGACCTCAGAATCCTGCGTGTCCCTCAGACCATGTCACCAAGTCCACAGGTTGAAACTGTTTTCACGATGCTAAGACACCACCGGTCTGTGGCACTGTGTTAGCGTTTGCTCAGATAGAGCAAAAACCATGGTGGGTAAAACTGCCACCATCCCCGTGTGAGGCAGGGCAGCGGTAGCTAACTGTACAAGTCACTATGCAGTCACACACAAAAAAGAAAGGAACAATAATATCACTGAAAAATGACTTTGACACAGCAGTAGAAATTATTAATTTCATGACACCTCTATGGCTGATGCACTATGGTTGTTCAACCTTCAGTTTTTGGAAGATACTTTCTTTAAGGAAATGAGTCTGACACCTCAGGAAAAACAACTGACAGTATGCATTATTCAAGCAAAATGCAAGGAGAATGTATTTCTTGCCGAAGATAAGATAGACATTTCTACATCATTCATATGCAGCTTTTGTATTTTCTGCACAGCAGCGGCACTTAGAGCCCTTGGCAAGCACTCTAGGCGAGGTAGCTGCCCAGTAACTATGGCTTTGTACTGTGTGAGGCTGGGGAAGATCTTTGGGGAGAGACTTCTGCTCTCTGGTTCCTCACTCACTAAAGTGGCCTGCCTAGAGCCAGGGAGTTAGTAAGGGGAGACGAATACCTCACCTTGATCTCTTCTGTAGAATTAGGGAATGTTAACGTGTAGATGCCATTCGTGGTGTGTCCTGATTTGAATACTTCAGCACAGTCTCTGAAGCTGATTTGTTCTTCTTTAGCAACAGTGGGGTCCTTAGCTGCTTTTAAAAAATAGTAAGGCATTTAAACGGAGTTCATGAAAAGACAAAGACTTGTTATTTCAAGAGCCAATCATTTGGTGAGTTTTATTACTTTGGAATTCTTAAGTAAGCAAAAGGCTGTACCACTTTTTTAACCTTTCTAGAAAGTTTCCTTTCAGCCTGTTTTCTTCTTAATTCTCAAAAGATTAATACTTACTTTTTGGTCATTAATTCCATGTAATTAAAATACTTCAAATAATCCAAACTTCCTTTGCTGATGATCAATTACATGTAATGAAAGTACTTCACAATCACATAAATTAAATTATTACTTTTGAAGATCTTTCATCTTGAGCAGAATAGGGTAAACTTAGTATGGAAGAATTTAAAAAGAATGTCCCTAAACACTGTTATCTGTATCATGACCCCATTGCCTGCCCCTTCAGGCCATTATCCCACTGAGGACATAGTGGGGTGCAGTGACACATCTCAGCTTACCGCATCCTCCTCCTCCCAGGTTTAAGTGATTCTCCTACCTCAGCCTCCCAAGCAGCTGGGATTTCAGGTGCCCACCACCAAGCCCAGCTAATTTTTGTATTTTTAGTAGAGACAGGATTTCACCATGTTGGCCACGCTGGTCTCCAACTCCTGTCCTCAAGTGATCTGCCTGCCTCAGCCTCCCAAAGTGCTGCAATTAGAGGCGTGATCCACCACACCTGGCCCTTCCCTCCAATATATAAGAGACGCTGCAAAGTGAAACAATAATAAGGAAGGCAAAATGTGCTTAAGAACCTGGCAAGATAAGGGAACTAGCATCTCTTAAGTGCCATTGTATTATCTCATTTAATCTTAATGGCCATCCCATGGGTCTGATATTATTTTTCCCATGTAAAACCTAAATAAATGAATATCGGCTGTGGTTTAGTAATTTGCCCAGTCTCATCCTTCTAATTAATGATGGAACTAACTAAAAGTAGGCTCTTTACTGCCATGAATCAAAAGTATGCTTGGGGTGTTTGCTTCATAATAATTAGTATAACATATATTTCCCCTTCTCTTCTTCCTTCATTTTAATTGGTAGATATTTCATATGAAATATATGAGAAATAGCGCCTTTTCTGAAAGGTGAGAATTTTTTAGTCTTTTGAGTGTTTTACTGACTAAAGGTTATTAACGCTGAAGAAAGCATGATATGTAAACTTACAGTTTGATGTGGACATCATAGTCAGTAAGTTATTAACTGTCTCCATGAGATCATGTTGCTGCTTCTGAAGAACTGAATTATTCACCGTGGCAGTCACTATTTTTTTTTCTAGTTCTTCAATGATGGAATTTTGCTTGGATACTAACACCTGTAGCTGATCTTTCTCTTCTTTTATTGACTGTAGTTGGATGATGTGCTTGTCTTCCATAGCTAGCACCTTCTTTTCTAGGAAACTTGTAAGGAAAAGAATTGTTAGTTAGTGAAGGCTATTCTAATGAAATATTTTATATTTATTGAATTTCTACTTCTCCAAGGTACTCTGTTAAGATATTGTAGTGGTTATAAAGTAATATGATGTTACCAGAGCCCTAAGGAATCTCTGAAACTTGCTGAGAAGATTAGATATATAAATGTGTGTATATATGTAAACGTATAAGCATATATGTATGTACATGCAGACTTATGCATACACACAAGAAAAGGTACCCCATCTGGTCCAGGATAGGTGGGATATGGGTGTTTTTTGTATTAGATGCTGCAGCGCTCAGAAGAAAGGTGCTGCTCTTTCAAGCTTAGTGCTCATGAAGTGCTTTTTTGAGAAGGGAGAGTTTCAACTGGGCTGGACCCTTGGGTAGGATATTAGCTTTCTCCTAAACTATTTATATTTTAATATTAATCCTAATGATAATAATAGCACTTAATGCTATGTGAGAAATACTCCTTCATGGGGAGGTGAATACTTCTCCCAGACTCAAGTACTGGCTTACCAGCCCTGCGACTTGGAACAGTTTACTTAGTCACCCTATGCGTTAATGTCCTCACCTGTTAATTAGGATACTATCACCTAGGTCATGGGGTTGGTGTGAGGAACAAATGGGTTTTAAAATGTAAATGCTGGCCGGGCGCAGTGGCTCACGCTTGTAATCCCAGCACTTTGGGAGGCCGAGGCGGGCGGATCACGAGGTCGGGAGATTGAGAGTATCCTGGCTAACACGGTGAAACCCCGTCTCCACTAAAAATACAAAAAATTCTCCAGGCGTGGTGGCGGGCGCCTGTAGTCACAGCTACTCTGGAGGCTGAGGCAGGAGAATGGCGTGATCTCGGGAGGCGGAGCTTGCAGTGAGCTGAGATCATGCCACTGCACTCCAGCCTGGGCGACAGAGCGAGACTCCGTCTCAAAAAAAAAGAAAAAAAAATGTAAACGCTTAGACTAGCGCCTGTCATACATTAACAGTCAATGAATGTTTGTTAACGTTAATATAGACATTATTATTCCCATTTCCAATGAGGAAATTGAAACTTAGGGACATTGAGGGCCAGGCTCAGTGGCTCACACCTATAATCCCAGCACTTTGGAAGGCTGAGGCAGGTGTATCACTAGAGTCCAGGAGCTTGAGAGCAGGCTGGCCAACATGGTGAAACCCTCTCTCTACTAAAAATACAAAAATTAGCCAAGCGTGGGGGTACATGAATGTAATCCCAGCTACTCAGGAGGCTGAGGCAGGAGAACTGCTTGAACCCGGGAGGTGGAGGTTGCAGTGAGCTGAGATTATGCCATTGCACTCCAGCCTGGGCAACAGAGCGAGACATCGTCTCAAAAAAAAAAAAGAAAAGAAAAGAAATGTAGGAAGAATGAATCACATACCTAAAGTCACACACAGCAGGTGGCAGGGGCAGAATACAATCCCAGAACTTTCTGACTCTGAAATCTGCTTCTCTCCTTTTAATGTGGCCCCATTCCTTCTCTAAAAAATCTAACCAGCGCTATGGCATGTACTTAATACATAACAGTTAATATGTGAGCCAAGCCCTTGAAAAGTTTTTTTTTTTCTTTTTTTGAGATGGAGTCTCGCTCTGTCACCCAGACTGGAGTGCAAGGGTGCCATCTTGGCTCACTGCAACCTTCACCTCCCAGGTTCAAGCTATTCTCCTGCCTCAGTCTCCCGAGTAGCTGGGACTACAGGCGCATGTCACCATGTCAGGCTAACTTTTTGTATTTTTAGTAGAGATGGGCTTTTACCGTGTTAGCCAGGGTGGTCTCGATCTCCTGACCTCGTGATCCGCCCGCCCCTGCCTCCCAAAGTGCTGGGATTACAGGCATGAGCCACCACGCCTGGCAGAAAAGCTTTTTAAAAATTATTTAGAGAGCTGGTAAAATTATGCCATGTAAGTCCTAAGATACTTTATTAATGGTTATATAGTTTGCCTTCCTAATTTCAACTTATAAACATACATTGCTATAAATATGTTCAATGAAGAGCATACCACTTTTAAACTAAAAATAGTTCCTGTCCATTAAGCCAGAGGAAACAAATCCAAGAGAGTAGAGACTATGTATTTGAGAATGTTAACTGTTTCCCAGGAACAAACTCAAAGACATGCACAGTCAAGGTATTTGGCAGGGTTTTTTGTTTTTTGTTTTGAGATGGAGTCTCGGAGTCTCGCGCTGTGGCCTGGGCTGTTGTGCAGTGGCGCGATCTCAGCTCGCTGCAACCTCCGCCTCCCGGATTCAAGCAGTTCTCCTGCCTCAGCCTCCTGAGTAGTTAGGATTACAGGTGTGCCACCACGCCCAGCTAATTTTTTGTATTTTTAGTAGAGACGTGGTTTCATTATGTTGTCCAGGCTGGTCTCGAACTCCTGACTTCCTGATTCGTCCACCTCGGCCTTCCAAAGTGCTGGAATTACAGGCATGAGCCACCGTGCCTGGCTGGCATTTTTTTTTTTTTTTAATAAGATACAAGAGGAAAATTGGATAGCCTGACACTACATTATTCAGCACCTAAAGAGGCTTTCTGTGATAATTGCAGGAAAAGCAGCAACTAAAGATGTTTCAATATCTTCATTTTGTTTGTACAAGGCCAGTAAATAAAGCTTTCAAAATATAGACACTTTTAAAAATAGAAAAACAGTGACCAGATGTCAGATTCCTCTCTCTGACATTTTCCTTCCAATATAAAGTTTAGTACACATGAATTTGCACATTGCAGAGTTTTGTTTTAAAGGAAGGGGACCTCATATTCCCTTTTTTGAGTCCCGTATAAGTCAGCTGTCTTATTTAATAATGAAATATGTCAATGATGGCATCTTTATGTTTCAGAATTATTTTCTGTCTACTAACAAGTTACCACAGCTTCTGTTAATGTCACATTAGAAGCTGGTGAAATATTCTATACATTTCACTAGCTTTTCTGCGAAGGCATATGAAGAGCAGAGAAACATTATTTTCCCACCTGCTTGATAAAGAAACCTTGAACCGGCCATTTAACACTGCTGTGAGTTATCTGAAGCCTCCTGAGTCACTTTGCACTTACTTTCCTAGGAACCGAAAGCATGTGAAATTGACATACACGTTTCACTGAGTGATAGTTGGGTTCAGATCACGTCTTACCTTCCGTTTAACAGAGATGTATTGAACACCTACCATGTACGAGGTGTTTTTTAGGGTTTTGGAGAAAAATCAAGAAATGAAAGCATCATGAACCATAGTCTTAAGCCTGCGGAAATTTAGATGTTTTGATGGTCTTCACATCATCAAGCTAAAAAGACAAGGCTATGAATGTCTCCCTTGAGGAAAAACTACCCTTGTGGCCATGTAAGGTCTGTAAATAGAAGTTATCACAGGGAATACATATGAAGATCATGGTTTCACTGAAGAGAAAATGGAGACCCTGAGAAGTCACCTTTGGTGTCACGAGCACCTTCAGGTGAAAGGAAGTAGCCTTAGGCTGGGAATCCCACCTCTGCACATGGCTTCCTGTGTCACAAGGGCAGACACCCTGCTGTGGACCTCAGGTGCATGTCTGTCTAGGTGAATATCTATCTAAATAAAGCTCTATGTAAAATGAAGGCATTCGATTTCATGGCCTCTCGGGCCCCTTTTAGTTCGAATGATCTGGTAAATCCACCTTTTTTTGACAGTAACATTTTCTGACTCTTTAACCCTGCAAACAATATTAACCAGCCAAGGAACTGGCTACCCATTACATATCTCGCCCATAAGCAATAACAATCAGTATTAATAATAATTATTAGATATTCAATTGTAGCTCTTAAATGTATTCCAGCCCCCTGATCGTTGTAAATTAGTATGTAATTTTGGAGAGATGGGGGTCTGT
Organism: Homo sapiens; assembly: GCF_000001405.40. Taxonomy (NCBI): domain Eukaryota; kingdom Metazoa; phylum Chordata; class Mammalia; order Primates; family Hominidae; genus Homo; species Homo sapiens. The sequence goes on from NC_000008.11 coordinate 6,525,293, forward strand.
CTTTGTTGCCCAGGTTGGTATCAAACTCCTAGGTTCAAGCGATCCACCTGCCTCAGCCATCCAAATAGGAGGGATTACAGGTGTGTGCCACCACATCTGGCTAATTTTTGTATTTTTTGTAAAAATGAGTTCTCATTATATTGCCCTGGCTAGTCTCAAACTCCTGGCCTCAAGAAATCCTATCACTCTGGCCTCCCAAAGTGCTGGGATTATAGGCATGAGCCACTGTGCCTGGCTTGAATCTATTCTATAAAGAAAGCAATTGCACTTTTGGGGAATTATAAAAGATTATTTAAAATGTGGTTTGTCCAATGTGAAACACCATTTGCATATTTTTGTAATGATATACTTGCAAATAAAATCATAGGCCAGTCAGAATTAAGGTAGAAAACACAGCATGCAGAACTCATACACCTGTAAAATCATCAACACTATTTTCTTTTTTTATTATTTATAGCTGTTGATGAAAAAAACCTTTTTATTTCCTTTCATATCTGTGACAAAAAAATACGATTTCTACAGCTGATGAGAAAAAGCTTATTCTTCCTACAGGCATAGTTGAAAGCCAATATGATTGGAAAAATATTTGCAAAGATGATATTTGGGGAACATAATTGACCCAAATTGGTAGTTTTAGCATTGTAGCATGCTAAATTTGAAACCCAAGTGGGGAAACAGTATTCAGTATTAGGGTATGTTCTACAAACTGGACATATCCTAGGTTTGTCACGGACATCATTGTATAACAGGCAAGAGAAAAGTAATCTCCAGCTCCCATGTGTTCCAGGAATCACTGCAGCATTTTGAAGAGAACATTACTAAGTAAGACTATTTTAAGAAAACGACGCCAGGTACGGTGGCTCATGCCTGTAATCCCAGCACTTTAGGATGCTGCGGTGGGCAGAAGGCTTAAATTCAGGAGTTTGAGACCAGCCTGGGCAATATGGCAAAACCTTGCCTCTACTAAAAAAAAAAAAAAAAAAAAAAAAAAAATCAGCTGGGTGTGTGACACATGCCTGTAGTCCCAGCTACTCAGGAGGCTGACATGGGAGAATCACCTGAGCCCAGGAGGTTGAGGATGCAGTAAGCTGAGATGGCACCACTGCACTCCAGCCAGGGCAACCAGAGTGAGACCCTGTCTCAAAAAAAAAACACAGAAAAGAAAATGAAATTAGCAGGATTGTTATATCTCAATGATTGGTCTCAAATGTTCATTTACTGTTTGTAGAGGAGAAATCTGAAACATGAAAGAAAAATATTTGAATTTTAAAAATCTATTTGCTTTTCAAAACCCTAAATCAATAATGACTTAAACTTGGTATCCAAAGGACAGAAAGAATTATTTCAGCTTAGTTCTTGATTAACAGTAAAGAACAATTATTGAACAAGAAGTTTATCATTTTTGGTTAAGAATAAAGAATTATTTAAATTGTGAAATAGGATATATTGTTATAGCCATGTTCCATGTTGTATATACATGTCTTCATTAAAAACAAGGAAATAGGCACACCAGGTATGTGCATAAAATTATCCTCTTTTGTCCCAAGTGGAACAGACATATGAAAACAGTCCCCACCTATCCCCTACAATTTTTTTTCTATTGTTGATCTTGAGATTTTTCTATATTTTATTTAAATATTAATATAATCATGTTTAATATTTTTGGTTTTACTTTATCGTGTGTTTGAAGAGGAAACATTGGATCATAAAATGTGCATTGGCTTACAGTATAAGTGTAGCTTTCATACTATAGACCATTCTGCGTTGAGTGAAGCTAAGTCCCCAAGGGCAAAGGATCTTGGTCAAGTTAATACTGAAATAAAATGCCTGGGCCAGTGGTTCTTTCACTCCACAGCACTAGCTGTATTTTTATAATAGATTAGCATGTAGAATACTGAGGCAGGGTTTGGAGGATTACTCTAAGAGGATCTTTTGGGCCAGTGGTTCTTTCACTCCACAGCACTAGCTGTATTTTTATAATAGATTAGCATGCAGAATACTGAGGCAGGGTTTGGAGGATTACTCTAAGAGGATCTTTAAGGGGCCAGGGAATGAAAGGTAAAATCCAGGACTGTGTTAGGAGAGCTGTGCCTGTGCAGGAATTTTCTCCAAGCCCTCTCCCTTCTCCTCCCTCATGAGGTTTCTGACCCTTACACTAGACATGAAGAAACTCACCATTCTGATAATTCATCATTTGAGACCGACTTTCATATCTGGAAAGTGTGCAGTCCTGAATTATAAATGTTTTAGTACTGTTATTACCTGTTCTTATCTTGCAATTTGTTTATTTCACTGGTCTGGTCCAAAATCTGTTTTTCCAATTTGTTTGTCGAGAGGGAGTGTTCCAAGAGCTGAAGTTCAAGTCTCGTGGTCTGATTTAATACCTAAATGTAACAAAATGAAGTTCCTATTAATTATTTTTTAATTAGTTTAACTTTCTAACTTCCTTTTCATTAAAGTACCCAAGCTACAGGAAAACATAACAAAAACATTATTTATTAACCCAAGTATCTTATTTTGGCATATTTTTCATTTTCAGAAAAGGCTCAATGTCTTAGATCACATCTGAGTGTGTTAAACCTTTTTACTCTTTTCCCCACGTCTCTATTTTTTTTTTTTTTGAGATGGAATCTCGCTCCATTGCCCGGGGTGGAGTGCAGTGGCATGATCTCGGCTCACTGCAACCTCCGCCTCCCGGGTTCAAGCAATTCTTCTGCCTCATTCTCCCCAGTAGCTGGGATTACAGGTGCGTACCACCATACCCAGCTAATTTTTTATATTTTTGGTACAGATGGGGTTTCACCATGTTGGCCAGGCTGGTCTGGAACTCCTGACCTCAAGGGATTCACCTGCCTCGGCCTCCCATAGTGCTGGGATTTACAGGCATTAGCCACTGCACCCGGCCGTTATGTCTCTATCTTGGAAAGTGGTTAGTAGTTCTGGACAATGGGGTCTGTGCCAAATACTAAATGTTATTTTTCTAGTCTGCCATATTTTATTTCATACAATGAGACAAGTAGGAGTATAAAATGGTCATATTTCATAGGTGGAAAGTATTTTCCCTTTGCCGAAAACAAAATGCTATTCTCATATTTATTTGTCACTAGACAGAGAGATTGGAAGTCACATGCTTCCATTATATAAAAATATAGATAATTTTTAGCCTGGGATTTCCTCATTTGTCACCACTTGTTTAGACTTTTATTTCTTCTTGCCATTTCTCCTTCCTGTTTTAAAACTTGTTTGAACCAATCGAAGCCGTATAGCGTGAGTGTGAAGCGGAGCCTCAGCCTTGCCGTGCGGGCCTTTGTGAGCTACTGCGTGGCATGAGCAGTGCGGCTCTCCCGCGGATTCTCTAGCGCCTGGTTGCCCTTCAGCAGGAAGAATCGACTACTCACTTCCTCCATGTCATGCTTATTCAGGATGTGATATCACATGCAAATGTCAGTCAGCATTGTTGCCAAGGAACCGGAGACCTTGAAAGAATCATTGTTTGCTGGTGTCTTTATGTCATTTGCAGGAGCCTTGGCTGGTCCACAGCGTGGGTTTCAGGGATGGTCTTATCCTTAGAGCTGGTTTAGTTCTTATCACAAAAAGTCTTCTGTGAGAATAAAGTCCTTGGCCAACGTAAGGTTTTGTTTGGGTTTTAATATTAACACCTGGAATATACATTTGGCCTACGTCTTCTTTGAGTCCAAACATTCTATGTTGGTTATTTCTAAAAGGAACTGGAAAATTGTGTCCTGTTTAATTCATAAGGGTTATAACATGAGTAAAATTCCGTGTGGAGGCAGGGAAGGATGGCATATAAGTCATGATTGGCCCAGTAGTAATTGTAACCATTTTCACATCACTTTTCTGGAGAGCATCAAACCGCTGGACCAGCCTGAAGGCGTCCATCTGCAGGGGACTGTAAATTACCCAGGCCAGGTATTGATCTCTCATTCCCTTTAAGATATGAGACCTCCAGCCACCCATTGTTGCTCAATTTGATCGTCTCTCATTCTGACAGGCTTGGAGAATCTTGCTTCTAATCAGAAATTTTCAGATTTGAATTTAAGTCTGTTTCACAAAATCAGTAACTGCTCAGCAAGTACCTTCAAACAGAGTGGGTACATAATTCAGTTTCTTTGCGGCCTTCCTTAAGCTCAGCCATTTTTCTTTTTTTTTTTTTTTTGAGACAGAGTCTCACTCTGTTGCCCAGGCTGCAGTGCGGTGGCACCATATCTGTTCACTACAGACTCTGCCTCCCAGGCTTAAGCACTTCTTGTAACCTCACTAAGCCTCCCAAGTAACTGGGTCTATAAGTGCACACAAGCACGCCTGGCTAATTTTTTTTTTTTTTTTTTTTTGGTAGAGATGGGGTTTCACCATGTTGCTCAAGCTGGTCTCGGACTCCTGATCTCAAGCGATCCACCCACCTCGGCCTCTCAAAGTGCTAGGATTATAGATCTGAGCAAGCGTGCTCAGCTGGCTCAGCCATTTTCATGTGTTTAATTGGGCTTCACATGGAAAAACTGCTTACTTTCCATCTGTTTTCTTATTTTCCTGTTATCCTGGATAACATGATATCTAGTTTCACAATAGGCGTTTTTTTTTTAAATCATATGACGCAACACAAGTACATCAAATGCTATGAAGTCTCTGACCGCTATAGGATGTAGCAAGGTTTGCATTGCTGCTCTGTCCTAACACTTTTTCATTACTATTATTATTTTTTATTTTTTTAAATTTTTGCCAAGTTCCCATGCTTGGATCTAACTATTATTTTAAAATATAAGAAATGTTGTAGTTTAAAAATGCTTATGAGACATTTTTTGGATGAGCTATTCAATTACCCATCAGTGTTAGTATCAAAAGGTGGGGCATGTGACTTAATCATTACTAATTTATTTTAATAGGTTGGTGCAATTTTGCCATTGAAAGTAATGGTGGCCAGGTACGGTGGCTCACGCCTGTGATCCCAGCAGTTTGGGAGGCCAAGGCAGGTGGATCACCTGAGGTCAGGAGTTCGAGACCAGCCTGGCCAACGTGGTGAAACCCTGTCTCTACTAAAAATACAGAAATTTAGCCAGGTGTGGTAGCCTGCACCTGTAATCCCAGCTACGCGGGAGGCTAAGGCACGAGAATCGCTTGAACCCGGGAGGTGGAGGTTGCAGCAAGTCGAGATCACACCACTGCACTCCAACCTGGGCAATGCAGTGAGACTCTGTCTCAAAAAAAAAAAAAAAAAAAAAAAGTAATGGCAAAATCTGCAGTTACTTTTGGTCCAACCTAATAATTCGCTTTAGATATATATTGATATATTGACTTTTAAATCTTTAGTTTTTATGACTTCCTAAGATTTAAATTTTTAGTACCTTATGATCCGTTATGTAAAATATTTATGTATGTTTTTCTTGAACTGTTGTGATATTGTGGAAAGACCTGGTAGTCAAGTAATTTGTTATTCTATTCTCTTATCTGTAAGTCTTTTGTTAATCTATCATTTCACTACTGTTTTCTCTGACCTCATCCAACCATTTTTAGGAAGACAATGAAAGAACAGCTGTGTCCTTCTAGAATGAGTCTTACGAGAGTGGCAGGGCTTATGGCATCTCCCCTCTCATGTCCTCTCCTGGCTGACGTCTAGCATTTCTTGATCCTTTTTGCTGAAGTAGCATTTAGGAATAATATGGAGTGGGGATTGTTTCACTTAAATCTGCTCTTTTTTTAAAAGTATTCCTTATAGCCCAGAGTAGGAAGCCACTGACTTCAGAAGCATGTAAAGAAGCCAGGATGAGGAGTCAGAAAGCGGGCTTGGCCGCCGAGAGTCACGACCACGGCCTTGAGCTTGGAGCGTCTGCATTTGTACTGCTAATAGCAGCTTTTCCCTTTCCCACCCAGGCCGTTCGCTGGGTCACATGTTGTGCATCATTTAGCATGTCTCTCGGTGAATTTTCTTCTTTTGAAATTTTCCTATTTTGCTGTTATTTTACTAGTTTCTTTCTTTCTTTCTTTCTTTTTTTTTTTTTGAGTTGAAGTCTCACTCTGTTGCCCAGGCTGGAGTGCAGTGGCACGATCTCAACTCACTGCAGCCTCTGCCTCCTGGGTTGAAGCAATTCTCCTGCCTCAGCCTCCCAAGTAGCTGGGATTGCAGATGCCCGCCACCACACCTGGCTAATTTGTTTGTATTTTTTAGTAGAGACGGGTTTTCGCCATGTTGGCCAGGCTGGTCTCGAACTCCTGACCTCAGGTGATCCACCCATCTCGGCCTCCCAAAGTGCTGGAATTACAGGCGTGAGCTACTGCGCCTGGCCACTAGTTGACTATTTCAGTCTTCTTTCTGTTATTATTAATCACTAGCTCATAGAATCTCACAGTGGAAAGAGAACTTAGCAATCACTTGTCTGGCCCAACCCTTTATATTATTTGAGGCCCAGAAAAGGTGAGTGCCTCATTGTGATGCATTTATTTGGTTAGTGGCGGACCTGGAGCCATGGCAGCGCTCAGGGCTCTTGCTCGGGCGTAGCACCATCTTTTCTGTGGCTAGACGCTTCTCACTGTCCCACTTGTCTCCTTCTCCATAAACTCATTCCACAGGCTGTGTTAGCTGTTGAGATTCAGGTTTTATCTTAACTCAAGAGTTAGATTTAAGGCCAGAGTTTCTAGCTCTTTGCCTCAGTGCTTTTCATTTCTCAAATGTTCAAAGACTTTAGGACTTAGAAATGGAAAATGATTCCCGGAGTCCAGAAAGCACCAGGGAGACAGAGGGGGTATTCATCTTGCAGTGGTTGGGATGCGTGGCATGAAAATGACTCACATGTCTTCAGTAGATAGAACACATGAAATTTAACCTCAGTATTAAAAACAAAAACAGATTTACTGATTTTTAATTCATAAGCAGCCATACATCCTTAATTTCTTATCAATTCATTCCTTTTCTCCTGTGGTGGTGCTTTCTTTAGTTTCTCATGCCTTCATTGAGGAAGCTCCTGACGCGACTGAGTGCTAGTCTCTAGCTGCAGGGACACCGTGTGCTTTATGTGGCATTACTTACTTGGGCTTCCACATCAGTTAACTTCCGCGTTTGCTCCGCTGTTTGGTTCAACAGGTTTGTCCCTATTTCTATCATCACAGCCGTCTGGTTCTGTACTGCATTCTGCTGTATCTCTACCATTTCTTTCTTCATGTTGTCCTGGATATAATTCTCAAGCTAGAAAAGAACAGTGTTAGAAGGCAGTCATTAGTCAAATGACCGGAAACCTGATTCCTAAATGTTTGTCGTCTCCTCCCTATCTTTAAAAAAAAAAAAAAAAAATCTATCAAAAGACTTGTACCTTGCCTTCCTTTTGGAATCTTACTATTTTTTTTTATCATTAGGAAAATACAGTGTGATTTTATTTTTATGCAAAATCTGGCAACTTAGTCACATCATGTAAAGGAGGGAGACAAGCTACTGGTTGCTTCTGTGTTCTTCTAGAAGTCCATGTCATGGCAGGCCACAGAGGGTGGTGAGGGCAGCCACAGGGACTGCTGGGTGCGGCCACTGTGGGGTTGTGTCTGTCCTACCCAGCTGCAACTCTGACCATGCAGTCAGGAAATGATAATTTGACACAAAGAAGCATCACTATTTCTCTCACATTCTAGACTTTTGGTTTCTCCACATAGACTTGAGAAGACACTCTAAGACAGCATATAAGGAGAGGAGCACCCTTTTGATTTTCCTTTTAACCTACGGAATCACCACTCAGTTCCACATTCTGTGGGGTCTTCCCCACCTTCCTCCGTATTGAGTTAATTCGACCTATTAAATTTTTCCTAACATGTATGCATTTTTCACAATTTTGTCATTTCATGTATCAAGCAAACTTTTAATCGCACCTTGGTCCATTTATCACCTAACGTGCCATGGGCTGGTTCTTCTCTCCCTCAGTTACTAAAGATGATGATCATGCTGACTAATTTTAGCATTAACTGAAACACAAGAGAAGGAAGAAGCTCATTTCACTGCCATTGGTATAGCTATCCCTGTCTATGGCAGTAAAATTACATGATTATGTATAACTGCAAGACAACTGAGTACGTGGGAAGAGCCTTTGGGCTTGGAGCCAGGGAAGCCTGCCCTCTGCTTTATAGTCTTGGTTCTAGGAAAGTTGCTTAACCTTTTGGGACCCTAGTTTCCTCATATGTAAAATAGGGTTTCTGGTTGGTCAGAGGAGTGTCTTAAAGAGGGGTTAAGCTGTGCTTTTAAAGTCATTGTGTATGCGTAACTCCAGATACTTAGCGTTTAGTTTCTTTTTTTTTTTTTTTTTTTTTTTAAATAATCTAATGATGGGAACCATTCTTCCATTCCCTGGTCCAAAGTATAAGCTCGTGAGTGCACAAACCATGTTTTCTTCCTTTTCACATAGTGTAACAAACATTGTTTATTACATTGAATAATTGAAAGATGATTATAAAACTGGTTCTGGTGCCCTCCTTTAAAAACTTAGAATTCTTTATAGAGAAACCATTCGTGGAGTCAGTCATCAGACATGATTTCCCCCAAAATGTTAACCACTAAATAATTCTGTGCTTTCTGTCTTTAAGAGTAGGAAAATAGGATGGGAAGGGTAGAGTTTCTCTCTTAGAGCTTCTTTGTTGATGCATTTCATAGATTGTGTCTTGTGACTGGTATCAGATGGTTTTAGGATTAGGCTGGAACTATAAGTTTCCTGTTTCCGATGCCCCCTCGCCATCGACTCTGCCCCACTTCTCTAAGCTCCCAGCTCCCTGCATGCCCCTCAGCCTGGTCACTAAGGCTGCCTCCCTGGCAGTCGTTCTCCCGTGGATATTGGATGGGTCAGATGAGCAGGATGCATGAGAGGCACAGTCAGCCCTCCATCTGTGGCCTCCACATCTACGGGTTCAACCACACCATCAATATATTTTAAAAAAAAAATAACAATACAACAATAAAAAACAAAAATTGTAAAACAATACAGTATAGCAACTATTTACATGGCATTGACATTGTGTTAGGTATTCTAAGCAACCTCGAGATGATTTAGAGTATACGAGAGGATGTGTATAGGTTATATGCAGATCTACCCTGTTTTACGGAAGAGGCTTGAGCACCGTGGATTTTGGTATTCTCGGGAATCTTGGAATCAGTCCCCCACAGACATCAAGGGACAGTTGTACTAGAGCTCCAAGCATGTGTAAAATCATTTTGTTGAAATGTTACTCAAGCCATCCACCCGCCTCAGCCCCCCAAAGTGCTGGGACTACGAGCGTGAGCCAGCACATCTGGCTGAAGCCTTAGTTTTCCATATGAACCAAAACAGAGTAGACCACTACTTTAAAAAATTAAAGTATTAAAAAATTTTTAAAAATTTAAAAAAATAAAAAATCAGTCACTGATACCCGGCAGGCCAGCAACCATCTCTATTATAGGCTTCATAAAATGTGAAGAGTCTGAAATCTTACTAACCGTTTCTCAGAGTTAGCTCAGGCTTTTTAGTGTGTGTGATCTTTCTTAATTCATTCTTTCTCCTTCCTCCCCTGCCTTTATAAAACTGTAACTTTTGTGATTGAAATAAACTATTTAAAAGAAGCCATAAATAGCAGTTCGTAATTCTCCCCTCCGCTCATCGCCATGGGAGTAATGGAATTTTTGAGGTTGCAGTTAAAGCTGTGTGTCACCCAGAGGCACTGTCTTAGTTACTCCTCACAGCACCCCAGCCAAGATAATATTTAAAAAGTTTCATTCCGGGAGGCTTGGAACTATAGAGATAGACTCCAGCTGGAGTTTAGTTTAAGCCCATACTCAGAAATAATAATTTACAAAGTGGTATAAATAAAAAGTCTTAACCTCCTTCTTGATTTCAGTACTTAAGAGCTAAATAAAAATTATTGTATTTTGTCACTCTAAATCATACAACCAGAGAGGGAAAATGAATCCTCTAATACTGCCTTCCCCCATTTCTAGAGCTACTGAGTCAGATGTGTTTGCAACTCTCCAGAGATATGAGAGGATTGTTTATAATTGAAAACTTAAAGTCAAATTCCAATTTGAAATTAAACTTAGGAACTTTGAAAGACATACAGGCCCAATTTTAAAAAATAAAATTTCTTAACCTGCCATATTGTTTTCTAAACATAAAAACAATAGAATGCAAGATCCTTTTTAAATTGCTACTTTTTAGCTATTCAGGATGACTAAGTATAGGTTCACAGTGGGTGAGCTAATGTGTGTCCATTTATGTTAATCTTACATAAAAGCAGATTACAAATACACATGATGTGTGTATATACAGATAGGTATATAGCATATATGTATATAGTGTCTATAAATATATACAGCTCTTGAAGCATGTATCATTTAAATAAAAGAAAATTCTGTGTGATACTGACTGCATTGCTAATTAATTGAAGTCTTTGGGAGAAGAATGGAACAGAACCAAAAATGTGCAGTAGTAGATATTTTGTGTTGATTTAAAAAGATATTTGAGCCAGTCGTGATGGCTCATGCCTGTAATCCCAGCACTTTGGGAGGCCGAGGCAGGAGGATTGCTTGCTCTCAGGAGTTTGAGACCAGGCTGAGTAACATGGTGAAACCCATCTCTACAAAAAATACAAAAAAAAAAAAAAATTAGCTTGGCCTGGTAGTGCGAGCCTGTAGTCTCAGGTACTGGGGAGGCTGAGGTGGGAGGACTGCTTGAGCCCAGGAGAGCAAGGCTGCAGTGAGCCATGATCGTGCCACTGCACTGCAGCTTGGGCGACAGAGTGAGACCTTGTCTCAAAAAAAGAAAAAAATTAAAATTAAAAGTAAAAATACTTATGTTCTTACTCTTGAAGTCATTAAATTAAGGTTTTAAGAGAAATATATGATGTGACAGTCAGGTACTCTTTAAAAACAAGGAAGAATACTGTATATTTAGCCCCAGAAACACTAGCGACAGGAACAGCCACAGTAATGGTAGGTACTGTTTCTTGGTTGCCGGCACTGCCTGTGCTGTATGGGAATCGCTGTGTCGGGATCCCAGGCGCCTCACATCAGCACAGGTGGATGCAGGGCTGAGCACTGGAATGACCCTCAGCAAAATGTTAGCTCAACCCAGAGGCCGCTTCATACTTTTCCAGCCTTTTAAGAGCCAAAGTGATATATCTCAAAATTGGCTTGAGTATGCCTTCCAATTCCAGGCTTCACAATGCCTTAAGAAAACAGACAGACCACCCACCCCTCAGTGGAGGGCCATTTTTACCACCAGAAAAGCCCAGAATTAAAGATGACCAATGCCAATTCTATCTTCTGGGAGCATCCTGACAAAAGAATCTGTGTTTTCTTCCAAAGATTAGTAGTAATTTTTAGAGGTACAGAAAGACTATGGATGTCCATCATATAGTATAAAAATGAACATTTCCAAATAAAGATGTCCCATTTAATGTAGCCTTTCCATAAATCACCACGTATCAAGGATAATGAGAACAAACCTAGAAACAAAGCCATCTGGCTCATCCACTTGGATAGACAGACCTTGAAATTTCCCTGTCTCTTGACCTTGATGAATTAGTTATTTTCTAGTTTATTGTCCTAGAATGTCTTTCTGTTTAGTGTCTCTCTTATTTTTACTGGCTGTGACTGAAACCCAGAAATATAGAAACCTGCCCAGAAATATGAAATTCCATTCTAAGTATAAGGAAGTCTTAGTACAAGAAAAAAAAAAAAAAAAAACCAACCCAGTAAATAAGCCATCCTCCACTGGCAGCACCAAACTCCACTTGCCTTTGGAGAATGTTTCCCATCCCTGTCATCTGCACCGAACTGCTCTCATCAAAACAGTTCCAAGATACTTGAACCTCCCGTGGGAGGGGACCCGGCTCTTTCCAATTTCACATGCATAGCATGTGAAACATATTCATGTTTCGCAGGAATGTTTGCCATCGCCTTCATATCTGAAGAGGATTATTCCATGAGCGTGATCTGTAGGCACACGTGTCTGAATAGGTCCTGCTGTATATGTGTGCGAGGACAGTGTGTGTTTATTTTGTCCTCTTCTTGATGGTTGACACAGTCGGCAAAGTGTGGGGCCTTGGGCTGTTCTTCCTTTCTCAGAACTCAAGTGAGTTATGCAAGTTTAACATTGAGGGCCACAGTGATCCTTCTAGCTGCATGGTTTGCTGCTTAGTGTTATTTGATTTGCTAAAAGAGTTGCGCCCCAGACATAGTCTTTAAAACTTGGCAGCGCATCGAAACTCAAGCAACCAGGATGAAATATTTTAATGCAACATATATATATATATATGTTTACATTAATATATATATATTTTAGTGCAAAATATGTTCTGAAGTTTTTTATTACTCCCACAACGTTTTGAATGATCAAATTTGACAGGAAAAATAGGTCCATTTGTGAGGCAACTATGGCAGATTGATTACACATTTAAAAGTTTATCTGGCTATCTTCCTTCTCACCAAGATTGTCATCATTATTTTTTATACCAAAAGAAAAGTAATCTTGAAACTGGCTCAGTAAAGGAAAACATAGATAATATATGAAAACTATCCCCAACTTGGAGATTCTGATGTTGATTTCTCACCAACTGTAGATGCTGGTTGAGAGATCCTTTCTATTTAAATAAAATTCAAGGTCCTTAGACCTTTTTACTAATTAGTTTTTGTCCATCTGAGTGACCTAAGGTGGACAAAAACTAATTAATCAGAGGGTCTAAAGACCTTGAATTTTCTGGTAAATTAACAAATAATTTGAGATTTCCTTGGAAACTTTTTACTGTTGCCCATTTCAATTTCGAAATAGGATTTTGCAACCATCTCTCACACACACATACACGTTTTTCTATCCCAATGATCCATCCATCTTCCCACCCAGCCCTTCCATTTTTCTAGTAAACCCTTGAATTTTTCTAGTAAATTCACAAATAATTTGAGATTTCCTTGGAAACATTTTACTGTTGCCCACTTCTATTTAGAAATAAGATATTGCAACCATCTGTCTTACACACACACATACACGTTTTCTACCCCCCATGATCCCATCTTCCCGCCCAGGGTCCACTGTCCTCTCTGTCTCTTGCTGGCCACGCATCCCCCAGCTGCTCTCCTTTCATCCCGCTGTCAGAGTCAGGAATCCACATGCAAAGCTGGTGACCGCAGCTCACTTTCTTCCCTTGCAGGTTTGCCTGAGGATAAGGTCCAGATTCCTTCTTTTTAAGACACACACCGCCTCCTGACTGGCGCCCCTGATCTTGTGGGCCTCAGACCTGGGCGCGCACTGTCCTTGGCTGTCCCAGCTGCCCAGCGGCCTCATACCACGGCCGCCTTTGTATCTCCTCCTTGAGTCTTCTCTTCCTCCTCAGGTCCCACCATCCCCCATTGCATGCCCTAAGCAAAGATACTCGTTTTGTGTTTCCTTTTGATATCAAAACCATTTTGTATTTGTGTCATTTCATTTTAAATCTCCACAGACAATAGGTTAATGTTCTTGCTTGCTTGGTGAAGAGTGAACAGAATCCTCAAACTCTGCAACCATTCTACATATACACCCTAGTAACAACAAGCAAAACATCCACTCTTAGAATTAGTTTGAAAACTTGAGTGTAAGATTATTAAATCCAGGGATATTCTATTTGGGAGGCTTTTGACCTAATGTTCTTGGTTCCCTGTCATGAGGAAACTCTGAAACATCATTTGAGGTCTCCAGACAGAAAAGTGGCAAAACTGGGCTCTCCTCCCCCTCCTTTTAGAGTTGGGCTTGTGTGTGTGTGTGTGTGTGTTTATTCTGGAGATTTTGCTGCCTAAGCAGCTGTGTACTCAGCAGTACTTCATGGCAGAGGCTGAGCCTAAAGAGGGAAGGGCTGGGAGATGCGGATTTTGGGCAGCACTTTGTCCTCCTAAACCCCTCGCCAGAGCCTGGGGGGTAGGCACAGTACCCACAGTGAGAGGTGATGTTCACATGCCCTGTGACGTGGGAAGCAAGTTTTCTCCATATATTGATGCCAGATTTGAATTTCTAGAACCTAGAAAAGCCCATGCCAAAGCTACTTGCCATCTGTTGACTGTTTTTATAGTCTTGGCCTTTTCTTCACGTTCAGTGTAAGGCCCTAGAAGTTGAGGCAAAAGCTAAAGGCCGAGGGAGGGAAGCCTGGCCTCTGGTGCCAATTTCCTAGTGGGTATTGTGACTTCTCTTAGGGAGCACACTTGCCTTCACCTGCCCTGACCACATGGACGCCTGCCCACATAGGGTCTTTTAAGCACTTCCTGAAATGGATCTGTTCTGATCTAGCCTTTTTGCTTTTTTCTAGTCATACTTTTTTATTGTCTTTTTTTTGAGATGGAGTCTCGCTCTGTCTCTCAGGCTGGAGTGCAGCGGCGTGATCTTGGCTCACTGCAACCTCTGCCTCCCTGGTTCAAACGATTCTCCCGCCTCAGCTTCCCAAGTAGCTGGGGTTACAGGCGCACACCACCATGCCTGGGAAATTTTTGTATTTTTAATAGAGATGGGGCTTCGCCATGTTGGTCAGGCTGGTCTGAAACTCCTGACATCAGGCCATCTGCCTGCCTTGGCCTCCCAAAGTGCTAGGATTACAGGTGTGAGCCACTGTGCCTGGCCATTTAATAATTTATGAGTGACTATCTGATACTGTATCTAGATAACCAACCCCTTTCCTACTTTCGCTAGTATAAGAGACTGAAAGTTCACTTTTGGCCACTATATAACTCCAAGATGTATTAGGAAATAAGTTTGTGGGCCTCAGCTGGTGGCATTCTAACATTAATAGTCCATGCCTCTCCTCCTGTGGATAGGTACACCCTACAGTAATTTGAGTGTACCAGAATGTCTGTGCTCTGGCAAATCCTATCCGCTTTGCTCTTCTTTGAGTGCAGCTGCATATTCTTTGCATTAATTTTTTTCACATATATTTGAATATATGTTTTTCCACATATATTCATATCATTTTACCTCTTTGTGTGTTTCCCTTACCACTACTCCAAAATTTGATAAGGAAATGTGCTTTTCCCTTCAAAATGTTCCATTTATTTTCTACTGATAAAGTGGCTATTTCTCATCAATAGCAGGCATTTTAAATATATGTAAGTTTAAGGAGACTGCTGTAGTAACCTCATGTAAATTTCTTTGGGCATTTCATATGCAAAAGGTGTCACATTTTACACGAGTGTCTTTTAGAGGTCTTGTAGGGCACATGTATATTTACCAGATGTCTGTGAGCGTGCAGCCTCATGGCACGTTATGCATACCTGACACTTGCACAGATTCCTGGAAGATGAGGAGCAAATACAGTGCAACAGACGTTGTCAGGCCACGTCTGCATATATAGATATATACACAGCAAGAATAGTTACAGCAGCTTACAATGACAAAATGCTTCTCAGTGTGTATGTGTGTGTACCTCTGTCTCACCAGATTCTCACACTGCCTTAGCTTGGGTTTCCCCAAAAGCAGAGCCTGAGACAAAGGCAGGCATGCAGGAAGTTTATTTAGGCAGTGGTCCCAGAGCGCAGCCATGCCGAACAGGCGCGGGAGGCAGGGGCGCCGCAGGGTGGTTCGCACACGTGGACTCAGGCGGCCACCGCCGCGCTGGCTGGTAAGAAGCCCCACAGGATCTCCCAAGGAGCCCTGGGACAGTGTCTCAGAACATCCACCTGGGGCAAGAATGGGGACTGCTGTCCCCAGGGGGCAGGTGGAGCCTAGTGGGCATTCATGACCCAGGTTTTGGAGCTGTGCTTGCGAGAGTGCCGAGGAGGCTCTCATGGGTGTCCCGAGGCAGCTTGGAGCCAACGTCCCTAGGCATGGCCTGGGGGTTTGTGGGAAGGCCTGAGGCAAGGCCTGTCTCTGAGATGTCCTGAAGAGCAAGTTGGGCCCAGAGGGTTAATTCCGAGCAGCACAAGAGGGTGAATTCTGAGCAGCACCAGAGGGTTTCCCTGACACAGCAGGGGATGCTTTGAGGCCCCTTTAATGAAGGAGAAAAATGAGGCTTAGAGAAAGTCAGTGCCCACCCCAAGTCTCATGGGCCCCAGGCTGTGGGCAGTGGCTAAAGACAGGCTAGTGGGTAACTCGGGGCCACGTGGAAGGGGAGCTTGTATTTATAGCCCCCAGTCAGCAGCGCTGGAGAGGAGAGGAGAGGAAAAGCAGTGCTCTGAGAAAGACAATATTTCTAGTAGATTGGGGCAGGGCAGGCCTGGAGACAGGAAACCAAAGCCAGGGTTGTCATGCAGGAGTGAGATGAGGTTGCAGCAGCAGAGCGAATGCGGAGACGCTCGGCAGGTCCTTGGTGGCCTCTGAGTTATTCTGCAGACTTCTGCCATTCGTCTATTTTTTGGGATACTTTGTTAAATTCTCAGCTTAGAAGATAGTAGTGATGTTTTCCCTACAGAGATAGAAGAAAATATAAAACTATTTTCTTTTTAAAACTGTACTGAATGTAGGGCCGGGCATAGTGGCTCACTCCTGTAATCCCAATACTTTAGGGGGCCAAGGTAGGAGGATCACTTGAGGTCAGCAGTTCAAGACCAGCCTAGGCAACATGGCGAGACTCCATCTCTACAGAAAATTTTTTTAAAAATTAGCTGGACATGGTGGCTCATGCCTGTGGTCCTAGCTACTCAGGAGGCTAAGGTGGGAGGATTGCTTGAGCCCAGGAGGTTGAGGCTGCAGTGAGCCGTGATCGTGCCACTGCACTCCAGCCTGGGTGACAGAATGAGACTCAATCTCAAAAAAAAAAAAAAAAAAGTACTGAATGATAAATGATTACAAATAGAAGCAGTTAAAATTTAGCTCTAGGAATGAGATTGATGCATTTAGGCTACAATATACCAGGAACTTCCTTTTTAAATGAAACTAGAGCGTTCTTGCCTTTCTGAATTTAAGGCACACTGAAAGAAAAAATAATAATAATGTAACAAAATGTCTCAGTGTTTTTCTATGCCAAATAGAATCTTATGTATATCTGTCTAGAGACATATATGCATACATTTGTCTACACATGTGAGGTAGGGGTGTGTGTGTGTGTGTGTGTATCTGTGTGTGTGTGTATGTATGTGTGTGTGTTTCAGTTCTCTAAGAAACAGACATTCCAAAACTTGTGTGTGTGTGTTTCAGTTCTCTAAGAAATAGACATTCCAAAGCTTGGTGGGCAATGGCGGGAGGCTTTAGACCCTGTAATATTGTCGGAGTGTCACTGTAAGAGGGACGCTAGCGCCTGGGTCACAGTGCTAGCTGGTAGCAGAGTACTAACTTAAACCCTGGTCTCCCAACACCCCATCCCGCACTCTCATCGCTGTACTGATATGCCTATTCTTATCTTAAAAAAAAAAAAGTGCTGTCTGAGGAGCATTAACATTCTTACTTTTTCATTTTTGAAATGAAGTATAAAGATACTGATGGCCTTTTACGTCTCCTCTCTGCCCTGTTTTTGCTGTCTCTTTCTGTGTTACATGGGTTTGCCAAAATACTGGGTGGAGCTCTGTGGAGGAGGTAGCATGATCATCTCTGAAGTGGGCAGTTTTTTTCTTTTTCCAATAAACTGAATTTACTTGGTCACAATGACTATCCTAAATGGCTAGAAAAGGGAAAAGGCTAGCGAAACTTAGATGATTTTCTAAATTTAGATAATTTTCTAGAAGACATTTTCCAGGCAAACTAGTTTTTGCTGTCCTTTATAAGGCCGGCAGGAAGCGTGTGTTGTTTCTGTTTTAA
Organism: Homo sapiens; assembly: GCF_000001405.40. NCBI lineage: Eukaryota > Metazoa > Chordata > Mammalia > Primates > Hominidae > Homo > Homo sapiens. The sequence goes on from NC_000008.11 coordinate 6,542,992, forward strand.
AAAGGGAGAGGAGCGGACTTGGGAATGCTGATGGGAATGCTTGAGAAATCTCACAGCAGGGCTGTGCGTGCCCTGCCGGGTCCCACTGCCTCTGGACAGAAACCCCCGCAACTCCACCCCCAGCCAAGACTTTCTGCTTCTTTATCTCCTCTTTCTGCTAGCACCCAAAAAGTTGAAAGAATTCCAATGGATAGAATTTTTGAGATAATATTGGAAGATGCTCAAAATACACAGGATTAATTTACACGAAGACTCAGCGGGAACACAAGCCATCTTCTGTACATGAAGATGCACTACTGACCCGCCGTCCGCAAATGTGTTTGTACAGTTACTTTCTCAGTATGGGTGATGGCTCTCCAACGAACTGCTCCTCGTCTCCTGCCTGGACACCCTTCTCTCTGTGCTTTCCTGGGTTAGAGTAAATGGATGCAAACACACATTTCCGTGCTCTGCAGCAACTTGAGACTCCTGTGAGCAAAACGCACTGACGGGCAATGTGCGTGGGTCGTGGGGAGCATCCAGCTCCCATCTGCGGAATAAACCCGCCCAAACCATAGGGAAAAGCGCTGTCGTATAAGGCCAGGGGATTTTCAGAAAAGAAATGTGTTCTTTCCTCTTTGATTTTTGTGTTCATAAAGCTGTAGGTGCAGCTTTTTTTAATGTAATGATTTCATAACCGCTGAAGTTCGTGCTTTTCTGAACTATTTAGGAAGATAATCTACCCCTTGTATTGGATGAGATGATCTGTCCCTTCGACCTCTGGTTCAGTTCCCATTCTCCCAAGTATTTAAAGCTGCGAGTTTTTTCATATTTTCATATTTATTTACATAATTTAAACCCCCTGTGTGCATGGACTTTAAGGAGCTGTACATCTGCCTGGGCTTTGCAGAAGCTGAAAGGGCGCAATCTTTTTATAACTCACATTAGAAACACAGATTATTTAACGGGGCTATGTTTTGCACCTTAATCTTTAAAGTTGCAATATATTTTAAGCATTTTAACCTTGTTTTAGATCTGATCAGCAGTAGAATGTTTTCAGATAAGAAACAATGGAGCAAAAGCAAAACAATATTCAATACCTAGATGATGTGGCAAGACAGAGAATAGTATAACTTTTTGTTTTCCAAACATAACTTTTATCTTCATCTCTTGATCTGAAATTTGGTAGGAAGTGTAACAAGTACGAATCAACATATTTACCATTTGCCATTTCAAATGTTGATAGTGAAGCTGGGACCTCTGTTTATTATGGAAGACCATAGAAAACCCCATAAACACGTTCTACTTCTGTCTGTGGCCAGCAGTCCAGCAAAAATGTTCTAAAAGCACATGCACTGTGTTCCGTGATGATTATAGTTTGACTGTGCTGGAAAGAGAGACTGTGAACTGCACATGGTGATTATGACTTTGGGCAAATCACTGAACTTGTAATTATGTCTTCCAAGACCTCCTAACCCAAAATAAGAGAGTATTTTACTACAAAATATATGTTACGTCAAACTGTTTTTTACAAAATACCAGCTCTAGGGATGTTTCCAAGTCATTTTCGGAGAGAGTTTGTCGAAGTTTTTTTCAGGGTGTGTCATTCATGTATTGGAGGGGGAGAGGGTTGAGTAAGAACCGACATGCACAACTTGGCCATGAAATGAAGCGCAAGCACATATTTTATTTCTATAGGATTCCTCATTCTAAAGTAATTTTTACAGAAAATGGCACTCTAAGAAGGAATTCATTAAGATAAAGACACAGATACAGCATTTAGAGTTACACTTTGCCATAAAAGAGCCTCCCTTACCTCCTGACTTGAATCTATAACATCTGCTGAACTGTCGACATCAGGAAGACTCGAAATATGTTTTGAGGCCAATTATGTCATTTCAGATTGAACCTGCTAACATCAGATTCTTTGGTCAGTAGTCTCACTAGTTTTGTTCTCACAATGGAATTATTATTTTGATTTTTAAATGTTGCTCCATGGAGACTGGTATGATGAGCTCATGCTCTGCAGTTCCATTTTAACAAATAACATAATAGATCGCTGTCAAATGAATGCCATCACAGACATCATGTTGGGTCACAGAAGCCACACCCTAGGAGTGCTTACTAGATGATCCATTTCCATGAAGCTCAAGAATGGACCGAACTTACTAAAGGTGATAGAAGTCAGAATAATGTCTTCCGGGTGGGAGGGGTTTGAGGCTGTGAACTGAGCAGTGGCACGAGGGAGCCTTCTGGAGTGCTGAAAATGTTTCCTAGATCTTGACCTCGGTGCTGGTTACATGAGTGAATCCATATTTTTAAAAGTTATCAAGCTGTAAATTTCAGGTTAGTATACTTTATCCATTTCCTGTGTTTTATATCTCAAAAATTCTTTTAAAAACTAAAAGACATTTAGAAATGAAATGTTTGACAAGTTTTGTTGTGACACTATGACCCTAGTTACTATGGGTGGTTTTATTTGTCTCTGCAGTTTTCATCTAGGAGCACCTAAATAATGCCTAATGAAATGAACTTTGGAAAAGTAATTTTAAAGTAACTATCTTAGAGAACTGTGGATTAAACCATTCCAGCCATCTGATGAGGGTTAAAATGTATATTCGTAATCTGACATTCCAAAACACGATTCTTTCCGGATCAAGCATAAAAGGCATTTGCTCTTGGAAGACCAAGAAAGAATTCATGTGGTTCCCATTAGTCTAAAAATAAATAATAAATAAATAAATGTCTGAGTCATGTATTGGATTTTGTTGGATTTCAGTGGCTTCAAGTATAGGAAGAAAATGATTTGTGCTATTAATAATAGTTCTACCCATTGCCCATTGGAATAAATACAAGATTACTCTGAGAAAAGTGAAATCGATTGAATTTAGTTCTGCTTTGAGCTACTGCAATGCAAGTGTTTCTGACTTTTGAGACATAGTATAAAAAACTGAATAAAATAACTTTGTTCATATTGAATTGAGTTGGGGAAGTAGCGATATTTGTGACATTGGAAGCCATTGTCATTACAGATTCATCATTACAGTACAGATTTGAGAATCAAACACACCCGGTGTGAGTCCCAGTTCAGTTCCTTAGGAACTACTGGCTCAATACTTTCTAACATCACATTTCTGGTTGGTAAAACAGGTATATAAATACCTACTGTGCTATGCTAGTGTGAAAATTAAGTGGAATGAGTTAGCACAATTCCCAAACTGTGTGCCAAGGCACCCTGGGTCCTTGCAGCAAACAAATTGGAGTAAGGGAGACAGTCTGAATATTCAAGGGCAACCCAGCAGTGTTCAATGACTGTCAGCCACTGGAAGAATTCATAGCTCAAAGCAGTTCACCGTTTCAACAGTATCAGCTTGTACCTCTGTAAAGCTAGGTTTTTGGTGGTTGCTGTTTGTGAAAAGCAAGTGCTACAGGAAAATTAGCATAGAGCGTAAAATGCAGGTGGCAGTGTCCAATTTGATTCCAAAGTTTGAGAAGCCAGGTGTGCCTAACTGGCAAATATATTCCATTCATACGTCACTGGGGTTACTTAAGAAAGAAAATAAAGGATCTTTTTTTAAAACTCAATTTATATGTATATTGGTATTTTCAAATAGCTACTAAATTGTCAGAACATAAATACTTAAATTATTTGGAGCTAACCGCTTAATACAAGCAACTGTTGGCCTAGAGATAAATAGAGAAAAAATAGTGAATCACTAAGGGTCCCATGAGCTGAGAAAGTTTGAGAACAACTAGCCTAGAAGCTTGCACTTGGTAGGATATAAACTCAACGTACCCTCTTCCTCCCCTTCCCCCAATCCAAGTATTGCCTTTAATTGTAATCTCTATGATTTGATATGTTTATCGGAAAGCGAGTAAGTCAAAAAGAACTAATAAATTGTGTAAGACCTTCATTAAGATGTACCCTTCCGTGTTTTCCTAACTTCTGAAATCACTAGGAAAAACAGCCATGTTCCTTGCAAGCTGGCTGGTTAGTCCTGTCTTCTTTCAGGTGAACAGCATTTATAACCACGGTGTACCTCGGAAGAAGCGTTCTCAGAGCAACATGCACGTGTTCCGTGTGTACCGTGGTTGCCTTCGGGCTAATGCGTTTTTGGAAGTGTAGATAGGTGCCAGTTTTACAAAACTCATGTGGCCTATTTCTGCTTGTAATTTATAGTTTGCCTCCTCACCATCCTCACTTGCTCTAAGGTGAACTAGTTTTATACCATTAGATTATACAGAAAAGTCAAATTTACTTGCATGCCACAGCAATTCGGGAAGTAAACTTTCAGTGTGATTCTCCAAATGCTTGTGGTAAAAGTACAGAGACTTGAATCATTTTCCCATAATTAGTTTCAGTTCTGGAGGTCCGCCCCCTCTCTTTAACCCTCTTGCCTTGCATATGTGTCTCTTGCAATGGAAGCTAGTGGAAATTTCCTCTCCCCTTTCACTCCACTGCCATAAGTTATAAAAAGCATGCCATTCAGAACTGACGTTTTCTTCTGCATGCTTGAATTTTTACTCAACAACTGGAAGGGGAAGAAGTTATTTCCAGAGATGTTTCTCTGTTTATCAAAGGGGCGCAGAGTCACAGTAGCACTTTGGACCACCGTAGAATGGCTGACTCACTTGCCTCATCAGTAGAGGGGCACATGTTCCTATCAAACAGTGAGTGCCTTTGAGTGACGGTGTGTGACACACAGCACAGCAGCACCATTTCTCAGAGCTGCAGCAACACTGGTTCACACAAGTCACTAGAGATTCCCATCTCCACTGACTCACTCGGTGGGAACAAAAGCTCCCATGCCGGTGGGAATGCGGGGCCAGGGGAGCACCGGAAGAAGGGAGCCGTGGCAGAGGTTTTCCTATTGTTAGGTTTGTTTGTTTGTTTCAGTGAGTCATCTTACCCCCATTTTTTTTTTTTTTTTTAACCAAAACTCACTGTGGTTACTTCTCTAGTTTGGGTTATGACTCCTACGAGCCAGTTTAATTTTATCAGTGGCAGTGAATTCTTGAACGCTTCCCTCAGTTGTAGAAATTTAGTTTCACATTTAAGTGGTCCAAGTGCCAGCTTAAACTTTGTGGTTTAGTGTCTTTACTGAATCCCCCCTAGCGGAAGAACCTACATTGGAGTTTTGGCTGCTCTTTGGGATTCAAATTATGAGTAGTTGGTTCCACTGGAATCTTGGCCTTCTCCTGGAGTGGCTTGAGGCGGCACGCTTTGACTTTAGAAGGCCAAAGTTAGAACCTACGTGAAGGCTTTGTCCAAAATGCCTTTCCTGCACCCTGGCATTTTCAGGTGGTGTGTGTAGACCTGACAGGACTCTACTCGTGCGTCACTTCCCAGCTGTTGGTCCCCTGCCACTTAGATGCCTTTCATGGGCAAGTCCATGCTAGCCTAGGAAATTTCCCGAAAATGGCAGTGATAACTCAGAATTAGGATTTTGATCCTCATCTCAACCATTATCCCCAGTGGTCGCTAGCTCTCCTCTGCCCAGCTCGAGGAAAATGCTGGGTTTTTCATTGCAGCTTACTTGCATTTCAGTGGTCCCAGCAAGCACTCAAGAGGAAAGATCAGACCAGCCAAACTTGCAAGGCAGGCTGATGAGCCAAGGTACAGAAAGTACACCTGATGGATTTTTGTAATGATGGCCGTAAGTCATAGAAGGTGAAGCTTAATGCAATTTAGAAAGATTTGAAAAAAGGAAGAAAAGTCCTCGTGCTCACAGAAGCAAGCTCCCATTGGCAAAATTATTGTGTATAACAAGCATCTCTCTCTGATGATGCTGGAAAAAAAGAAGGTGCTATCAGGGAGGGAGGGAAGATTTGAAAGACCAGAGTGAGCAGCAGATAGGCCCTTGGGTCCTTCCTTTTATTCCCACCCTCTTTTCCATTGGCTGTTGATAAAGTTTCATCACTTTTTAGCTGCCTGTTGTATTTCACTACCTCCTTGTTAACCTCTGGTTATAACCTGGGGGGAATTATGTTTAACCAGTACTTAATGAATCAATCTATTCCTCAAAAGTTGGTTCTGGGCATCACGGAATAAACACCAAGACCACTCAGCGTATTTTCTGCAGAGTGGATTTCATTAGAAGGCAGGTTAGTCTTGGAACTCAGTCAAAACAGCTTTCAGTCAGTCCAACTCCACAGATTTCAGAGATAGCAGTACAAGAAAAATGATACATGGGTTTGTACAGTTGAGTGTTGAAGTGTTGACTTCCATAAAAGAACACAAATGTCAATCTACAGCAGTACCATGGGTACGTAAATTGTGTTATACAGCGAAACACTGCACGGTGATGGAAAAGAAGAAACTTTAACATGCACAACAACATGGATCCATCACAGAAATAATAAAAGAGACCAAAAAGGAGTATGTACTGATTGTTCCAATTACATGACATTCAAAACCTAGCAAAATTAACCCATGGTGGGTGACAGAGCAGAGTCAGGATTGGCGTTGAGAAGAGGGGGATATTGACGAGGAGGGGCCTGAGGAAGCCACGTGCAGGGTGGGAAGCCTTCTGTATCTTGAGCTGGGCAGTCATTACACAGGTGCGCACATATATGGATGAGGAGGGGCGTGAGGGAGCCGCGTGCAGGGCGGGAAGCCTTCTGCATCTTGAGTTGGGCGGTCGTTACACAGGTGCGCACAGATACAGACAAAGAGGGGCGTGAGGGAGCTGCCTGCAGGGGAAGAAGCCTTCCGTATCGAGCTGGGCGGTCATTACACAGGTGCGCACAGATATGGATGAGGAGGGGCGTGAGGGAGCCACGTGCAGGGCAGCAAGTCCTCTATATCTTGAGCTGGGTGGTCATTGCACAGGTGCGCACAGATACAAAAATTTACCAAGTTGTACACTCAAGATTTGTGAATTTTATTCTGTGTAAGTTATATCTAAAAAAAGAAAAGAAAAGAAAAAGCTAGATTCCCTAAAACAGAGACAGCAGGGCTCGAGTCTGAGCTAGCTATAGCCATGCCAGCAGCTAGATCCATGAAAAGGTTGGGGTTGGCTTTGCCCAGGTGATCATTCGGGGACGGGGGACGTGCTGTGAATGGAAGATGTGCCTGCTGTCAGCACTGATGTTGCCCACCCTTTATTTCTACAACGCTGTCTTCAAAAGAATTACATTTCAATTTTATACCAACTATCGTGCCTCCTCATGAATCCCTTCCCCGCACAACCTGGAAACCCTCGCCTGGCGTCGGCTCCATCTCCAGATGTTACTCACTGGCTACCGCTAGGTGGCTGCGAAGGGTGGCGGCGTCACTGATGCGCAGCTCAGGCAGCAGCCATGGGGAGGTTGAATCCCCGGGGCATCTGCCTCTCCCTATGTGTGTGGGTCCTGGGAGTGAGGCAGTGTGGCGTGGGGCTGTTGCACACACCCCCGACTGTAGGGCTGCACCCAGACACGTGCGGTGACCCCGTCTCTACAGCCGCTTGTTGCCCTGGCACCAAGCCAACCACTCAGCATCCAGCGCGTCCTCACCTCCCCTCCGGGGTGAAGCGGAAACAAGGGTATGTGCCAAAACTGGCCTGCTCACCATTTCCCAGATTTTCCACATTTGTTCCCACTCGGGGTGAGGGGTGTGCTTCTGGTGTGACAGCTGTGGGCTGTGTAGGGTGGCGGGCGTTGGTGGTGAAGTCTGTCGGCCCTCCTGACCCACACACGAGGGGGTGTGGATTTTATATTGAAATCTTTTTAAAATCTGTTTTATTGTAAGAGGCTCTGAAAGGAAGAAATTTTATCAGAGTTTTGCGGCCTGTGTACGTTCTGATACCTCTCAGAGCTGGAGTTTCTTACCCATATAGGACAAGCTGTTGTGAAATTGAGTGAGACGATGTAAGCACATGGCGTGCACCTGATAAATGCCAGCTGCCACCACAGTGATGGTCAGCAGCGTGGTCACCACTGTCGTTTCACAATTACAGCCCAAGGAGCCCAAGGGGAAGGAGTGCCTCTCTCTGTTTTGACCTTCTCTGACTGCTGTCCTAATAAACAGTGTCCTTTCTACAAGAACCCTGTAGACTTTTGAAACCAACAAGTGAAGGCACTCCAAGGCCCTTGTTTTGAGAAGGGGTAAGTGTGCTAGGTAAGGGATTTCCTTGGGTGCTTACCTTCCACGGCTCCTGGGCCCCTGACTCGAAGCTGACCATCTGTGCTGATGCTGACTTAGGATTTTAAATCACTTAAATTTGAGCTGGATAGAGAAAGGGTCCTAGTTAAGCTGAGAGGGCTGCTTATTCGTGATTTTTTTTTTCTTCTTTCTCATGCAGAGACTGTTTATTTTAGTGGTAGCGGTATTTAGGGGTGAAGAAGGGGAAAGGAAGAATAGTGTGCCATCAATTAATTCTATGCATGTCAGCTGCAACGCCTTCATGGCACGGGACAGGCCAATTATGTAACTGTAAACAAATTATATGTATTAAAAGTTGTCCAATTAAAGGAAAAAACATGCATGGATTTATGTGTTTGTTATTACCCAGAAGGGAGCCATGCTGTACTTGAAAATATGCAAAATTTCACATCACAAAATCACCAGTTGTTGTTTGAGGGGCTGGTGTTCTGATTAGTCTTAATTTTTTTTAACTCATAACATTTTTGTCCCAGTCATCAACACTGTTAAGAACATGTCACTGGTGCAGTTAAGTTAAAAATGATTCAGGTCAGGAATTCCTGTCATTAACAATTTTTTATATTAAAGTTGGAAAAGTTTAAGGAAATTTAAGAACCTATTCCTTAATAGTTAAAAATAGTAAGGAATTTCATATACCCCCAAATATTAAGCATAGGTAATTAGCTTGTGGTTGGGATTTGATGGTTTTCTGTTTTTCAGCAAAATACAATAACGTACTTTCTCGAGCAGAATTTTTACACCAACATTTCCCATTAAGACCAGTTTGTTTAGGGAATTTTTAAGCTACATCTGTATGTAATAATTTTTTGAGATTCCAAAGACTACGCAGTCTAATAAAACTCTAATACTTCAACTATCTTCAGACTAATGTTTATAATTACCCGGTAGATGACCAAGAATTGATATCATCTGTTGATTCCAGAAATTATGGCAGAGAAAATGCTGTCAGGAACCCAAAGAAAATCAGAGGAAATGGTACCTCTAAGAAATTCTGAATCTTTTCTACTAAGATATGTGGCTTGACTGCTTAACCCCAAAATGCCTGCTTAGAAGGTAGTTTGGGGCTATCTTGTAATACTCATTTAGTTCCTGCCTTCTTCTGCCATAGAAACAACATGCAGAAGCAGCATTGCTTACGACTCACACTGAACCTGAAGGGATGAAATTACATATGACGATGGAATGTGGCCATATTCACGCAGTCACAGCAGTGTGTTGCCCAATGACAGTACTGGAGCAGTTTCCACAGAGGCACTCATGCAATATGCAGAATACAGACATTTTACACACACACTTACGATGGTCCTTTTCATTGTCGAAAAGGAATTCATTATCTTTCGAGTAAACATGTGCTTTGAGGTATATAACTCTGAGGTATAGAAGTTAGAACATTTAACCCGATTAGGGTGACTGGAATTATAACCTTTAACTAATGTGAGATATAGTATAGATCTTGATAAGTGTCTTTCTGGTGTTCCTATTAAAATTCATTATAATTACCGTTCCTGCAATTGTGTAGCATCTTACAGTTTCCAACACCCTGTGCTAGCCATCATCTTATTTGAAACACATAATAACCCTACAAGTTCACTGATGTAGGTAAGAAAACTGGTACCGTTTCTGAAGATACACAGTGATTGTTTCGGCCAGTTAATTAAGGCAAGAGATCACTCAACAATTGTTCTACAGTTATTCCTGCTTTTTTTTTTTTAACTCACTCATTAAGTGAAAGAAGCCAGTCCGAAAAGGCTGTATATTTTATGATTCCAACTGTATGACATTCTGGAAAAGGGAAAACTGAAGATAGTAAAAGGATCAGGGTTTGCCAGGGGTTAAGGGGAAGAAGGGCTGTGCAGGTAGAGCACAGAGGATTCTTAGGGCAGTGAAGCTGCTCTGTGTGATGCTACAATGGTGGATCCATGGCTTCATACATTGGTCCAAACCCACAGAATGTACAGCACCAGATGTCAACTGCGGGCTCTGGGTGATAATGATGGGTCAATGTAGATTCATCAGTTGTAACCAGTGCACCACTCTGGTGCAGGATGTTGATCGTAGGGGAGGTGGCTGTGTGTGTGCCACGGAGGGGGGATATGGGAACTCTCTGCACTTTACTCTCGATGTGGCTGTGAACCTAAAACTGCTCTAAAAAACATAGTCTTTTAAAAAATCATTTACTACATATGAAAAGGAACAAGTAAAGCAACAACAACAAAATGTTATTGTGTACTTTCAGATTGCACCAGTAAACCTAGCCAGCCCTCACTAGGGTCTTCTGATGGTTACATAGTTAAAAGTACACTAGCACACCGGGAGAATAACTTCAGAGGCTTGCTGGTCTAATGGTAATTGCGTCGGCTTCACACGTCAACATTTTTTTAAAAATTAGATTTTCTTGAATCTGATCATGTCCAAGATACCTCTTATTTTGGTATAGAACGCCTTTATTCAAACAACGGGAGAACATGAACATATCCCTTTGCCATAGTTTGGCTAAATTCCTGAGGCTGGCTGGGGCCAGAAACAAAATCCCTGAAATGGTCTCAAAATTTTTTTTTTTTTTTTTACCTCTCCCCTTTTCCTTCTGGTTGGTGGTCTTGGGGCCTACGAGGCCCCTCAGGCAGAGGGGAAATGGCAGTTTCCCCATCCCCTTTTGGGACTTCTTGAGCAGAAAAGCGAATGTCAGACGGTCCTTATAAAGTCCCACGTGATTCAGCCACTGAGGATGGCACTGGCTGTGGATTTACATGTAAGACAACTTCATGGCGTATTTTCGCCTTTTGCTGTTGAATATAACTACCAAGATATGGTTTGGGCAGACAAAATAGAAATCTTCTGTGTGTAGCATGTCCAGTTGGATACTGTTAGTGACATAGAGAGACGAGCGCACAACTCAGGTTTAACCTTCATCCCTGAAATTTGCCGGAACAGTCATAATGAAGGTGCTAATGTATTTCCTGAAATACTGAGTACTTCAGACAGGGAGATATGGGTGGTATCTAGTAGCCTTGTGATAAGACCCATATTAGACTAATAGTAGTCTTATCACCAGATTAAACCACCTGGATAGCCCACCTCAAGTCATCAAGAGTGTTAACATGGGAGTAAGTGTGACAAATGCCCAGGTGGTCTGGACTAAATGTGACAAAATTGAGAAATAGACCCTACAAGATCTGGATTTTAAAAAGAGAGAAAAAAAAAAATGGAAAGGCTGGCTGCTTGCTTCCTTTTAAGACTTTGTTCACGTTCTCGCCCCCAAAAGCCAATTATGATTATAATTTATCAGCCCACAGGAAATGATTGCTTCTCTATGAGACATCGTCAACATGATAAAATAATCCATTTCCCAAGATTTCTATATCTTAGTATCTCATCTCTTTAAAAAGCTCCATTGTCCATAAAAAATTATAAAATTACATATTTTTACATGACAGGTAATTTTTAATGTATATTTTTAATTTGGTTGTTGGTTTTTAAAATAGTAAAATATTAAATATCAACTATGAATATTTTGTGGTGGTAAGTTGTCAGGTTAATGTAAAGATTCCAAAAATAATTCACAGACATGTGGAAAGTTGCTCAGAGGGAGAACCAGTCTGATTTTGGAGAAAGTAATTACCATCAGAGGAGCCCTCGGAGGGAGCGGGAGAGTCCACAGGTTTCAATCAGGTTCTAGATGAATTGCAAAGAGAAAGGTTTTAGCTGGTTGCAGGAGGGGCTCTGGTAAAAGGATTAAGTCCAGTTCTCAGGAGTTTTTTAATAGGTTTCACATCTTTTGTCAAGTGGTGCAAGGAAGGATTAGGACAGAAAAGAAAGGTGATTTCATGGAGAAATATCTAATTAAAATATTAAAGATAGTCGGATGGCACACCTGACCTAGAGTCCAGGCAGTGGTAGGCAGAGTTCCTTCCCCTTTTTTTTAAACCACACATAAAACAGTCATTTTAATTCCAACAAATGGTTCATACTGGTATTCTAAACCACTACCCATGATTTTTTTTACTCTTTTTATTTACATCAAATCATTCAACTTCACATCATTTTCTTTTTAAGCATTAACATAATCCAAGTGCCAGGCCATTTTTGGTGATCCAGTCTGTAGAATGTGAGATGGACAATAACAATCAAACCGTTTTCAAACTCTAATAGTGGGAAGAGAAGGCCACATGGAACTTCCCTGAGGCTGAATTTCGTCGTCCTGCCTTTCAAGTGGTGTCCTGTGAAATCCAGCGTTTCCCCCTGTCAACTTCCAGAACAGGGCTGTAACTAGATGTATGGTTTGTAAGAATATCCCATGTATACTTCCTCTTGGTTATAACATAATTTGTTTTACGGGGGGTGGTTTGCCCTTTTTTTTTTTTTGGAGACAGGATCTCACTGCGTAGCCCAGGCTGGAGTACTATGGTGCCATCCTGGCTCACTGCAGCCTGTGCCTCCTGGGTTCAAATGATCCACCCACCTCATCCTCCTGAGTAGCTGAGACTACAGGCATGTACCACCACGCCTGGGTGATTTTTATATTTTTTGGTAGAGACGGGGTTTCATCGTGTTGGCCAGGCTGGTTTTGAACTCCTGAGCTCAAGCGACCCACCCGCTTCGGCCTCCGAAAGTGCTGCGATTACAGGCATGAGCCACTGCACCCAGCCACATAAATTTGTTTTTAGTCTTCTGAACGATTAAATAGTTGTACCAATTATACCAATTGCACCAATTCTATTACAAGGTGGAATTTCTTATCGTTCCTTTACAAACAGGATATTCCCAGTTGCTTGTTTTTGCTTGTTTTCCTAGCAGCTTCAGCACCATCCTCACATAGAAGGGCTGGCATCTCACCTATCTAGAGGTGAGAACAAAGCTGTGCTCTCAGCAATCGGAATCTGTCAAGTCTGCTGTGGGGACTTGGTATCTCAGGCCTGATGCTGGCCTAGGAGTGCCCTGCACTCGTCTCAAGATCGATGTCCCAGTGGGCGAGAATTGCTGCCAAGACTAACCAAGGGTGTCAACCAGTGACTTAACTTCTCAGGCTCACTTTTTTTTTTATTTTTAATAAAAACAAATTGTTAAAGAGGTAATTTAAAATATGTACTATATAATAAGTACTACAGCATATACAGTGTTTACATACATATAGGCATTAAATATTAAGAATGTTTATTTCAGAATCATATAATTATACCTGATATTTACTTTTTGTCATTCTTTGTATATTCTCCATTTTTTGCAGTATCTATATATTACTTGGGTAATAGGAATAGCAACCATTGAGAAATAGTTCTAATTGATTTTCCTTTTATAAAAGGGTTTCCGTGTAGTGACCAAGGACTTAACATCATCCCCACCCCACAGTCCCTCACACGCCTGACTCCCTTTGTGCTGTGTTTAATTTCTCATTTCATTCATTTACCCCTTCTGTGCAGCACATACTAGCTGCTGCTACACTACACGTTCTGACCAAAGCATAGTGTCCCCCTGGGGCAAGACTCTTGGGAATTGTCTTTTTTTATTTTTTTTTCATTTTTTAGGGTCTCACTTTGTTGCCCAGGCTGGAGCGCAATGGCACCATCATAGTTCACTGCAGCCTTGACCTCCTGGGCTCAGGCAATCCTCCCACCTCAGCCTCCCAAGTAGCTGGGACCACAGCTGCGTGCCATTGTAGAGATGGGGGTCTCACTCTGTTGACCAGGCTGGTCTTGAACTCCTGGCCTCAAAGTGTCTTCCCATCTTGGCCTCTCAAAGCTCTAGGATTACAGGTGTGAGGCACTGTGCCTGGCTTTAGGCATTTTCTTCCCCCTCTGACTTCTTCTAGGCACCTAGAACCAACACTGCCTGGACATGTGAAGGCACTCGATAAATATTTTTTGAACAAATAAATCAACTTGCATGGCTCCTGCCCCAAACTGGAAACCCCACCTAGGAGGGGTGGGCGGGGTCATATGGTGTTCACTCACTTACGCTAATGAACTGAGAAATAACGCACTTCTGCCCAAATTCATGTTCATTCACACTCCTCTCAGCAGTTTTCTGCAGTCTTCCCAGCCCCACGGAAAATTCTGCTTTTGTCAGAGGAGGGGATATGCGTGCTTTCCCGTGTTTGCTTTACCGCTGGGCAATCCATACAAGGCTACTAAACTGCAGAGGGTACTGGTGTTAGCATGCCCCGTGTTTATAAGGGACTTAAAAAAATATACAGGCTTGCATCCACCATACCTACCATACTTGTGTACTAGAGATATTCTCGGGGCAAAATGAGGTGAGGTGTGGAAAGTGCTTTAAGGTGACTCAGAGCCACCCTGTTGCGATTGCTGCCTTCGTGATGACTGGTGTGGCTGCAAAGTTCAGTGGCTGTCTTTATATCAGAATAATTCTAGAATAATTTAGGAGAAAATTCTCATTGTTAGGTTCCTTCAAGCCAAAGGAGGATGTAGTGAAAAGAGAATAGGTGTTGGCTGTCTAGATGGGCCCTGTTTAATTAGAGTCGACTGTATCAGTTGCCAAATGAAGCCAATCTTACAGGGCCATCCTATAGAACAAATATATATTTTTTATATTTAATATGATATATATGTGTGTGTACACACACACACACACACACACACACATACATATATACAGGGAGAGATAGAATGGTTTGCCTGCTGACTTGCCATTAAGTACCGTAAACATCCTGGAAATTGTGAACAGCTAATTGGAAAACAGTCTGTCCGTGTTCATGATTCATTGTATGCATCCTCTAGATCTCAACTCAGGAAATCCACAAAGCTGACCAGGCCCTGCTGTCATTTTGTGGCCAGATATGGAAAGATATAAACCACCTCCTTTCTTCCCTGTCAAAACAGTTGTGCCACGTCCTCCCCCTCTTCCTCATCTTGACTGACTCCCTCACAGGTGGTGTCTCTGTCTCTCCTGCCCCTGCCCCCACACGCACCTTTAGTTACCTCAGTCTTTCAAATTTTGCTCTTTGTTCCTAAGTACAGTCTTCCTTCCAACCTCTCGTCATGTCATTTTTGGGCCAGGAAAGATCCTGATTATGCTATAATGCCACTGTACGTGTTTTAAAAAGAAGGAACGCTGTACATTTGATATTAAATTTGGCATTTTAAATAAAGGGCTGGTAAAAAAATCTCTGAGTGCTAATCTCCAAGAAAGGGATGGAAGACTGGGGAAAGAGAATCTACTTCCTATTTCCACCATTTTAATAGCCTGACATATTTTTTTACCTTGCCCATATCTTACTTTCATAACATTTTTGTTTTATTTTTTAAATTACTCCCATGGCGGTAGAGTTGATTTGAACTCTTGTTTTTCAATTTTAAATGTACAAAATTTCAATTATTTTATGGATTAAAATAAGCACCCCAGACCATCCTGAGCATCTGATCACCAATGGTAAGACCATTATCCTTCTCAAGTTTCATCTACGGTAACTGGCTTACAGATAAACTTGTGGATTACAACCTGTTTGACAACTGTAAAGAGCCACATTGATTAAAATCAGAAGATTTTCAGAGTTCAGTATTTAGACTATATGGATTATCTAGTGTCTCAATAGAAGGTAAGGTTATGGAAATCCATTTCCTAGTTCTAAACTCTGCAAGCAAACAATCATCTCCCCATAGTGTGATATCTAAATAGTTAATCCAGTATGTCAGACAACCCCATTTAGTAAACAAAGACTACTTGACCATAGAAAACATATGATATATGTATAATATATAATCCATATAGAGTAAACATGTATTATATTTTATATACTGTATAGGCACATATCATACTATACATATACATATCGCATAAGAGATACAGTAAACTATATTTGTATTTTCCAAAATTAAATATGTTGCAGTTCCCCTACCATAGTGAAACTGTCTCTTCTACATTCCTTACTGCATTCCTTACTATATAGTAATACTAACACTGAGCACAATCATATTTCACCACTCAGGATGTAGCCAGCGGATACAGTAATGGTTCTTGTCCTCCGCAGGAGGACCACGGGAGACCAGTGGCTGTGAATGGGATGGGATTTTTTTCTTTCCTCTAATGAACCAAGCCCTGGGTTTTATTGTTGTTGTTTTAATATACAGCTATTGAGTGTTTTGTAGCCACACACGACAACACACACACACACACACACACACACACACAGAGTCCCTAGCAAGGGCAGGGTGGGGCTAGCGGGCTGGGTTCCCCTGGGAGCCCCTCACCATCCATTTCTCCCAGTGACGGCAGCTATGTTTGAAGAGCATAACTGCATGGTTTCCTATGCATTCATTCGTGAGTAGTAGCTCTCATATATTATTAAAAAGATACACTATTATTACTTTTAAAGAAAGAAAAGGATTGCAATTCACATTTACACTTTCCAGCCTGTTCTTGTGTTGTTTAAAAAACAAACAAACAAAAAACGATGGCAGAGGAAATGTTTGCCTCCGTAGTAGGCATCAACTTTATTTTTCAAATCATTCTGTTTTAACGTGTTCATAGACTGCAGTTGTTTATAGGTATGAGGCACTCATCAGTGTGAAATAGTTCTTTCCTTTCCATATTTCCTCTTATCAGAAAAAAAAATTCCTGTGGTCTCCTAGCAAAATACAATCCATTTTGCTAAATTATTTGTGAGTTTTTATAAAGTGTGTTTAATATCACCAGGGCAGAGGTTCACACTAGTTGCAGGATTAGCAAGAGAGACGTAGCATGAGTAGTGTTTGGTCCACTGCAGTGTGTTTTGTGTGCTAGCGATCATGAGTTTATCTGATCCTTGTTTAACTACTACACAGTGAGTAAGCTGTCCTGTATTGTTCCATTCATATTCCTCTGAGTTCATTCAGAAGCCTGACACTTCCTTTGCCGGACAGATTAAAGGGGCAGCGTGGGACCTTTTGATGATGTGAAACCTGCTTTCTTAGTCTAAGCTCCCTAGGCTATGCTGACCACTCAGAGGTTGAACTACTATTTATTTGCCCTAAAATGAACCAGAAACTTGGTCTTAGTTTCCTTCCTGACACATGTTTTAATTTCCTAAAAGTGTACGGATTTTGTAGTGGGTTGTTTTTGAATCTTTCATTTTTAGTGCTGATCCAGGAGAGAAAGGAGATATGGAAACATTTTTTTCAAAAAATAGCTCAAAAGAAAATATGTAAAACCATGAAAAACCCAGAATTGTGCTGCTGCTTTCTGTGCTAATTAAATCAGTGGGTGTTAGGTTGTAATGATAACCCTTTAACTGTGTGGCTTATCTCTCATTCCATTTTATATTATTTTCTTCCTCATGAGAAAATCAGTGTTTATTATCACAGGTGACAAAACACAGGAGAAAAACAAACAGTGAGGTTACATTTAATCACTTTAAGTGGGTTTCATCTTTGCTTTTTTGTTTTCATTCCCAAGCCAGAAGCCGTAAACCGAGCGAGAGTGCAAATTGCCTTTCTCAGGTGCACGTTGCTGAGATAGGCTGGGAGAACAGGTGTGGAGCCCGTGAAAAGATAAACATTAAGTCATTCTTGGGGAAACGGTATTTAGCTAGACAGCTGAAGACGGACTTTTGAAATACCATTGTGCTACTGCTGTTCAAATATTGACTAAGTGAACCTGGAAAGGAAGAAATTTTGGTCGCCTAACATAGAACTCGTTGTCTTTTTCTGTCTTTAAATGTTATCTCAAAGACCCAAGAGAAGGGGTAGTTTACCTAAGAAAGAAATATGAGCTTTGCTTATGGAGTTTCAGGTATACCTAATGTAAGTTAATTAAGCAAATACAATGTAGCAGCCTTGCATTTGGCCTAGCATTCTTTTATGTTTCCTGGCTGTTTCTTCGAGGAGATGACCTGCCTGTCGGGCAGATTAGAATATTTACTGCAGTGCATCTTTCATGCCTCGCTGTGACTCTGTAACCACGGTGGATGTGGGAAAGCCATTAACCATCAGCTTGACGGTTTACAAAGAAATAGGAAGTTCAAGTTAAGCAGATATTTAGGATATAGTTTGCCTTCCACATATTTCAACCTGTGTTGCTGCATACTTTTTAAGCTTAGCGTAATTATTCACACAGCTATGAATTTTAGAAGATGTTTAAAAGCAAACCACAGTGACCTGGGAAAGGAGGGAAACTTACTGGAGCGCTTAGCCAGGAGCTTAAAAAGACATTGCTAGTGAGTTTTATGTCACATGAAATCTACATTTGATAGGTCATTTTGGTAAGTTTTTGTTGTTTTAAATGACTCCTCTTGACACAGTAACCAGTGGTGCTGGGAACATTCATTCACATTCATTCATTTAAGCTCATGACTCAAATAATAACTTAGTCGTTTCCTCTCTGAAGGTAGGGGAGGTAATGAGGAGCACCGATTAGGCTCCAAGATCCGTTCTGAGATTCAGATAAGGTGTCCTAACAAAAGGTTTATGGTGAAATGAAAGAGTGAGAAAATAATTGTGCTTTTTCTAGGGTCATGCGTCAAATGAGGCTCACCAACTTTTAAAAGACTTTACATAGCTTTAGATAATCACATTCCCTGCCATGTAAGCATTGTGATGTAATGGCATCATCATGCTACTTAACAATTAATTTATGCATTTTGTTTAAACTTCCTTTAGAATATATATAGTCCATATAAAGAAAATTCCAGGTTCGTTTTGGATTTTGTATAAATAGCTCCCATGTTTACATGTGAAAAAAAATTATTTATGAAAGAAAAACAGAGCTTTCAATATCCTATTTTGGTTACGTCTCCATAAAAACTCTAGGAAACAGTGGGATCATCTGTGAAACAGTGGAATCACCCCAAGAACAAACTGTCAGACAGACCGTCCTGTCGTGGCATGACTTGAACATAACCGTCCCACGTGGGGACGCATTCCGCACCGGTTGCTGGAACTGACGGGGGCTGCAGTGCTGAATACCTCTGGGACGCTTGGGAACTGTGCCCCTGTTTACAGACGGCAAGCCCTTAGTGGTAGGGCCCTGAGATTCTGAGAAACATAAGGTCTGCTTTATTTAATTTCCTCTCGTTTACCAAGAGTCACAACCTATTTTAGTAAATAAATTCAGGAAATTGGTAAAGCACTTTACTCCATCCGTTATGCCTCGGTCATCAGCATGGTTGTCACGGTCTCTCTGGCTCACGGGCTGCTGCGGCTCACAGCCTTCCCTCACTTGCCTGCAACCAGCTGAGAGCCTCCCTGGTGATGGGTGTTACTGAGCTTAAACGATGTAAACAAACAGAACGGCACACAAGTTGTGCAGGGAAGTATATTTCCTCTACCTTGTTAATAAAGATTTCTAACTTTAGAGATTTTCTGTATTGACTCTGGCATTCTTTCCAAATAATTATTTTCACCCCGGGGACTACCCACACACCCTGGGATAGAATAAAAGAAATTATCTTTCATTTGAGGGTACCAGCAACCCGCTCTCCAGCTCTAATCCTCTTCATCCTCCTTCTTTTTTTTTTTTTTTTTTTGGTTGTTAAAACCTGAGCTGCTGCCAAGCTGATCTTAATAGCATGTTCACAAAGACAGATGGATTTTTTTCCTACCTTCATTAGCCACTGAGTGTTGTTTTCCATGATGTTCTCCAGCACTTGCAGCCTCTGCACCGAGTCATCGTATTCGAGCGGCGCGTCCCTCTGCACAGCATTGGACACGTAGGGGCTGGAGGAAGAGCGGCAGTTGTCCATCTCTGGCAGGAGGAAAGTGTAGCTGCAGGACCCATGCTGGACCTGATATTGCTTCTTTCCTATGCTGTCCATGCTCTTCCGAAAGTTGTTATAGGCTGCGGCCAAGACAAGATCACAGCTCAGAGTAAAGAAAACAATCTGCCACATTCTTTCTTCAGTAATAAACCAGCAGCTTAGCAAACTTGAGGGCAAACACACGTCCAGAGTCCCGAGCTGCTGCCGTCTAAAACGCAGGGCTGCTACGCTGCCATGGCTGGGTCCGTCAATGAAAGTCTTCTCTTTCCTCTTTTTCCAGTAGCAAACCTGGTTTTTACTGCTGTGTTCTCTCCAGGCATGCAGTAAACTGTCAGATTGCAGTGGGAAGAACAGTCCTGCTCACTTGGGAGGGCTGTGTCAGCTTTTACAGAGCAGCTTTCACGGTCCTTTGTTCCTCTCTCCCCAGATCCTACAGTGTCAGTATCCGAATCAATCACTTTCCTTTCCTTATATGATAAGTTGATAAGAGCAGCCAGACATGTGTAGTGGGCTGCTCCGCCCTCCTGGCTTAGCCGTTATCTTCCTGTAGGGGGTCACTAGCCAGGCAACAGGAAAAATCAGAGCAGAATGCCTGCCCTCCAACCAGGACCCATGCTGCAGAAACCCTCTGGGAAAAACCGATCTGTTACAGGACCCCTGGGCATTTCCTAGGCACCACCCCAATTAAGTATTTCCTAGAGAGAGCAGTTGATCTCTTTTGTCTGAAACTGATTTTTGCCGTGCTAAGCTGGCAAAATATCTGAGGTAATAACTTTAATGTTGAAGTACAATGAAAGTTCCTGTTTTTTCCTTTAGGAATAAAAATATTACAAATAGGTCAGGACTTCGGTTTATTTTTGTTATTACAAATAAAGAGGAAGAAGTTTGGCTCCTGTAAACGTGTGCCTTTTCAGAGGGAAAAATAGATTCATTGATTTTAGTTGATTCTTGAACCACTAGCCAAGTTACAAAAGATTTTCATTTCCGAACAGTTGGATAGAAAGATCTGTTATTAAGTCACGTTAGAAACATCAGTTTCTGAGCTCTGACCTTTATTCTTTAAAAAAACTCCACTTGGATATTCACTCTAAAAATACACTGTACTGATTAAGTTCATTACATTACAATAGAGAAATTAGAATTTAAGTGCCTGTGTAGAAAGAGGAATACAAACTTTTTTTTTTTTTTTTTTTTTTTGAGACGGAGTCTCGCTCTGTCGACCAGGCTAGAGTGCAGTGGGGCAATGTTGGCTCACTGCAACCTCCGCCTTCCGGGTTCAAGTGATTCTCTTGCCTCAGGCTCCTGAGCAGCTGGGATTACAGGCAAACGCCACCACACCCGGCTAATTTTTGTATTTTTAGTAGAGACAGGGTTTCACCATGTTAGGCTGGTCTCAAACTCATGACCTTGTGATCGACTCGCCTTTGGCCTCCCAAAGTGCTGAGATTACAGGTGTGAGTCACCATGCCTGGCCCACAAACTTCTTTATTGTGTCAGAATTTGTTGACATCTCAGCATTTTGTAACACATTATCAATTACATTAGTCCCCCTTGGTATTAGACTCGGGCAAGTCACTTCCCTGTTTTAATTAAGCTCTAATGTCCTCATCTGTGCAATTCAAGGGGTGCACTCACAAGATTTTTCACCTTCAATCCTATGGCTCTGTAAGTTCTGCAAGTCACTTCCTTTAACAACTAAAACTTAATACTTCAGAGATTAATAATATGTTAACTCAGCAGCCCAAGTGTACATAGGGAAAAAGCCCCCTGCCTTTGCTGCGGTTTATCTCTCAAGGTACAAGGTTTATTATTCCCAGTGAGCGCTGAATAGCTGGTACACTGACTTAACAGACCACATCTACCCATAAAAGATCTTTATTTTTTACTAAGCTCTAACCGAAAGACAGCCTTTCCCTTATCAATGAATAGTTAACGAACAACAGTGTGAATATCTGTGACTTTCTCATCCTCAGAAATCAGCTCTTTTTATTTGCTGCCACAATACTCAGAACTACATTTTTATTAAACCCAGCCCTAGATCTTGCTACTGAACATTGGAATAAAGTAGCATGTGTCTTCTTTTGAGAAGGTGTTTATAGGCTTCACCAGACAACCAAAGGGTTCTGTCACACAGAAAAGCTGGAAGACATGCTCTGGAAGGATCTCATTAGTAGAAGAGGTAGTATGATTCCACCAAGGTTCTGGACATGGTTTCCACTAAGGGAACCAATTAAAGATGCTATACCCATCCGGACAGTGCACCGTCGAAGAAAGCATATAGGTCTTAAAGATGAGACCTGTGTTAGAACCCTGCTTCTGTGTGACCTCCAGCAAATGCTTCCATTCTTGGAGCCTCAGTCTCCCTAGTCATAAGATGGAGATCATTTTTTCTCTGTAGGGTTTTTAGGATTAAGATATAATTGTATGTTTAGAAATATTTGTTCCTTTTCTTTACAGGCATGCTCCATTAAATGGGGATCAGTTCTTCCACCATCAAATAGTATAACTCTGCTATTCTCTGAATGCAAAGCAGTGGCAGTGGCATAGGGTACAATTTTTTTATTTCCTGTTTGAAAAAGCATATTGTAAGGTATTAATATCACATATGTGGTTTTACCTTTTTTCAAGATTATTTTTTGTAGAGACGGGGTCTCACTCTTGTTGCCCAGGCTGGTCTTGAACTCCTGGCATCCAATGATCCTCTTGCTTGGCCTCCCAAAGTGCTGGGATCACAGGTGTGAGCCACTGTACCTGGCCTGCATATATGGTTTTAAAAGTCATTCAGTTGTCTTCCAGGCAAATAGAGTAGTTTAAAAGGAACAAATAGAAAGAGGGCACACCACAGTACTTTTTGTCTACCAGCCTTGTGTCAGACACCATGCTATGCACTGGGGATAGAGATTAAGGCAACTGGGTGTCTGACCTAAAGAAGCTAATAGTGTATGGAGAGGGAGAGACCCATAAACAAATTGGATGTGGTAAGAGAGAGCAGTCGGAGCACAAAGAAAGACAGTGATGCTTCCGGGTGCACAATATGCCATGTGCAGCTGGCATGGACTCCATCCTTTTCAAATTCCCTCAAGTTCCGAACATGGAAGGAACAGCTCTTTGTAGATTCCTAAATGGAAATTATCGGAACCAGAGAGTCAGGGGAAGCTCTAGTAGAGCCGGAGTTGGCAAACTCTGTCCAGTGTCAGATGGTAATTATTTTCGGCTCTGCAGGCTATACGGCCACCATCGCCACCACTCAAAGGTAATGCGGTGCAAAGCAGCTGTGGGACAGCATTAACTGAGTGAGCGTGCTGGGCTCCAATAAAGCTTTATTCGTGATACTGAAATTTGAATTTCTTGTAATTTTCACATCATGAAAGATTCTATTTTCTGCAATCATTTAAAAGTTTAAAAACCATTCTTAGCTCATAGGCTGTTAGAAACCGGGCCTGGACTGTAGCTTGCTGGCCTCTGAGAGCCTAGGTGGTCTGTGGGGGTAGGAGGTGCTGGGCAAGGCCGTCCACAGTGCACGCGGTGTGGTGACCGTGTGTGGTTGGCAAGGCTGTCAGCAGTACACACAGTGCAGCAACCACCGTGTGTGGTCAGCAAGGCCATCCACAGTCCACACAGTGCAATAACCGTGTGTGGCGAGCAAGGCTATTGACACTGTACGCCGTGCAGCGACCGTGTGTGGTCAGCAAGGCCATGGAGAGTGCACACAGTACAGTGACCACCTGTGGTCGGCATGGCCATTAACAGGGCACACAGCACGGTGACCATGTGTGATCAGCAAGGCCGTGGATAGTGCCCGTGGTGTGGTATCCATGTGTGATCGGCAAGGCCATGGATAGTGCATGTGGTGCGGTGACCCTGTGTGATTGGCAAGGCCATGGATAGTGAACGTGGTGCGGTGACCGTGTGTGATCGGCAAGGCCATGGATAGTGCACGTGTTGCGGTGACCATGTGTGATTGGCATGACCATCGACAGTGCTTATGGTGTGGTGACCGTGTGTGATCCGCAAGGCCATGGATAGTGAGTGCACACGGTGCGGTGACCATGTGTGATCAGCAAGGCCATGGATAGTACACGCGGTGCGGTGACCATGTGTGATCGGCAAGGCCATGGATAGTGCACGCGGTGCGGTGACCGTGTGTGATCGGCAAGGCCATGGATAGTACACGCGGTGCGGTGACGGTGTGTGATCGGCAAGGCCATAGATAGTGCACGCGGTGCGGTGACCATGTGTGATCGGCAAGGCCATGGATAGTGCACGCGGTGTGGTGACCGTGTGTGATCGGCAAGGCCATGGATAGTGCACGCGGTGCGGTGACCGTGTGTGATCGGCAAGGCCATGGATAGTGCCCGTGGCGTGGTGTCCATGTATGATCAGCAAGGCCATGGATAGTGCACGTGGTGCGGTGACCGTGTGTGATCGGTAAGGCCATGATAGAGCATGCAGTGCGGTGACCGTGTGTGATCCGCAAGGTCATGGATAGTGTACACGGTGCGATGACCATGTGTGATCCGCAAGGTCATGGATAGTGCACACGGTGCGGTGACCATGTTTGATCGGCAAGGCCATGGATAGTGCACACGGTGCAGTGACCACCGTGTGAACAGGGGAGGACTGGTGCCTCGGCTCAGCCTTCTGTGTGGCTGCTTACAGGGGCTTACTAACGGGATAGAATAGGTGCTTAGAGAAAGTGCCACACTGAAGTGAATTAAGGATGCCAGGTGGGGAGAGGGGCCAGGAAGTGGCCTGGGATGCAAGTGTGCATGGATGGGCGCTCAGCTGTGGCCCCTAGGGAAGTGGAGACATGGTCTGCCAGGCCACTGACCAGGAAGCCTCGGGGAGCCAATGGGAGGCCCTTGAAGGCATTAGGTGCAAAGCCTGGAGTTGTGGGTGTCCAGTAACACCACCATGCAGCCTGGGGGTCTGAGGCCACCCATCTGGGACCCCTTCACTCTAAATGAGGCTTGACTAGGGGGATCTCAGAACTCCAGAGAAAATCTTGGGTGTTCCTCCCTGCTGTACTGACGGGACCACAAGAGGCAAGTGAGACTGTCAGATGAGAAACATTATTACAGGTTCCCAAAATCCACCTGCCTACCCACCCAATTTTTGTCTGTAATAGTTCTGCTGAACAGCTGTGCATAGTGCAATTTATTTCCTTAATACTGTTTGTTTTCTCCCCCATATTCTGTGTCGGCAACTGACATTTCAGAGGTTCCCATGTGTTCTCTGTGGAACTGTCTCAAGTTCTTATTACCCTGGTTGACGACACCAGAAAAACCATAGCTACCTACTCCCAGAAAGAGGCCAGTGTTACAAAGAATCTCGTGGCCAGCCCTTTTGGCTCAGTTTGCCCAGTTGGAGGCCCTAAGGCGCAAACAAGAAAAGCCAAAGGGCCTCCTGAGGACCGTGGAAGTGGGTGGCGCGTGGACCCATCGCTAGCTGAATGTGGAATGTGGACCCATCGCTAGCTGAATGTGGAATGTGGACCCATCGCTAGCTGAATGTGGAAAAGGACTTATGACAGTCAGACCATCCCAGGTTCCCCCAGAGCAATCCGTGCAGCTCTCATAAGCAACCAGAAACCAAAAAAGGATGCTAAGTCAGCACAAAGTGGAGCAGCCCCCCAGCTATGGGTTGCCAAACAGAATTTGCTTGTGGGCCCCGTGACCCCTGCTGTTGTCCAGTTTAATGCTCAGCATTTATCCAGATCAAGGGATGGAAATGGGGCCACCAGCCTGACCCAGGCCCGGGGTCGTTTTGCTTTTCCAACCTGTACCATCCCAGCAATGCATTGCCAGCGTGCAATTTGAAAAAGCCCTGCCGAGCTGAAAAACACATGGAAAGGGCTCAGACACACTTAAAGGCACATTGCTGCCCTGCATTTATACGGCATTTTGTGCTGACATCGTTTTCCATCAGGCCTGGGCAGCCCCTCCTGAGACTGTCTCCCGCCTGCCGTCCTCAGCACGGCCTGCCCGGCTACAGTCTGCTTTCCTCCCACTGCCCCTGCCTGCAGGCCTTGGAGGCGGTGACTGCTGCAGACTTATTTGGGCAGCCTGGCCTTAATTTTTGGAAAGTGCCTTGTTGATGTATGAGGAACTTCCACGGCTGAAACAGTCTAAAAAAATGAAGCTGGGACACTATGTTTTGATTTGAGCCATTTGCAGACAGAGGGGCACACTCGGGACTCTTGGGCGCCTGGCACACTAAGCTGGGAGGGACTTTTGAGACATCTTGGCCATCCAAATCAGTCAACATGTTTATATATACAATTTAATGTTCAGTATACAGGGAAAACCATTAGAAGGTTAGCTGCACATAAAACTGTTGTTAAAGTTATTTTTATTACTTCCCCCCACAAATCGTATGCAATAATTAATAAGAACTAGAGAAATAGCCACAACTGGCACAACACCTGCCCCTCTGCCAAAAGAAAAAAATCTTCTTTCTGAAGGCAGGCTCCCTATATAGTGATTCCTTTATATGCCTCCTGGAAGATCTGTTTCGACTCCATTTTGATATATGTTGAACCAGATTTGAAGACCCACAAATGCAGTCTAGAGCCATTTTGCAAAAGTGTTGCTGCATCAACCATTTCCATTCCCCAGTGCTGCTCATCATGTTACACTAGTGTTAAATCCTGACTTTGGAATGCGAGGAAGGACAGTTCCAGCCATGGGATTTCAAAAAAGTACCAAAGGAAAGCCCCTTCAAGTTACCGTAAAGACAGAAGAAAAGGAAGAAAAATATAAACACACACGTATAAACATGTAAGGTAGCTTTGGTCCCTATAACAGACAAGGAAATCAAGGCTCCGTGAAGAGAGAGACAAGAATTCCCTTAGCCAAGTGCCTGTGTGTGTCTGTCTTTTATGTTAATGGTTATGAATTTAAGGAGAATTGAAAGCAATAATTTTGCCCCTCTTTAACATGGCAAATACAGCCTGCTTTAGAGATGATCAGCAATCACCATTTAGTACTGGCCGTCACCTCTGTGCAGCACAAACACACATCCCGAGTGACAGAAGCCATTTCACTGCCAGAGACTCTTAGCGGCCTTCAGTTCTCTTGAGCTGGAGCCACTGGGTCTTGTATGAAAGCTCACCAGACATCTCATGTGGACCTCGGGCATCTGAGCCGGGACCATCCTATTACAAGTGCGGAAACCAGATCATTAATGCAGAGCTGAATTCAAATTGTTACTTGCTAGCTTAGGAAAGAATCCTTGGAAATCCAACATATTGTCTAAATGGATCAGTTAATCTTACTATGTGCATTCTACATACCCTTTCATTGTTTGGGCTTAAATAACTTTTCTGCTTTGTCTGGTTTAATTTCATCCAATGTGGATCGCTGGAAGAATATGATGTATGTTTTAGAATAGAAACAGTTCTGAGATGAAGTTGAGCACAATTTCCTGTTCTAGTTGCAATTAAATATAAATATAGCATTTGACATAAAATAGCTGGCCCGATATATTTAGAGTACAAGTTAAGTGTCATCCCCTTAGAATTGGGCATTGACTCCGTAGAATTCCCCTTTGTACAAGGTGAGCAAATGTATATTTTGTTAAAAATAAGTATCTGACTGCCAAAACGGACAGAAAGCTCTTTGCCATATGTGTTTTCAGGCCATTTCCTTTCCTGGGAAACAGCCATTTCCCCCGCATTATAGTTGTGTTTTCATTTGCGGGTAGATAGAGTAAGCGCAGGAGTTAAAGGACGCGGGCCTCCACAGCCAAGGCCTTATCTGGGACAATTATCTTTCTCCTTGCAGCTGTGTAACTTCTGTTTGACACAGAACCACAGAAACCCTGTTAGTGGGAAGGATCACAGTTAATAGGAGAAAAATCTTCATTGTTCATGAGACTTCTCAGGTGCTTGGCATTCTTATTTAGGTGGCTTAAAAAAGTTCCAAGTACTCATTCATTCTAACTTATCTGTGTTCATTGTGAAATCGTGTGTGAATGACATTTGGAGCAGATGGATTGTTGTTTTTTTTTTTTTTTTTTTTTTTAACAAACTTAAGAGATTCCCGAATCTTTCACAGTTTGTACTACCGCAAACCAGCCTAACATCTGCTAAAGAATTTCATATTTTAAAGCTGCACTGTACATCATATGGAACCTTAAGGACTTTGAAGGGAAGAGCTTTTTATTTACTGGTAGCTTGGGAAATATCCAAGTAACTATTTTTTAAGAAAAAAAAATTCCTTGAGTTTTTAGAAATAGTTTATATAACTGTTATGCTGTTTGATTTTTAAATATTTTCATTCTCTAGTATTATTATGGAATATTTTATCTTCCCATCAAAAAAATGCCAGAAGGTCAAGATAGAAGTCACAACATTAAAAGGGAGTGGATACAATTGTAAAACAATAGATGAGTACATTTGCCTGATAATATTTTTGCCAGTAATTCTGTGTCCTGTTTTCTCCCTGTAGAATGAAATGCTAAACATTTTTTTCAATGGATTGATGTCAGTGTTTACTAACATGACCTGTGTTAAGTCAAATAAAGTATTTCCTTTGACAAACACCATATTTCATTAGTGGCTTTGAGGTGGGCTTATTTGTTATAAGTCACATTAAATGTTCCCAAATCCATTTCATAAATGTTGTCGAGATCTCAAACTCCGTTGCTTCTAAAAAAATATGTCCAGTCTCTTTGTCATAACCATCCTAATAAAGATCTAAATTTCTTAGAGTGAATTTTCATTTGAAAGTGGCTTAATGCCAGCTAGATTAATTCTTGTTTAATCTAAATTTATAAAATTTTTATCTTAATTATTGAGAAACCTTTTTAAAAAGAGATAAAAATGTCATATGTGCTATTTACATTAAGATATATTATCTCTCTTGGTTATAGGTTAAGATAAATAAAATTGCTTATGTCAAAGAAGTAAAAAAAAGTCCATGACCTCCTTTTGGTATCCCCATCCATCTGGCGGACTTAATATGAAAAAATCTTCCTGTGGGAAATTAGGCTTGATTATAGAGTTACAAGTACAAAAAGTAGTTTTTGAAGAATTATAATAAATAGTTACACATAAAAGGAAGTGATGTTTGCTTGAAGTATATAAAAATATTCCTTGTCACTCTTGTCCCCTCATGAATCTTAGTTGTCTGATGATGGTTCAAGTCTTTCCTAATAATCCAGAATGTATCCCTCCACTTTTTCTCTTAAAAACGCTATTTCAAGCATTTTCTTTGGTACCCCATTAATAATAAAGCATACTTCCCCAAAATGTTCCATTTCAAGTAAGGGGTCTAAAAGTCAAAGACCGACTGATACAAAAGAGAAAAGTAAATTGTACAAAGACTGAAGAGAGGATGCAGTATTAAACGTACCAAGTTCTTGACATCGGTTTCCCTCAAGAAAAAAAAAAAATGAGTAACGTTTTTTGAAAGCCTGAAACTATTCTAGTAAAATATTTACGGAAAAAATAATATGCGCTCTCCTCCCAAATCCTGATGCGCATTTAAATCACCTTTTTCATTTATAGATCAAAAATCTTGCTTGACTACAATAAAAATTAAAAAATGGTACCTATTTAAGAATGCAAGTATCAAATCCACTTGTAATACTCACTAGCTCCCTCTGCTGATCTCCTATCAAGCGACAGGCAAATCTATCCATGATTGTTATTACAATTGTTAATGGAAATGATAGGTAATTTAGGACCTACATCAATTGCAACTAAAATACAAGCTACAATGCTTTCATTTTAATTTTAATGCAAAAGCACATCACACCATATACAGATGTTAAAGACCGACGTGCACACACACAGTGAAAAAATATTTTTAGGCATTCATTTAGCATACATAGACCTAGGAGCTGTCTCTGTATCCTCAGGTGATAAGGTTACTACTATTACAACAGCAGAAAAAGAGGTCTGTACTGTCTGTCTCCATAAGGAGCCAATTTAGAGACCCAGTCCTGTTCACCCCAAGCTTACAGTCTAACGAGGTGAACAGATGTCCCATCTGGATGCACAAGCACTGCTGCCTAAGGCCCTGGGTAGTGCAGGAGGGAGCCCCCACACGGGAAGCCTCCCAAACCACGTAAGGGCTACGTGAACAGCAAGAATAGTTTCACTGTTTATTTAGATCCACACTGTTACTTATTTAAGAAGAACATACTCTGCCCTTTCTCCCTCCCTGAAGAAAGACCAAAACTGAGGGAAATTATATTCCAGGCTGAGAAAATTGCCTGTGCACTTAAAAAATAAATAAATAAAAGGCGAGACCACGGAAGTTAAAATAAATTAACAATAATTGAGCCAAGAGGGAGGAGATGGGTGAGTCGGAGATGCGGTCTGGAACTAGCTGCTGAAGAGTCTGCTTAGGAATTGGGGTTGTACCCTGGACATAAAGCATTTGGGGCGGGGGAGTGTCCTGATGTGACTGAGAAAGGACTGTGGAGTGCTGTGTGCAGAAGGGCTTAGAGGAGGTGTGAGTAGAGGCAGAGAGACCAGAGCAGAAGCTGCTACAGTAATTCAGGTTAGATATTATAGTGGCCTGTGCTAGAATATTAACATCAGGCTCATGATGTTAAAGAGGGGTGATCAATAGGCCTTCTAGATGGATGGAATACAGGGAGTCCAGGAATGGGATTGGTCTGGTACTGGGACTGACTCTTACACTTAAAAATGCTAAAATAAAATAACTTGGCAATAGTTTTTAAAGCATCTGTAAAATGACAAGATAATAAACACATATTCTGCTCAAACTTATGTGAAGGCAGGAATCCTGTGAACTATTAAAGAGCTTTGCCATCAAGTCATTTGCCAAACCTGGCCAACTTAAGCCTACTTCAAGGCCTGAGTGGTTCAGACAGAAGACAAAGGCCAGGACCTAAAGAAATGGGAGCATCTGATGAGATACCTCCTTCCAGGAAGGCTCTACCCCAGTGTCAGGGAAGCAGAAGTAAACCTGCCCACCCCACTCTCCAGAGCAGACAAGAAAACATGCCTGGATGTTAAACAGAACTAAAAGAGGGGAGCCCATCCCTGAGAATTTAACTACAAGCTCACCCTTTTGGGTTTTACAGTACACATAAGGTGGCCAGAAAAAACCACAATGAATTGTTCTAAGGTGGTCCCAGGCTGATCATCTTATTCCCCTAGGTTTGTGGAAGAAGCAAATGAAAATCCTTTCTGGGAGAATGCACTTTCATCATGGGTCTCAAAACATTCTTACAATTTCCCAAGAATAATGGGCAACTCACAGACAAAAATAAACACACAAGAAAACATAGTGCTATTAGCAAAAATCAGCAGAAAGAAGAAATAGTAAAAACAGACCAGCCAAAAACATCTATCCCTGCTGTATTGGTTTGCTAAGGCTGCGGTACAATGTGCCACAAACCGGGTGCCTAAAACAATGGGAATTTATTCTCACAGCTCTGGAGGCTAGAAGTCTGTAATTGAGGCATCAGCAGGGCCATGCTCCCTCTGAAACCTATAGGGGGTCCTTCCCTGTCCCATCCTAGCTTCTGGTGTTGCTGGCCTCATCGTCTCATGGTATTCTCCCTGTCTACACGGCCGTCTTTTTATAAAGATGCAGTCACATTGGATTAAGAGCCCACCCCACTCCAGGAGGACCTCCTCTCAACTAGTTAAACCTGCAGTGACGCTACTTCCAAATAAGCCCACATGCTGAGTTGCTGTGGCTTAGGACTTACATCTTTCTATCAGGAATGTAATTCTATCCATAACACTTACGATGTTTAAAGATGAAAGTAAAATTTTGAAAACACCTAAAGGGGACAGAAAACTAAAGAAGAAAATCTTGCAGATTTAAAATGAAAACTTATAGACATGAAAAATACGATGGTTGGAATTTATAATTCAGAGTCATGTTTAACAAGATTAGACACACCTGAAGCTGAAAGATAAGTGAAAACGAGTCATCCCAGGTGTAGGACAGAGAGACGAGATAAGGACCAGGAGAGAAAGTGAAGGAAGACCTGCAGGATGGAGGAAGAGTGTCTGACAAAGTCCATCCAAATTCCAGAAGAAGGGAGAGAGAACAGGGCAGGCAATATCCAGGGAGATAGTCACTGAAGCTTTTCCCAAAGTGATGAAAGATATCAAGTTACAGATTCGAAAAACGGCAAAAAATGACAAACAGGATAAATAAAATGATGAGATAAAGCAGTAAGAGGGAAGTCAAGAATTACTGGTTCTGCAGTTTCTGGCCTGGCAGCTGCACAGATAGGATTCTCAAGGGCTCGGAAGGGGAGAGCTAGCAGAGAGGCAATGCATGCAGCTTGCACACATTCAGTTTAAATTGGCTATGAGACTTCCGGTTAGAGTTTTCCTATTGCATGTTTGGGTCTGAGCTCAAGAGAGCCACCTGGGTTGGAAGCAGCAGGAAGACCTATTTTCCTGATTAATCTCAATGCCAGCCTCATTACACAATCTTAACTAATATTAAACAGTATATGAAACAGGTGAAGAAGAACAGCTGTATAAATTGCATAAAGCTTAGCAATGTGGGTTTTTCTAGACAAAGTTAAGCAGCAAAGCAGCTCCATTATGAGGGACCCTTGGCCACGGTTTCACAGGTGCAGGTTCTGCAGATCATGGCATGTTGTCCTGTTCTCTGGATTATGGCTCTAGAAGAGATAATGATAAAGAAGACCCAGGGTGGTCAGTAAAAAGGTCCTACGTGGTGTCTATACAATGTTGCAAGTGACTAAAAATGAGTAAAACTTACAAGATATAATTAGTAGCATGCAACTCTTCATAAATTTGTCACTTCTTTGAAGGTCCTTGTTATGAGTTGAATTTTGTTCTCCGAAAATTCATGTTGAAGTCCTAAATGCCCTCAGCACGTGACCGTCTTCGGAAGTAGGGCCATTGCAGTTGTAATCAGTTAAGATAGGGTCATACTGGAGTGGAGTGGGCCCCTAATCTAATGTGACAGATGTCTTTATAAGAGGACGGTCATGTGAAGACAGATACAGGAGGAACGCCTCGTGACAACGCAGGTAGGGACAGGGTGAAGCTTCTACAAAACAGGGAACACCAAAGATGAGCAGCCACTGCCAGCAGTTAGCAGAGAGGCCTGGGACAGATCCTGCCTCGTGGCTTTGGCTTCCAGAAGGAACCAACCCTGCCCCACACCTTCACCTCAGATTTCTGCTCTCCAGAACTGCGAGAGAGTGGATTTCTGTTTAAGCAAGTTTGTGGTACTTTGTTACAACAACCCTAGCAAACTAATACAGCCTTAAAAAAAAAAAAAAAAAAAAGTAATAGGAAAGGAATTAAAATATAACGCTACCTTGCAGCCTCCACCAAACACTGTTGCCATTTGGTTCTTCTCCTTCTTGTTCAACCTCAGGAGGGGGTGAAAAAAGTCCAGGCAGCTCCTGGTGATAGCTATGCAAAGCTTCATTCTGCAGCAGTAAAAGTGTTTCCTAGAAGTACTAAGGCTCGTTAATTGCAGCCACCCTATAAAAGAAGGTCCTCTTTCATGAAGAGCCTGTTTCTCTGCAGGAAGATGGGGCTGACCTCAGGGCCTCCAGCACTTAGGCACTTATCCATATGTCTGTAACCATTGTTGTGAGGTTAGTTGATAATGGCTCATTATCCTCGCTAAAATGAACTCGTTGAAGTATGAGGCCAGGCCTTATTGGAATCCTTCCCTTTCCCTTTCCCTTCCCGTTTCCTTTTCCCTTTCCCTTCCCCTTCCCCTTCCCCGTCCCTTTAGATGTAGTCTCCCTCTGTCCCCCAGGCTGGAGTGCAATGGTGCGATCTCAGTTCACTGCAATCTCCACCTCCCGGGTCAAGCGATTCTTCTGCCTCAGCCTTCTGAGTAGCTGGGATTACAGGTGCCCGCCACCACGCTCTGCTAATTTTTGTATTTTTTTTTTTTTTTTTTTTTTTTTTTTTTTTTTTTTTTTTTTTTAGTAGAGATGGGTTTTCACCATATTGGTCAGGGTGGTCTCGAACTCCTGACCTCAGGTGATCCGTCCGCAGGTGAGCCACCCGCCTCGGCCTCCTAAAGTGCTGGGAGAGGCACAGGCGTCAGCCACAGTGCCTGGCCTACTGTCTTCTCTAAAATGGCATCTGTGCATTCATCTCAGCCGCCCCTGCTCAGATAAAAGCAATGGCGCCTCCTTTGAAATCTGAGAGACGCAGGGCCCTGCCCATTCTGCGGAATTCCTTCTCCCTGCTGCCTGCTGTGAGGAGGCCCCCTTTGCCACGGAACCTGAAATTCCTGCCACTGGAATTACGCTCTGGACAAGCGGCAAGATACTCCTTTCAGTCCCAGCCACTGGGTTCCTGCTGCACAGGAGGCCAGGGTGCTGTGAACCTGCTCTCAGCCCCGGGCAAAGGGAATCTCGTTAATCCAGGTGGCCAGCGCCTCTTCCTCAGAGCATCTGCAGTGCTGCAGACAGGGCCTCCCTGCGTGGGGCTTCTGTCCTCCACACTGTGGTGCTGCTGGGATGTTTTCATGGGGCCTTTCCCTTCCCGTCACCACGTGTGCTCCAGAACCCGGTGCATTTGGATGAAGCCACTAGATGTATAGGTCAGCAGCTCCACATAGAATCAAATTATCAAATGCACACTACCTGATCCAGAATAGATCGTCCTGGGGTAAACACATTCACATATTCTGAATGTACAAATGGCTGTCTAGTAAACACACTGGAACTTCCATAATTATTGTCCTTCCAGATAATTTTTCAAGATTATATGCACGTATTCTGCCATTCCTTTTCAAGACAACTTTAGAACTTCCTTTGGACAGCTACTGTAAGCCAAAGGGCTTGCATTTGAATATCTTGCATGAAGCTAAATCTTTGTTCATGAAAGGCAGAATAATTTTATATGCCACAAAGCTGCAGTAGTGTGTTAGGTTTAGTAGATGGCTAAGCACTACACTGTATTATTCTAATCCTATTTTCACAATTTAACAAATGTGAGACACCGTGCTACTTGTACAAGAGATACAAATTAAGGAATCTTCAATGACCTTGTAGCCTAGAAAGACCTTTAGTAATTCTTCTTAATCTCCCTACAGAGCTAAGTGATCCAGAGCTGAATTAATCCAGAATTTATGTCTTCCTCCGCCTCCGGAGTAGCTCTAGAAAGGTCAAACCCTTCCGAGATGGAGTGTCTGTGGGGGTAGGTCCTCTTTGCTGTGTGCGATCCTGTGAGACAGCGGGATGTCCTGCATCTCTGAATTTGAAGCGAGGAGTTTTTCTGCTATGTTTGGGGAGAGCCTCACTCCCCTGCTCAGTAGATCAGACGTGTTCTCTTCTTTCACCACAGCTACAAACAACACACTGGCATTGTTTCCCAGACACTCGACTGTCCCGATGGGCATTTGGACATGGTCTATGAGAGGAATAAGCTCCAGCCACTGTAGTGGCTCATGGGAGAGGGAAATGGGTAGAAATTCTTTCCCAAACTGGTATTTCTAGTAAAGCACTCAGCCAGAGCCTGCAGCTGTTCACTATTCCATATCAATTCTAAACAGCATTTTCGTTGGCAAAAGAAAAGTGAGAAAACAACAAAGCTTGAAGCCTAAAACTTTGGGAAACCCCTTTCCTGAATGTGTTTACTTAGGGCTTAAAAATATGCCTGTTTTCAGAACAGAAGAACTAATATCCATGTTTTCTATGCCGATTTTTCAGAGTACATTTTAAATGTAAGTACATTTAGTGATTAAAAGGGAAAAATACTTGATCATTTTCTAAACATAACCAAAATCTCACTATGTAATTGTTTTTTCCTCTATTTAAGAGCAGAATATTTCATTGCTACCAAAATGCTAGTATTTTGGAGAAAATAGAAGAACTAGAATAAGTAGTCAGCAATACAAAACCCTGCGTGGAAGATGTGTATTTTGGATAGGTGTCAACATGTCCAAGCTCTCAGTGACAAACACAGGCTCATTACAGGTCTGAGCAAATGTGCCACTTCTCAGGAAGACAAGGCAGATCAATGTAAAGGCAGGTGGCACCTGGTATGGCTCAGACTCGCACGTGGTTCTCCACAGAGCTGCTCTCGGCTCCTTTGGAAGAGGTTCAACGTTGGGAGCACAGGTTGCTTCTCTGGCCCATGTTATTCCTGGAGCTACTACTTCCCAGGGCAGAGTTCATGTTTTTCGTTCATAAATGGCCTGGAAATCCTAGCATTGGGCCAGCCATCCAGAACAGTGGAGCTGCATGATCTGGTCTGGGGATATTTCAAAGGGAATAGAATACTGAGGCCCTGTGGGATGGAGGCTGCTTCCCGATATTGAGAACTGCACCAGACTGAGCTGTGTCCAGAGGAAGGGAGAACGTCTTTCATTCACTTAAAACTCACCTAACACCTGACACCTCCATCTTGGCATCATCCACCTGTAGCCTCTAGCCCTCTTCATCTGTTAAGTGAGAGTAACTGGCAGGTTATTTGGAGAGTGAAGTGACATCGGCAGAGTTCCAGGTATGGTGTCTGATGCGTGAGTTCGCCCCCTTTCCCGGTCCCCTTCTCCTCCATTTGACTAATTATCAAAGAAAGATTGCTTTAGTGAATGAGACAGTTTAGATCCATTCCCTTGGGAAATTATGGTGGTCAGCCCTCCGCTCGGTCTCACTTTTAGATACCAGAAACTATATGTCCTTGTGTTGGCAGAGCTGGATTGTCTGTCGCCCTCTGGTGCAATCCTGCATTAGTAAGGGAAGTGTTTTTCTGGGGCGTTCTAATGAAAAGTGCTTAAGCATTTGTTTTGGTGCCCAGATAATGTGACTGTAGTTAGTATGTAGTGTTTGGACTTTTTGCTCATGCTTTTGTTGTTGTTGTTGTCATTGCAGAAATAAAATTAACCCCTTAATCTTATGCTTAATGTACACACCAAGTGGTTTGCATATTATACTGAGAAAATAAAAAGATTGTTTTAGAAAAACCAAAGGACACCAACAGCTCTTTACAGCCCCAAAGCACGTGTCGCCAGAGGTCACAGGAGGGGTTCTTAGTTATCAGCAAGGGAAACTGAGGCTTTCTCGTTTATGCAGAAGTGGAATTTATTGAATAATATTAAGGGGGCTATGTCGCCAATGCCACAGTCACACTGCCCACACAGAACTGGCCTGGCGAGGTGTTACTTTGACCACCATTGCTGGGCCAGGACGCTGCCACCAAGGCCGTGCCCCTGCCAGAAACTAAATGTGGCTGCCCCATCCCTGGCCCTTTCTGTCAGTAGGGTCAGGTTCAAACTCCTGGGTAGTCAGCCCAGCTCTCATTGACTCAGTCTGAACAGCTGCCTGTTCCCTAGAATCCACATGCGCTGGGACAATGGGAAGTATCGGTAGACGCTATGGTGGGAAGATGACTCTGTGTCCACCAAGGTTCTTGGGCTGGGGAATGGTCTGAGCATATGACGGCCTCAGACCCCAGCCAACCAAAGGGAAAGGTCTCCCCTGTACTCACGAAGCCTCCACGATGTCCATCAGCACTTTCTTCCTCCGTTGCAGTGTAGGTCAGCCCTTCGCAGATGCTCACAATTCCCTGATACAGCCGGTTGCCCTTTGTTGTGTTAAACTGAAAGAATTTCAGAGTTGGGGCCAGGCATGGTGGTTCATGCCTGTAATCCCAGCACTTTGGGAGGCCGAGGCGGGCAGATCACGAGGCCAGGAGTTCAAGACCAGCCTGGCCAACATAGTGAAACCCCGTCTCTACTAAAAATACAAAAATTAGCTGGGCATGGTGGCGTGTTCCTGTAATTCCAGCTACTCGGGAGGCTGAGGCAGAATTGCTTAAACCGGGAGGCAGACGTTGCAGTGAGCTGTGATCATGCCACTGCACTCCAGCCTGGGCTACAGAGCAAGACTCTATCTCAACCACAAAAACAAAAACAAAACAAAACAAAAAAAAACTCAGAGTTGGAGAAGGACTCGGACAAATGTCACATTATAGAGGAGGAAAAAGACCCAGGAGGCAGAAAGACTTCCCTGAGGGCCATGATGGTAGTTAGTGCATCCCTTAAATACAAGTCTTCTGCTTCCTATTCCTGTAAATAACTTTGCATTTAACATTTTTGTACATTAAACGTTACTGATTCATAGTCAATGATTATGGTCAGCCCTCCACATCCGCAGGTTCTGCATCTGTAGGTTCAACCAATCGTGGACCAAATATATTCAAGAAAATGAAATAAAAATACAACAATAAAAAAGTACAAAAAATCGAGTACAACAACTATTTACATAGCATTTACATTGTATTAACTATCATAAGTAATCTAGGGATGATTTAAACTATGTGGGAAGATGTGCCTAGGTTATATGCAAATACTCCATTTTATATAAAGACTTGAGCATCCATGGATTTTGATATCCAAGGTGGGGGTCTTGGAACCCCACAAATACCAAGGGACAACTGTGTATTATTTTCATAACCCATTTCTGCCTAGTGTTCCATTAGTGGAATGCTAACCATGTGGGAATTATTTATATCCTACTGTTCAAGGTCATCACCAAGGTCTGATTTTTCACACACACACAGAATTGCAACCTCCAGCATAAATGGGGATGAATTTACTACTAACATGTAGTTTCCATCCACAAATCCAATGTCCCTATGCTATTTGTAACTGTGGAGCCAAGAGAAGCTGTTGAATCATGTGGTGAATATGATCAAGAACTCAAGATTAGGGATAAAAGCAATCATTCTGTTATTCCTTTTTAAAAATTATTAGCCTGTAATTTAAACATCAGGATCTCATGTAATACAGAACAATATCTTCTGACATTTTTACAATACTAGTATTCTTACAAAACACAGTTAGGAAGTTACATGAAGAAAACACGCAGACTGTGTGTGGCTAAATCTTTAGTACCTCATTTCCATAGTCTTAGAGAAAGTTTAAATTATATTGAAACTTTTCTCAACTGCTATCTTAATGTGTTCAGGCTGCTGTAACAACATATCATTCAAACTGGGTGTCTTATAAACGATAGAAATTTATTTCTCACAGTTCTGGAGGCTGAGAAGTCCAATATCCAGGCAGATTCCATGTCTGGTGAGGGCCTGTTTCCTGGTTCATAGATGGCGCCTTCTCTGCGTCCTCACATGGCAGAAGGGGTGAGGGAGCTCTCTGGGGTCCCTTTTATAAGGACACTAATCCCATTTGTGAGGATTTTCACTCTCATGACCTGCTCACTTTCTAAAGGCACCACCTCCCAGTACTCTTGCATTGGGGATTAGGCTTCAACATGAATTTGAGGGAGGCGCAAACATTCAGACCATAGCCACTGGTCAACATTAGGTAACCTGCAGTGCTTGGCTGTGGGATGGGAAGCCTGTGTTGTAAAGGACGTCTGAGTGGGAACAGGGGTCTCAAGCTGCCTTCACATCTAACGTCAGCACACTAGAGATGGACATTGCAGCTGCAACCTACTGTGCCTGTAAAGCATTTAGAATTACGCCTTGCATACACAAAGTGCTCAATAAATGTTAACTGTTATTATGGTTGGGCATCAGCCACTTTAATTATCTCTTTCAATCCTCATAGTAACTCTTCAACATAGGTAGCCTTATTTTGCAGTTGAGGAAACTGGAGCTTAGCAAAGTTTAGTGACGTTGCAGAGCTAGAGTTCAAACCCAAGTCTGACTCCAAAGTGCATCTATCTGTGTATTTGCTTATTTAACCTCAGACACACAGAATCGGATTAATTAGAGTCCTTGATTCAGCACACGTTCTCTTCATTGATCCTTACTCCTTTATTTTATTTTTTAATGCTATTTTTTGTTTGTTTGTATTTAATAGTAAGATAAACACTGTGAACTCACCACTTACCTCTCACCATGAGAGCGCTGGTGCCCACCTCCACCTCCGAGTTCCACATATCCCATTACCCTGCCTTCCCCGTCCAAGGAAACCACTGTCTGGAATCCTTCGTCATTCAAGCCTTTTCACAGTATGGCTCTTTCCAGCCTTTTATTTCTCTACTGTTTCGCTTGGAAACTCTACATTTCTAAGACAGTGTGGTGCCTCTGAGCTCTGTGGCTTTTGCTCCTGCTAGCCTTTCTTCATAAAGTCTTTCAGCCCCACAAGTGTCGCAGCTTTTCAAAGCCTTTCCCATCCTTTAAGGTCCTACTTTTCTTTTCCATGAAGTCTTCTCTGGGCCACGATGACTGGGGAATCCTCACTGTCTTCTGAAGTTCTGCACGTACTTACTCTGCACATAGTCGGCGGTGAGGTATTCATCACATTGAAATCGAGTTACATGTGGTCCTGTTCTATAGTCAACCAAAACTCCTGGGGTAAAAATGCTGCTTTTCATCTTGGCAATCTCTATCCTAACCAGCACAGTGCCTCGCTGAATATTAGAGGCCTGAGAATTTTCTTTGTTTTTTTTTCAGAGTGATTTTTTTTTCTCTGCTTTATTTAATACTTTGAAGCAGCACACATTTCAGTTTGCTTTATGCTTGATTTTTTTTTATTTCTTCTAAACAAACGAGATACATGTGCAGAACGTGCAGGATTGACACAAATAATAGCTGGCAGAGTGTCCTAGGAAAGACTCCTCAGATGTTATAAATAATACACAAACAAAAACACACACAAATATTTACTGAAGACTTTTCTTGCGCTGCAAGGCACTGGCTGTGTAATGCAGAATAAAACCGACAAAATTCTTGCCATCTGGGATGTGCATGTTATGTCAGCACAGGGAAGAGATCAAGTGTGTGTGCATAGGACATCAAGAATACAATAAAACAAAGTGGACAAAAGGAAGCGAGGGTGGTGAACACAGGACACCTGAATGAAGGACAGAGTTGTTGGAAAAGGACCCCTGAGTGCCCAAGGGAGGAGCTGGCCTGGAGTAGTGAGGGCAAGGTGATTGCAAATGAGGCCTTGGTGATTGGAAATGAGCTCATCCCCACGTCTTATAAATAGTTCTCCAAGTTATCCGAGGCAGGTTATTCTGTGGCAAAGACGCCTCAGCTAACTGGATGCAGAAGAGACAACTGAATAGAGCCTCATGGTCTCGGAGTCTTTTTTTTTTTTTCCTAGGTTATTGGTGTTCATTTCTTGTTTTGTTTTTTTTTTTAAGACATATCTTTGGCATTTTGTACCTACCTTCTGTTCTAAATTTTGCATTTTTACTACTTTCAAGTGGGTGGACTTTGTTGTGGTGGGTAGTTCAAGATTCATCATACAAATGTGATTGTGCTTCGAAACTCCCACCAGTCTGACGCACGCATGGGTTTTCTGGCAACATTTGCCATCTACAGCACTCTCTTTGATCACCTTCATCATCTTCCAACATTCCTGCCACAGTCACTTCCCAGAAACTTGCTAATCTGTAATAGAAACCCTCAGATTCCTATGGTGAATTTGTAATCAAAAGTCACATATTGATTTCAAAATCAATACACACTTTAAAAATAACACTACAGATTTAGCAGCTCAGGGAGGAAGGAAACCGTAAGTTCATCTGGTGCAGCTACCCGTCTGGGATGTGAATTCCTCCTCTTCATGAAATGTTTACATTCATATCACAGTCTAGGGTTTAGTGAACCATAAAAAGCTGAAAGTTAATGCAAACAGTAGTCGCCCCCAAAACATATACCAACTGATTTAAAAGGAGACACAGCAGATGGAGATTATTGTGAAAAGAACTCTTACTGGCCAATTTTTTTGTTATTTTAATCTCTGCTTATCCCAATTCTTTTAGCTGCATATACTGAGACACTTCACATCTATAATAAACTTGGTACCAGAACACAATTCATTCCAGACCTAACTCTTTTAGATCATTATAACCGGGGGAGGAAAAAAGTTAAAAAGGCTTATCTATCTTAAGAAGTATTTCTCAGTGTTCGCTACACGTCACTTAATCTTTTCCAAAATTTGACAATATACAAAGCAGTTTGTAGTGACTTTTCATAGTGACTCTACAATAAAATGGGCCTGTCCTCCTTGCTTTTCCAAATGCAGTCATCATCTGACAAGGTTTAGCTATTTGGGGAAGTCCTTGCTTGCAAACGTAGTTCTTTTGCCAAACAGGTTTGGTCAAACTGTGTCCCCTAGTTGCACAGTTACCCCATATTTGATTAACAAATAGCAAAACAGAGATAATCTCAGAAATATTCAAGAGTCTCAAACCCCAAATAAAATATAGGCATCCTCCTGTTGAGTCGAATTGGCAATTTTGATTAGCAAGGCTCATGAAGCAGTAGATATCCCCTCTGATCCCCATCCCAGTGCGAGGGCACAGTGAGTTGTATTTTCTAAGTATAAACTATTCTCTAGCAGTTCGGCTGGAGTATTGGGAGCAAAACTGTATTTTTCTAATATTTTCAGACTAAGACAGTGTCTCTGTTTTCCGGACTTTTCCGTGGCTAATGAAGGATTTATCAGCAATACAAAGAAAGTTCTCCCAGTGGGTACTCCACGGGGAGAGGAGCTGGGGTCTCACTAGTGCACAGCCATAAAAGACACCACAAGCATATTACACGTGAAGCAGG
Organism: Homo sapiens; assembly: GCF_000001405.40. Lineage (NCBI taxonomy): Eukaryota > Metazoa > Chordata > Mammalia > Primates > Hominidae > Homo > Homo sapiens. The sequence goes on from NC_000008.11 coordinate 6,585,289, forward strand.
ATCCGTGCCCACCACAGCAGTTGTCCCAGGAGTTTCCTGTTTGAATGAGACACTTTGGGTGGATACTGCAGGGAGGGAGAAGCTGTGTGTGGCCACCACAGCTGGAAGCGTGGCCTGGTGCCCTCACAGCTGTCTGGGAGCCCCTTCCCGGGAACGCCGGCTTTTCCCGGGTGCACCATTGCAGCTGGAGCCATTGTCGGCCGCCTCGAAAACATGCAGTTGGGCTGCTCTGGCAGGCTTCTCCAGCCCTCCTCCCAAGGTTTACCTCTCTAAATGTCAAAAGGGAGAGAATACTGTATTTGTTTTTCCCTCTACTGAAATTTATTTGTGACATCAGGCATCACTTTCACCTTAGTCATTTTGGCTGGATTCCCATACTCAATTAAATATCCTTCCTTCCATATGGCCCATAGGAAGAGAGAGAAATTACATGTAACTGGTCTTTCCTCCTCTTTATAAAGTCTGGTGGCTGAGCAACTTGGCCTGTACTTCCTTCATGACCCACCATCCCATGACTGCAGGGCAGTTTTAAACACAGCAGCTTGGTTTCTATTGCACGGAAGCTGGCCAACAGTCACAGTGTGCATTTTTCTATTGCACCTCCTTGTGTTAACCCAAGTTCACTCACAGCTGTAACTACAGAAGTTTTTCTGAAAGCAAGTGAAGCCATCCTTCTTTTATTGAGTTTTTGAGCTAGGGTCTCACTCTGTCACCCAGGCTGGAGTGCAATGATGTGAACATGGCTCACTGCAGCCTTGACCTCCTGGGTTCAAGTGATCCTTGTACTTCAACCTCCTGAGTAGCTAGGACTGCAAGCATGTGCCACCATGCCCACGCTTTCTGATTTTTTTTTGTAGAGACAGAGTCTCTCTATGTTGCCCAGGCTGGTCTTGAACCACTGGGCTCAAGTGATCCTCCTGCCTCAGCCTCCCGGAGTCCTGGGATTACAGGTGTGAGCCACCATGCCCAGCTCATCCTTCCTTTAAAACCGGCAGCTGGGCAATAATACAGATGGGACCAACTAAGTTTCTCAGACCACTCAGGGAAGCTAGTCTTGCATAGACAAAATATACACCCTCTTACCTGCCCCACCTTTAAGGCTGGTCCCCAGGGTCCGCGCTCTGTCCTCCAGCCTCCACGCTTCCCTGTGACTAGCCTCTGTGGTCAAAGGTGCTTGCTGATGCAGCCTCTGTACAGCCTCCATGCAGTGCGTGTCTTTATGTGGAGGAGACCGCCCTTCTTTCAGCAGTTATTGAGCATCTACCCACTCTGTGCCGGTCATAGGGCTTAGAACTGCATGTCTGGGGGGAATTCTGCAAAGAGAGCCTGAAATAAAGGCAAACAGTGAGAGACGGCCAGGAGAAACCATGAGCACTGCAGTGAGTATCAAGGGACAAAGCTGAAAAAGGAAGACTGAACGCTGAGCTTCAAGCCATTCATTTCTATGGGCCGCGGGAGCCCTTGAAAGTCTGTGGGCAAGTTTTGGTGAGATTAAGCTGGTAGTTCTGTTCAGGACAGGTTGAAGGGATGAGAGATTAGGACACTTACCACCTGAATCCTGTCGCTGGCTTTAGTTTAAACCACCCGTAATGTAGACATCCTGACTTAGAATTCCCTGTGCTGCTTCCTTTCTGATGGAAACAGCTCTGCTAACAGAGTGCAGGCTGTGGGAGCCGAGCCCCGTTGCAGGCAGCCTGCAGGCCGCAGTTTCCTCGGCTTACCACCCAGCGCTTTTCATTCGGCTCAGCGCTAGGGACCTCTGCTTCCACTTCTCGGTGTTGGAAATTGCCATTTATTTTTGCTGTCGATGATCTGTATTGACTTGGCCTGAGTATGCGTGCACGTCTCTGGTGGTCTGAATTATATAGACCAGAAGGGTGTCTGATGCCGCTTTTATAAAAAATAATAATAATTTGAAAGGAAAAATGACTCACTGAAGTCTGGCAAATACAGAGCCCTCTCTCTGAATCGACTTCTCACTTGGCCATGTTGAATTCCAACTGGGTGTCCTCAGACATTTCTATCCCAAGATCTACTCCTGGCTTAGAATCTGTTTTGTTTTGTCTTATTTCAGCTCATGGTTCTTGTTCCCCCAGCTTTATGGGGTATAATTTCCATACAATAGAATTCAACACTTTCAATGTGTGGTTGGATGGCTTTTGGCAATTGTATACAGTTTTGCGATCACCCCTACACTGAAGATATAGAACACTGTTTCTCGTCTGGTGATTGCTGGACATTGAATTCTTTCCAGTTTTCACTGTTATGAATCTGACTATGATTTTTGGCATGGATTTGTATGTAGCTATAAATCACTTGGTAATTTTTCAGAAGAATAGCAGTCTTGGGGCCTGGATGGCTTATTGTGGTCTCAAAAAGTTCCTGATGATAAGGTTGCAGCCTCATGCTTCTTTATAAGAATGCAGTATTACTTGCAAGGGAGCTTGGGTAGATAAGAAAGCAAGAAAGTCCATGTGGAGACCCTGTCCAGAGAGCACAGACATGGACTAAGTTAAAGGATGGTAAATTAGCAATGCCCAAAAGCACATGGAGGAGATACTTCCCCTCCTGACTCTATTGGTGATGCAGTTTATTTGTCTGAGCTATCTGAGCAAGTTTCCTCTCACTTACGTGCTGGGGACAGCAGATTCCAATGCAGAGTCCTTAGAGCTCAGGCTCCCCTCAACCTGACGCATCTCTCAACCATTTGTCTTAAGCTGTCTGAAGTCAGCTTCCCATCTTGGGGAGGTAGAAGTGAAAGGGTTTCCACTTTGCCAAGTGAGCGTATATGGGGAGACTGAGGGTGTGGAGTTGATGATGGTTGTGGGGTGGCTGACAGTGTCCACAGGGCTAGTCTTGAGGCAGGCTGACACTGGGGCCAGATGGGACCACTGTGCCTCCTGTCCCCTCCACCTTCTCCTAGTCCAGGAAGGGAATAGCAGCAGCTGCTCTCAGTGGGGCATTCTTTTTCCAGAGCCAGGCCAGCCCAGCAGTGATCCCTTGATAAAGCAAGTCACCGTTATCAGAGCAAGAACTATACATTCACTTAAAACTTTTTTTTTTTTTTAAGTGTAAAATGGGACTGCAACAAAAAGAAAATTGTGCTTAGGAGAATGTCCCTCAGAAAATGTACTTTATGATTGCGAGGAATATTTGCCAAGGTCTTTGGGGTAGGCTGAGCCCCTTCACCTCCCTGGGGACATGCTAGGATGGCAAGAGAGGATCAGACATCTCCCAGGGAGGCTGTGTCCAGCCGGGCTCCTGGAGTGGCGTAAGTCTGGTTGAACCAGCACTGAACTGCCTGAGTCCATGTGAACGCATTGAACTGTTAAACCGTGTCTCTGGCGGCCACATCTCCGGGCTTCACCCGCTGCTCTCCCCTGTCCTGCAGGTACAAAGTCAATAGTCAACCTCAGTTTTGAATGTTACAAAATTATTAGCCTCTCCATAGTTCTTCCCATGGCTTCTCACCCAAGCCTTCTGCTCCTCTCTCCTCTCTGCCCAGGTCTCACCAGCTGCCCTTGGGCCAGGTCACTGCAGTGTCTGCCAGCACCACGACAGGCAGGCTGGAGGCCCAGTTCTCACAGAAAAGACTCGAAAGGGGGCTTTCCATCCTTTATAGTCTACCTGCTACTTATAGGCCACCAGGACAAAGGATCAAGGTGGCAAGGCAGAAATTGCAGCACAGAGCGAATGGAAAGGCAGTCACTGAAGGGATTCTTTTGCTTTTACAAGTAGATTTTTCTTAAACAATCACTGTATGAAAACAAAAGTACAAAATTATTAAAACACCTGGATGATGAATTGACAACAAGAGTTTTTCTGGAACATCCTCCTGTGGGCTCGGGGAAGACAGTTTTTTTCTGTGGTGATAGATGGTCAGGAAATGTAGTGACATAGAAGTGAAGGCATTTTACAGAGCTCACCTTAATCAATGGCTTTTTCACTTATTAAGTTTTCTTTTATTTTTTCCTTCTTCAAAAATGACTGATACCTTAATTTATGGGAATTGTTTCCAGTAAAAATTGGGACAATGATAGTGAGTGGAGAATATTTATATGCTATACTTCCTGTCTTCCTTCATCTTTTATTACTGAGGATATTGACATGAAAACAGGATCTTTGTATCCAATGAGTTCATCGACGGCCGATTTCCCACCAGAAATTCCAGGCTTTCTGACATCAGCGTGCATTGCTCTGCATGTCACTTGGAGCACCGGCATCTGGAAATGATGAAATCCTGAACAACAAAGTTTGTTTTCAGGAAGACAAGGCAGTGGGGAAGGGAAGGGTGCTAAGCTTCAGTGACTGCCTACTGTGTGCCAGGCATTTTCATCTTCCATCTCGATAGAATGTCTAACTGTGCTCTGAGATGAGAACTATAAATAGCTGGTCAGCCAAAAGTTTTCTGCTTTTTCTTAGTGATCTCAAGTGTTTCCATGACACGTGCTGCAACCAAATACATTATGTGTAAATTGCCAAAGACCTGTTGATTTCCAAACCATTATATAGTCATGGGAATGCTTGTATACCTGAATTGTCATAAAATTGATGAGATGCGAAGATACAGCAGAATATATCAGATAATTCTGCAGAACTCTTATTATGGAAATGAAAATAATTCAATAGAGAAGTCTCGATTCATAAAAGACTAGTTTTACTCTAAAGTATCTAAAAGACATGCATTAAAAAGACATGGCACTGTCCCCGAAACGATCTTGCTGTGTTGCATTTCAAATGGTACCTTCATTTTGAAACTTTGCACATTAGCACGTTCTTTATAATAGCAAAAAGTGGGGGAGTGAGGAACATTTGGTGCCGGAAGAATGATTAGGTAAAGCACACCAAGCTGAAAAAAGTATTTTTGCAGAGCGTTTTCAAGAGCATGGAAGAGTGTTATAATGTTAAGTGAACAACAAAAAAAAAAAAATACAGATCCAACTATGTAATCATTACACATAGAAATAAAAATGAGCAATAAAGCCAGGATGTCAGTGAGGATGGAGTGGAGGGAATGTCCTAAATGTGCGTTGGCCCATCATCACCTCATGCATGAAGTGAATGGAAACATTTGGTTTATGTTTTCTGGAATGTCTCATAAGCCATTGTAACCAAAAACTACACCATGAACAAAAAGCAAAGCAGGCCCTGCAGGCCCTGGGTGGGAAGCTGAGGAGGTTGGCAGTTTCTCAAACTCATGTCAGATGCCCCTCGGCCACTAGACAGAATCTGCTGCTATCTGGGTTCTGGTTGACCAGAGGCCTAATCTGGAATCTGGTTCTAAAAACCAATTTTTGTTATAGGGCTTGCTGGATACAAATCTGCAATGAGACATTGTCACAAGCAATAGCTTAAGAAAAACATAAAGGAAAAAATAATAATAAGTTTTTGGAAATAAGCCTGGAAAAGCAGTTTATTGCCATCTGCTAACTCATTTGATTCTTGCAGTAACCCTAGGGTAGGTATGATGGTGATCTCTGCTTCAAAGATGAGAAAATCGAGGCTGCCTCAGGTCACTTGACCTCCTCACAGGCCAGTGGAGACTGGCTTCAGACTCGGGCCTTTGGACCTCAAGGCCCTGGTCTTCTTTTGTTGTTTGTTTGTTTTTGTTTTTGTTTGTTTGTTTTCCTGAGATGGAATTTTGCTCTTGTTGCCCAGGCTGGAGTCCAATGGCGCAATCTCGGCTCACTGCAACCTCCGCTTCCTGGGCTCAAGTAATTCTGCCTCAGCCTCCCGAGTAGCTGGGATTGCAAGCATGTGCCACCACACCCGGTTAATTGTGTATTTTTAGTAGAGACGGGTTTCTCCATGTTGGTCAGGCTGTTCTCAAACTCCTGACCTCAGGTGATCAGCCCGCCTTGGCCTCCCAACGTGCTGGGATTACAGGCGTGAGCCACCACGACCGGCCAAGGCCTTGGTCTTCCTATCGCATTTTGACACCTTGCTCAGTACGATGAGTAGTTAAAATCACTGTCATTGGCTACATGCCTACTTTTTATAGTCACTCTACTTATTGTGGTTTTGGCTACATCCTAGTTGAACTCTAGGGCTAGTGTTTATTAAGGTCTTGATCTCATATGGCATTTGTAGACAATCGAATGTTGAGTGATAAGCCCTGGTAACGTGATTTCTCACTGCTGGCCCGTGAAGCCATGGAAATGTTCCCATGGAAATCACCCCATGTGTGGAATGAATGGTCAGTGGAACATAGGCATCTTTCTCTCCTGTCCTCTAGGTTTTAAAATACCTGAATGTCCTGAAATGCAAGAGTATCCTAAGAGCACTTTAGAAATATCTTTGCGGTTTCTTTCTGGTGTGCTTTGTGGGTTGGGTGAGGTACCGTATTCCAGGACACGTGGCCCTTAGAGAAACAAATAATTTCCTTTCCTCCTGCTTCAGTGTTATTGGTAAAGTGGGAAGGTAGCCCCAAGACACTCAGCTCCTGCACTGCATTTGGATAGAAGGGCGTTCAAATTCCACCAGGGACAACTTCGTCTAACCCCCTAGAATTCCTCATTTTGACCCTTGGCATACTCTATATTTGTTGAAATACAAAAAAAGGAGTTGAAAGTGAGTCTATCTATATGTAGTAGGTATATCGTGTTCACTGTAAAATTCCTTACTGTATGTTTAAAATTTTTCAGAATACAATGCTGGGGGAAACCTATGGAACAGAAGTAGGGAAAAAATTCGACAACGCAAAGTGAGAGTGGGAAACCATGTGAAGCTCTGTTAGAGTATCATCACTAATCTCTTTTTTCCTTATACCTATATTCATGAAAGCAAATAGAGAACAATACAATATAGTGTAACACCGTGTACCCATCACTCAGCATTGCTCAATCTTAGTTATCATTATGGTTATTATTATTATTATTATTTGAGACAGGACCTTGTTCTGTCACCCAAACTGGAGTGCAATGGGGTGATCCTGGCTCACTGCAGCTCAACCTCTCGGGCTCAAGTGATCCTCCCACCTCAGCCTCCCAAGTAGCTGGGACTACACGTGCGTGCCACCACACCCGGCTAATTATTTTTGGTAGAGACAGGGTTTTGCCATGTTGCTCAGGGAGGTCTCAAACTCCTGGACTCAAGCAATCCTCCCACCTTGGCCAATTTTAATATTTTATTATAGTTGTTTCCATTTTTTGTGTTTTTCATAAATTAAATCTTGTAACTATTATATATTTCACAGAATATTATAAAGTTAAAGCTCCCTTTGCATCTTTCCCTCTCCAATTCCATTCTTCCTCTCTCTCTAAAAGTAACTGCTGTCCTGAATTTAACGATGATTTTTAAAGTCATCTAGGCTCTCGTTTTTCTTTCTTTTTTTTGTTTTTTTTTTTTTTTTTTTTGTTGCTGTTGTTGTTTGTTTGTTTTAATTGAGAAGGGGTCTCACTCTGTCACCCAGGCTGAAGTGCAGTGGCGCTCTGTGGGCTCACTGCAACCTCTGCCTCCCAGGCTGAAGTGATCCTCCAACCTCAGCCTCCTGGGTAGCAGGGACCACAAGCACGTGCCACCACACCTGGCAATTTTTTTTTTTTTTTTTTGTATTTTTGGTGAAGACGAGGTCTTGCCATGTTGCTCAGGCTGGTCTCAAACTCCTGAGCTCAAGTGATTTGCCTGCCTTGTCCTCCCAAAGTGCTGGGATTACAGGCGTGAGCCACCGTGCCAGGCCGGCTCTTGTTTTTCTCTTCCCCCTACACCCCAAATAAACACAGAGCTTTATTCCTGCCTCAGTCAAATTGCTGCTTCAAGGCCGCAGTTTGGACACTATGTTTTTTAGGGTGTGGTTTTTTTTTTTTTTTTTTTTAGACAGAGTTTCGCTCTTGTTGCCCAGGCTGCAGTGCAATGGCACAATCTTGGCTCACTGCAACCTCTACCTCCCGGGTTCAAGTGATTCTCGTGCCTCAGCCTTCCAAGTAGCTGGGATTACAGGCATGTGCTACCATGCCCGGCTAATTTTGTCTTTTTAATAGAGATGGGATTTCTCCATGTTAGTCAGGCTGGTCTCAAACTCCTGACCTCAGATGATCCGCCCACCTCGGCCTCCCAACCTGCTGGGAATATAGGCATAAGCCACCAAACTCAACTTATAATTTATGATTAAGGCTGCAGTGCAATGGCGCGATCTTGGCTCCCTGCAACCTCTGCCTCCCAGGTTCAAGTGATTCTCCTGCCTCAGCCTTCCAAGTAGCTGGAAATATAGGCACACGCCACCACGCCTGGCTAATTTTGTATTTTTAATAAAGATAGCATTTAATTATGTTGTCCAGGCTAGTCCCAGACTCCTGACCTCAGGTGATCCACCCACCTCGGCCTCCCAAAGTGTTGGGATTATAGGTGTGAACCCCTACAGCTGACCCAGACACCATGTTTTTATGGCTGGATTTTGTCTTTGCTCTGGTTGCGGTCTTAGGCACCCTTATAAATAGAGCTTTGAAGAGAACATTACCAATGTATTTTTAATGAGGTCATGTTATAAAATTGTCGCATAGGACTTCTCAAGAAAAGACAGCCTCTTCCTTGCAAGATACTTTCTTTTGCAAAGATTGAGATCATTCCACAACAATAGACCTCTGTTCATTGCTTCCTTCTTATGCAAAAGTGGCCGTCCCTCCCATCAGAAGGACCCCCGCTGGCACTCTGTCAGGTAGACAGAAGCATGGATAGAAGGCTGGTGGTGAGCTCCAGGTGCCTTCCCTATTGTCTCTTCTCTCCTATAACCTCGTATAACCTTCCTGGGTTTTCCTGGGTGCATGTTTTTTTGTTGTCATTGGTGTTTTGACAGCTGGCTGTCCAGGCAAGGCTGCTGTGTTTGAGCAGAGGTTTGCTGAGTTGAGCAGGGGTGTGGCTGCAGGGCCTAGCCTGGCCTCCCAGGAGCCCCCGCTCCCCGTGTGCCCAGGTCATACCCAAACAGGAGCATTCCTTATGCTGGTCCTGGACAGCGTTTCTATTAAAGGGTTCTTTGTGTTAGGAATGTTCAGCAGAGCGCCATGAGCCGGGTGAGAGTGGAATGAGTGGTTTACCCAGGGCACCTCTGGACCCTGGGAGTCACAGCTGTGGAATTTTACTGGAGTTTTCACTGCAGTGCAGCCCAGGGTAGGACACAGAGGGCTTCCACTCCCTTGGAGCATGCTAATCTTTCCAAAACACTCATTCGTGGGCCCTCATAGAAGCTCCTAGGGCATTACCAAGAAATAGCAGTCCTTGATCATATCCAGTGAATTCTGAAACAGTGAAGGAATTTAGATCTCATGTGTCCATGTTGCTGAGGGCGTCCTGGGCACAGAGCCTGCTCGCATCAGGCCAGATTGTTTGGAGTATTGCCAACTGGCCTTTTTTCTGGAGAAGAAAGTACTGACGCTACGAAGACTTCAGTGTTCTCCTGCAGGGGACTGCAGGGGACTGCAGGGGACTGCAGGGGACTGCAGGGGAAGGGAGGATTGGCCTGTCACTTGCCATCTCTCATTTCTGCGATGCTACAGAGAGGGAAGGGGAGGCATACATATGTCAGAATCTAAATTACAGCATGTGGAAAGACCTGCCCTCGGGGTCAGAGCACACCAGGCTGGGGAGGACCTAGTTTAAAGGGATAGAAGAGACATTACTTTAGCTCCTTCTCTTCAGGGGCTCCATAATGGTTTTAAACTGTTCTTTAAAATCGAAGTTTTTCTAATCTACTTTTGACTTATGTATTAACCAAGAACCTCTTGTAAATCTTAAGACTATATAGTTGTCAAAGACAGGCAACTTGAGGTTGAGTCTGTTGCTAACTAACTTACTGACTTCGCACAAATCACTTTGTCTTTGGGAACCTCGCTCCCCTATCAGTAAAACAGAGATGATTGATTGATTCAAAAGCATTCACTGAGCACCCACTCAGCTGCGAGGCACTGCCTGCATACTTGGGATATGTCAGGGAGTGAGAGAGGCAAGGATCCCTGTCCACATGGAGACTTCATTCCAGCAGAGGAGACACACAGGAATGAGTGAATGGAATAAGCAAATAGGGTATGTACTGTAGGAGCAAACAAGGGATAGAAACATGGGAGATGGGTCAGGAGTGTGGACTCGAGTCCACAGCGCTAAACTGTCCCATTGAGAAGGTGAATGAGTTAAAAGAGATCAGGAAGTTGGCCAAGTAGATGCAGGGGAAAAGTGTTCCCTGGAGAGGGAGCTGGCCAGCTGCATGCACAAGGCCTGATGGACGGCTGAGCCAGTGGGGAAGAGGAGGCAGCAGCACAGTCGGGATGAACTGGCAGGTGGGCTTCTGCTCCAGAAGAGATGCGGGAGCCCTGCAGGTTTGAGTGAAGAGTGCATGGTCCAACACGGTCTTCAGAGCATCGTTCCAGCTGCTGCAGGTTTGAGTGAAGAGTGCACTGTCCAACAAGGTCTTCAGAGCATCATTCCATCTGCTGCAGGTTTGAGTGAAGAGTGCACTGTCCAACAAGGTCTTCAGAGCATCATTCCGGCTGCTGCACAGGGAAGAGCATCAGGGGCAAGAGTTGATGCAGACAGTAATAGATGGTAATAGAGTCAGATACAATTGGGCAGGCAACGGCCCTTTACAGATGACGAAGCATCAGAAAAGTTAGGGTGCAACCATTTGTTTTCAGTTTACAAAAAGGGAAGACGATTAATCCCCAAAAAGGAGCCTGTGAGCGTCAGATGAAGAATTTAAGAAATGAATAATATGGGTCACATGAGACAGTCTCTTTCTTTTTATTCATTTATTTATTTTTACAAAAAAGTATGTTTCTGTGTCCTTCAGCACAGTTTGCAGGAGCATTTAGAGCACACCCGTGGAGTGGCCCTTTTATGCTTGCCAAGCATGCTGAACACCGTAAGCCACGTGTGACACATCTTCCATGGACATGAAAGATATGTTGATCATTTTATTGGGCTCCAGTCTCAGCTCTGCCACGAACTGGCACTGTGCCTTGGACCAAGTCACTTCATCCCTTTGGGTTTGCGTTTGCTCCCCTGGAAGGTAGGGGAGGGGTGCAGTGAGCTCTGGCGTTCTTCTTAGACTCTGCTGCAGCTGCATGAGTGGGTCTATGGCACAGCCCCCTGCCTGCATCATGGCAGGTTATACACAGTAAAGAGATGAAAGGAATTTTTCTGCTAAGGGAAGTAGCCCCATCTGTCAGGATAGTTGGCTCCATTGTGTCTAACGTAGGTATCTTATAAGCCTGTACACATGGCAGCCAAGGGGACCTGGCCGCCAGAGCCGTAGGAGATGACCCAGCACAATGGGCTGGGCAGTAAGGAAGCCAGACTCTGGAGCCAGCGTGGAGGTGCAGGAGCTCGTGAGTATGAGGGCATGATGAGGGGTGCACAGAGGAACCCCTGGGCTAACAGGGGCCCAGGAGACAGTATTACGGCATTGGGCTTTGTATTGCCGGAGACCAGCACAGATCCCACAATGCAACGATGCCAAAAAACGGTAGAACTGAAAACCCCAGCCAGATCAACGCGAGAATAAATCTCTTTTCTGCTGAAATTGATAGCCTCCTAAAATGCTAAGACACATGCAGCGGAGAATAATCATTATTGACCATGAAATAGCTAAGAACCAGCTGAGAAAATACAGAAGGACACACAGTAAGAATGAATGAGAAAACTCTTGTATAGAGGATACGGTCAGAGTTAGCAACCAGTTGCTTCTTCATGTAAATTAAATCAGCGGAGAATCTAAAACCATCCCGTAGACCACATTTAGAGGGTAGGAAGGATGCAATGGGGCCAGGTGGGCAGGAGATGGGCTTAGCATCCAAGCAGGCTGGACTCACAGCCCTCTGCCTGGTGTGTGATCTCAGCACTTCTTGTACCTTATCTAAGCCTCAATGAAGGTAATAAAATCACCTGCCTATAAGCCTGCAGTGAGAATTAGAGGAGCAAATGGATGAGCCTCAGTCCTGTGTGGGGTCTGGCTGCTCACAAGGCACCATGGACGCCGTCTTTACCATCATCACTGTCGACCCGGAGCCAATGGTGAAAGCAGGACACAGGCAAGCCCCAGCGTTTCCCACCATTGTCTTATTTTTTCGGCTTCAGGAAGACATTAGACTTCTAGGAAGAGATTCCTTAAAGCCAGGACTAGAAGGTAGACTCCAGATTTTGGCTACAAGTGGCAAATATGTCTTGTAAGATGAATTTTATGTACTTGTGCCAAGTGCCATTGGAAATACCGAAGACTGTGCAAAAATAAAAGACAACAAACAGCCCCAGGAACCCGGAGCCCTCTCCCAGCCCAGAACATTCACCAGCTCGGCCAAGAGTTCTGCTGGGTTTTCTCTGGGGGCTGGTGCTGCTGTGGACACGACAACCCGGAACACGGAGGGAGGGCTCAGCGCTAGGAAGGGAGAGGGAATGAAGAGGAGTTTCCCTCTCTTTGCTAATTTCTTCGTCTCTGGGAACATTTCCTTCAACAGAGTCCTGCTTTTCTCATCCTCACACCTCACTGCGCCCCTCCTGAACCCACTCCTTTCTGAATATGGTCTACTGTCCTTCCGTGACCCACATCACCTTGGTCCTCTCCCTCATAAGCACATCCTAGGTGGGCCTGCCCTTCACTTACCCATCTCCTTAGAAGAAACGTGAGCTCTCCAAAGGGAAGGGCAGAACCCTGCTTGTTGGTCTTTCTGCCCCCAGCACTTGACCTAGAGCCTTGCACTGAGGACGTGCCACTCATGTCTGCTGAATAAACAGCCACATTTCCAGATGACGATGTCCTTTTCCAGCCAACATCAGCTCAGCGGGCCTTCACGTATTTAGTTATACTTGTGCCTCCGCTCAACAGGGTGAGGATGCTCCTGGACACAGAAATTAGCTCTGAGGCAGGAAGGAGGAAAGGGGATGCTTCTGGGAGGCAAAGGCGGTCAATCAGAGTGAGCACCAGAGACTCCGTGTACCTGGGAAATACGTGGGTTCCCACACCAGCCTTGGGGAGCCAGGGTGGGGAAGAGGGTCTGTAGAGCAAGTTTAGGATGCAGCACATGCCAAGCTTTTCAGAGTCTCACAGTCAGGAACAGAACTCATGCAGGGAGGGGAGGGATTGGAAAGTAGGAGGCAAAGCAGAAGCCCCGAACCCAAAGACAGAGCCGGCGACCGGCCAGAGTGCAGCTCTGAGCCTCAGACATGAGGGGAGAAGAAGGGGATGGGGTGGGGGGCGGTCGTGAGGAATGTCGTTGTCCAGGCTCCACCCGGCCCACCAGCTCCGCAGAGGAAGGAGTGGGCTGGGAGAGGCACACACCAGAACAGCTCTCCTCGGGGCAAAGCAGGCTTTCTTCCCGAACACCCAAGGCTTTCCAAAAGGTAAACACCATTTCCCCCAAGCGACCCCAATGTTTGCTGAAGCAAAACCTCTCGTGTGAGCCGGCGGGCGGCTTCACGACAGGCGTGAGAAGGCCATGGCCCTGTGTGGGTGAGGAAGCGCAGTGCGGCTCCCCCCTGCGTGGTGGGACTAAGAAGAGCCCCCTGCCACCCGAAAGGCGCCCTAACACTTCAGAGAGCGGATGGCTGCCGAGGGTGGCCAGGCTGGAGCTGCGGCTTCCCGCCCGATGCATTGCAGAATGTAACTTTCCAAAATGCATTGCTCTCATCTCAGCTCAGCGTGAAAACACATGTGTGCACACACGCACATGCAGCCCCGCTGAGCTGGGTGGTGAAAAGACCCTAATTAGTTCTGATTCCTTAAGGCATGTATTTTAAAAAGCGTGAAACCTATTGAGATGCTACTTCCTAGCGCGAATACGGGGCTCTTAAAAGTCCTGATAAAAGTGAAAATCCGAGGCGCGCCTGGGAAGTGGGAATGTTCCCTCCAACTCAGGCTTCCACGGTCATGAGTAGGAAGTCCTCTTCCTAATCTCAGTATCTTAAAAAGAAGCCTTGATGTTGTTACGTGATTACCTAAAAGGAATGCCTTCCTCCGCGGACCGGAAGGATATTTTTAAAGGAATGTGAAGCTTGTGACAGGAATTATCGATACCTTTGGAATTTTTTTTTCCAAGTGACTCAGGCTTACTTGAAGCCATTACCTCGGAGTTAGTCAGGGACTGCATGACGCCAGGCCCCAACTGTTTAAAGCAGAGCGCGGCTTAGTGAAAGAATGAAAAAACCGAGGATGTTCTTTGTCCATTATTCTCACCGTGATGAATGATGCTTGTTTTCCTCTCCACTTTAATTAGAATGTTTCTACATTTGCCAAAGAAAATGTTGGAATGGAGACAAAAACCTGAAATTATAGGAACAGGGCTTGATGTAATAGCTTATTTGTAAAGGAAACACAACTTGTTTGGCATTTTATTGAAACAGGAAGTTCAGAAGCTTAGTACACACAAGTACAACAAATTCTCAGGTGCTTGTTGAGTCATCTGTTGTTGGAAATAGTCTCCTGGTAGTTTTCCCCTTGATTTACTTTTTATCTTCATTTTGTTTTTTTGAAAGTAGTGAGGGTAGGAAGTTACAGAGAGATTCAATTAGAGATTATGTGTATTTTTAAAAATCAGCTATCAAGATTAAATAAAGCAAGCGGGAATTCTCTCCTTGCTCCCATATACCAATTTTTGTAATTATGTACAAGATGAGGGAAACCAAAGAAAAACAATAACTTGCTTCAATGCAATTACTAATTCAAAAGTAACCATTACTCTGGGGAATTGTATTAGAGATTAACAAAGAGGAAAAGTACTGTGGTTTTCTTTCTCTATGTTCTATTTGCTAGGAAGCGGTCAATAAAGTAACCTTTTCCCCACAGGAGCTGGTTAATAGTTCGCTTCATGCTAAATAAAAGTTACAGAAATATCTGGAGCTGAGTTGCTGGAGACACAGAAATCTTCAGGTTGGAATTTCTTGTCCTTTTCCAAAGGATTAGGCCAGGACATTGCTGTCAAATCTGCAAAACCTACTCATCCTGGCAAGAGTGCGGTATTTTTAAGACTCACTAGTGTGCTACTTCTAATAGTGCTTAGTCAGGGACCCCCAGGGGAGTGCAAGGGAGAGAGGGTCCCCAGCAGGGATGCCAGACCTTCTCTAGCTGGCCGTGGGTGCTGGCCTGGCCACCTGTAGCCCTCAGCGCACAGGTGGAGGTGTAACTGGTATTCCTGTGGGAGTGACAGTGTCCATCTTTGACATTTAAGAGCCTGCTCCTTCAGATACATTTACCATTGCCACCACTGGGGATTGGGGCGGCACTGGCCACCCTTGGCGGCACATCTCCAGCTTACAGCAGAGTCTGAGTGTCTCTAGCATACCTCTGACTGAGGCACGTTAGGCTTGTGACATCACATCTTCCTAGGTGGGGCAGGGACTTTACAATACATGTGACAAGAGAAAAACCTTACAGCTTTGTATTGAAAGATTTCTTAAGTTTTTAGTTTATTGACTAAATAACACTGAACAAAACGATTCTACTATGAAACGAAAGGATTGGACCTCTGTGAGGGTTGTGGCAATGTTTCAATAGCTGAGCAACGCAGGAGGCACACAGGCCATCGTTGGGGGCAGGTTGGAGGCCTTCAGTTCCTTTACAGCTATGGGCTCCCATCAAGGGTGAGTGCATTGAGGAGACATTGCCTAGAACTACTGGACAGACATCTCACCCAGGAGACGGGAGCATGGTACTTAACACACTTCCATGCACCGTTCAGAATCGCTAAACACAGCAGTGCAGAGGCAGATGACAAGGGCCATTACGGGGTCACCAAGGGAGGAAATAGGGACTGGAGCCCCCAGGAAGGAGAGCTGAGGCTCCCTGTGGGCTGGGGGCTGGCTTTGTGGCCCTGCAGCCAGCACCTGGAGATGAGAGACCTGTCCCTAGGCCTCCCTGCAGCCACCACCTGGAGACAGAGTCCATAGACCTCCCAGCTGTGCCCACCTGGGCAGCTGCACTTTCCAGAGGATTATTCCTGCAGCTTCCACCCTCACAGCTCTCAGCTGTCTTTGCAGGTGCATCTCTGGAAAACAGTTCTCATCAGGGCACCCTGTGCTTCCCAGTTTCTAGTCATTTCCCTTCTCTGAAGGTTCTAGTTCAGACTCTTGAGCAAAGCCTTCAAGACCTCTCCTTAAACTGCCCTCCTCCTCTTCCGTCCAGCCACCTGGTTGCCTCCTGGCTCTTCCTGCCCTAATACCGGCTGCCCGTACGGGACTGCTCACCTCCTGCAGGGAGCCGGACGTCTGTGGCGATCTCCCTCCCGCCATGACACCCCCTACCTGTCCTCCATCATATGGGACACACACACACACACACACACACCCCTACGCACACCCACACCCCACATGCACATCATACATGCCCACCAGAAATACACACACCATACACACCACCCACCCACATGCACACCATACATACACATACACACAACACAGACATTAAATACACATGCCACTACACACAGTGCATACCACACACAACACACACCACACACACACACCCAATCACATACCACATATACCCACACCACACACACACACACACCCAATCACGTACCACATATACCCACACCACACACACACAAGCCTTTCCTAATTATCTAAAGGAGAAGCTTTTCTGGAAAGCATTCCCCAGAGCTTCTAGAGAAATTAGTGTCACCCTCTTTTATGGTTTCATAGTAATGTTTTTATATCACCAGTATAAATACTATCATATAAAAAGGGTAATCAGTGTACCATAGTAATTAATTCTTTAAGTATGTCTCTTCTGCTAGATGATGAGCTTCCTGAATGCAGGCTCTGAAGAATTTTTTCATAGCTTTAAATCCACTGCATGGAATAGAGAAGGCTCTCCATAAACTTCCTGAGTTTAAATGGAATCGGATTGGAAGGCAGTAGCAAGGCACAAAGTGCAGTGAGAGCCAAGCTCAGGAAAACCAGTGTCCTTGAGCAGAAAGACTTAGGAAGGGTGCTCGCTAGCGAGGAGGGAGGCAACAAGGGGCCAGCCCGTGGGGAGCCTTAAGCACCAAGAGCAGGGCGGTGCACACTTTGTCTGGCACGGGCTGGAGCAGGAGAGGGACCGTCCTTGCATTCTGTGCGGATTTCTATGGCAATGACATGGAGGGAAATGAAGGTAGGATCAAGAGTCCCACTGGGAAGTGGCCTGGCAACCAGAGGTGTCCGCAGGACACCTGAGCCTCAGCAGTGTCTGTGAGGATAGGAGGGAAAGCCAGACCCCAGCCTCTCTGGGGAGAATCTGGATGCATGCGGGAGGAATGGATGGAAGGGAGGGTGTGGGGCTGAGTGGCGGCGGCTGGGCTGTGCTCTCCCACTCAGAGAGCCTTCCCCAAAGCGGGGAAGGCTGCTTGCCTTTTGGTTCATTTCCTTTCTTTAATACACAGCAAATTCCTGGTCACCCTTTGTTGTTGGCTGGTTGGGTTTGTTGCTTTCCTTGTTGTTTACAAGCTCCAGGTATTTGTGACAGATCTTATCATCTCCTTCCCTCTTAGTCACCTCTTGGCCCAACTCTGCATATTTTACTCTTTTTAACTCTGCTCCTGTTCTGACCTCCCCACTCTCGGAAGCATATTTGCTTGGTGTTTTCAGATTTTATTTCATTTTGGCTATTTAAAGAGATGCAATAAACTAAATATGGCCTGGCAAGTCTGGTCTTAAAATAGAAAATATATATATATGTATATTTGTGTGTGCATGTGTGTCTGTGTACATAGGCGCATGTGTGTGCCCTTGAGTGTGCATCCGTGTGTGTGTGTGTGGCCGGTGTACTATAAACCCAGGGCATCAGTCTCCTGACGTCATTGCTTGCACTTTTTGCCATTCTCCCCCAAACACTAGTTTTCAGCCTGTATTTTCTCAGTTTCCCCAAAAATGATTTTTTAAGAAAAGTCAAATCAGAAAGTGATCAGCCTCTACCGCCGGACTCTGCTTTAGTATCCATCCATGTCTCTGAGGTCTTGGGGCTCATAGGAATGTGCTTATTTTCATAGTCCCATTAACATGAATAGTTTCAGAAGGGCCAGCTCAGTTTTGTCTTCAGTTTTCTCACTGGTGATTGTGCAGGGGTGGAATGGCAATGGAATGCATAGGGGCATGAGTGAACTTTTCGGGATGACGGAAGTACTCTATATTTTGATTGAGGTGTTATTACTTCAATGTGTCAAAATCATCAAAATTTTTACATTTCATCATTCTTAAATTATACCTCAGTAAAGTTGATTTTAAAAGTTAAACACATACCCTTTGCTCGAAAATGATCCTGTAGAGCGTTTATGCCTTTATATGAATTTAGCTAATGCATTCTCTCCCCAGGGCCATTTGCATTTTAGGATATAACTGATAATGTGGAAGGTACTAGCAAGGAAGTATGGGATGGGAATCTGGGGATGGAAGTACCTTCCTGCTTTCAGTAAGTTACATAGGCACTCCTTATTCATAAGGCTGAGCTTGGTTTCAGATAAATAATCAGAAAGTAGGTTGTGCAAGGTTTTAAGAAGAGGATCCAAACTGGGACTTAGTAACAAACTCTGAAACTGCCACTTGCATTCTCTGAACTTCACATCAAGTCAATACTCTGTATGCTACAATTCCATCTTACATTAAAAAGCAGGTCTACTAAGGGACCCGATTCCCAAGAAATAAATGTGCTTTTTACAATGCTTGATTTGCAAGTCAGTTTCAAAAATAATTTGGTGAAGATATCAGAGTTATTTTTACAAGATTAAAAATCAGTATTCAACAAATTATTTTATTCACTTTGACTTTTTTTTTTTTTAACCTGTCTGTGACATATGTCTCCTTTGATCCGCACACACACCCTGGCCAGTAGGAAACAGGCACACTCTGCTGGTGGCCTCTGGATGGGGACTGGAGCCTGATCTTGGACCTTCCCTGTCTCATCTAGCTCAGCCCCCATGCTGTCATAGGCCGCAGCCAAGTGGCCTTCCAGGTTTGCACTGGAAGGAGCCACAGCCCCTCCATGGAGCCATCCCAGACACAGCTTCTCCACGGAGCCCTGTTCTCAGCCCTGGAGGCCGGCAATGTGCTTCACCCACTGCCTGCCACATTCCAGCCAACAGAAGAACTTTTGACCGAGAAGTAGAAACTAGGTGATTCAGATCAGATCTCTGTTGTAGACTCCACTACCCTAATGATGAATTTTTAAAATTAAACATTCCCTAACAAACCTCCAAGACTCTTTGCTTGGGTCGGTCAAAATACAGTGGAATGTGAGAGCACATGTCAGAATTCTCCAGCCTACGTTTGCTGTTGTTGTTGTTTTGAGACGGAGTCTCACTCTATCGCCCAGGCTGGAGTGCAGTGGCGCAAACTCGGCTCACTGCAATCTCTGCCTTTCAGGCTCGAGTGATTCTCCTGCCTCAGCCTCCTAAGTAGCTAGGACTATACGTGCGTGCCACCACGCCTGGCTAGTTTTTGTATTTGTAGTAGAGACAGGGTTTCACCATGTTGGCCAGACTGGTCTCGAATTCCTGACCTCAGGGGATCTGCCTGCCTCGGCCTCCCAAAGTGCTGGGATTACAGGTGTGAGACACCACATCCAGCCCAGCCTACTTTTATACTATGAACAAAACTTCTTAGAATTACCAACTTAAGTACAATAGAAGCTTTTGAAATTAGCTGGGGGGAAATTGAGTCTCTAAGTAAGGAGGAGTAAGAGCAAGAAGATCAGAAGGAACCACAGAATCAAACACTTTCAAAAGGAAAGAAAATTAGGAAATTGTTCGGTGCCATCCCTTCATTTCAGAGGGGAAGAACTAAGGACTAGAGAAGTCAGGTCACCCCGACAGGACCCTATGTCCCTCCTTGTCGCCTGACCTCTCCCTGTGAGTCTCAGTGGTCCTGGTCCCACAGCAGGTGCTTGGGGACCCAGAAAGAGGCCAGGTCTCCTGACACCCAGCCCCGCTCTTGTTGGGTCCCTGAATCTGGAATGGTTACTCATGTTGGGGGAATTTTATATTCTTTTTTCCAAAAGTTGATATCCAGCTAGAATCTGTCCTTCCTGAGAGCTTGTCACTGCCCTTTCTCTCCTCCCTGCCTGTACTCCTGTTCGCTTGGGACTCACACTCCTTGCAAAAAAGCTTGTTTCACCCAGGGGTGAGTTTTGTAACTAGAGCAGGGAGTCCTTGCCTTTCATTCCAATGCATTCCCCAAAAGCAGAAAAGTGTTATGCGATGGGAGTTTGCATTTTGGACCAAAGACTCCGCAGCAAATAAATCATGGAAACGAACAATATGTCCTTAAACCAAGATGTAACTGTAAACCTCTACTGTCTTATGAAATAACAATACTGTGCTTTGAGTAGCCAGACCACATAGTAGCTGGACTCTAGACTCTAAGCAGGGATGAAGTCAGTGGCTGCTGATCTGGGCCTTCCCCAGAAGGATGCCAAGAGATCAAGTTTTGTTTTTAAGTTCTGTGAATCACAGACATTATTTTTGTAATCTTTTTTTTTATGACACAGAGTCTCACTCTGTCACCCAGGCTGGAGTGCAGTGGCACGATCTCAGCTCACTGCAACCTCCACCTCCCAGGTTCAAGCAATTCTCGTGCCTCAGACTCCCAAGTAGCTGGGATTACAGGTGTTTGCCACCATGCCCAACTAATTTTTGTATTTTTAGTAAAGATGGGTTTCTCCATGTTGGCCAGGCTGGTCTCGAATGCCTGACCTCAAGTGATCTACCCCCCTTGGCCCCCCAGAATGCTGGGATTACAGGCATGAGCCACCATGCCTGGCTTTGTAAAAAATTTTTAAAGCCAATTTGCTTGTTTAAAAAACTGAATCCACACTGGTAAGTTTTGTTTTAATAAAAAAATTGTGAGTAAGTTGTAAAGCTTTTGATAAGTTCAGTGGCTCCTGTAGGCAGACAATAAATTGCTAAGTCCCAAAGTGTTGCAAGATTCTGGAGAGTACTTTGTTCATACTTTGAAGAATATGCCTGATTATAAGGCAACACAAATTACTGAAGCCTTGAAATGATGAGGTTGTTTCCATTTACTCGCACATAAAATAATATATCTAAAACATCTAGCAACTCTCAAAAGAAGAGAGTAAAAAGCTTTTGAGAAATCAAATACAATTCATTCCAATTCAACTTGAAAATTCCCAACAGTCCGTGTTGCATTTTATACATCTTGAACCAAACCATGGCTTTGAGTAAAGGCTTCATTTAAAAACCTAACCTATATATGGTGGGTGTTCATGTTCTATTAAAGCAAGGTCCCTGTCCTAGTTGGAGGGAACTTCCCTAGGTCCGGCAGCATAAACCAGTGCCTGTCGACCAGGGAGTGTCAGGAGGATGTGCTGCTTCCTGCCCCCTCCCACACAGGGAGCAAGGCTGTGCTGAATGGAGATATTCTAGTAAGGAGGAGAGTGTATGTGAGAAGGTGTATGTGAGAAGGTGTGGCATCCACAACAAAACTAATAAAGCATCAGCAACCTTAGGTGATGCGGTTTGGCTATGTCCCCACCCAAATCTCATCTTGAGTTCCCACATGTTGTGGGAGGTAATTGAATCACAGGGACAGGTCTTTCTCATGCTGTTCTCGTGATAGTGAATAAGTGTCATAAGAGCTGATGGTTTCATAAGGGGGAGTTTCCCTGCACAAGCTCTCTTCTCTTGTTTGCCACCATGTGAGATGTGCCTTTCACCTTCCACTATGAGTGTGAGGCCTCCCCAGCCACATGGAACTGTAAGTCCATTAAACCTCTTTCTTTTGTAAATTGCCCAGTCTTGGGTATGTCTTTATCAGCAGTATGAAAACAGACTAATGCATTTGGAAACCAAGAGGCTGATGGTGTTCAGGACACACTGTCCCCATTTATAGCACCTTGGCATTTCAGAAAATCGCAAAAGCAGGAAGGCCCCTCTCACTTTCCCCTCCTTGCCCTTCTCCCCTGGGGCAGGTTATAAGATCCTCATTTGGGAGAGTCTTTCCCAATACTTGGAGGAAAGGAACATCCTTGTCTCTGAAGACACAGAGCACAGAGAAGAATCAGAACAAACAGGCCTTTCTCAGTGACCCCAGTTTATCACCATTAGCTCACTCCCAGTTTGTCTAATCACCTCCTCCACCACTATCCACTCTTCATCAAACCTAAGTACAAAATACCCAAGTTTGCCTGTTTCTGTGGGTCTTCCTTTCCTTGTGATAACTCCTGAGTCACATGAAACACATACTAAATATGTGTGCCTGTTTTCCTCTTGTTACTCTTTAGTTACAGGGAAGGGCCCCAGCCATGAACCTAGCAATGGGTGAGGAAAGAAATCTTTCCTTCCCTACTGATATGGTTTGGCTGTGTCCCTACTCAAATCTCATCTTGAATTGTAGCTCCCTCAATTCCCATGTGTTATGGGAGGGAACCAGTGGGAGATAATCGAATCATGGGGGCAGTTTCCCCCCATACAGTTCTCATGGTAGTGAATAAGTCTCATGAGATCTGATGGTGAATAAGGGGAAATGCCTTTCACTTGCTTCCCATTTTTCTCTCTTGTCTGCTGCCATGTAAGACATGCTGTCCACCTTCTGCCGTGATTGTGAGGCCTCCCCAGGCAGGTGGAACTGTGAGACCATTAAACTTCTTTCTCTTTATAAAGTATCCAGTCTTGGGTATGTCTATATCAGCAGCATGAAAACGGACTAATACACCTACCAGGCCCGGATTTGTTTGGCAATAAAGTGATCCATTCACGCCCAAGAAGTGGGTGGAGCTGGGAAAGGCCAGACCAACCATTTGGAATAGTGTTTTTTGATCCACCCCCAGGAGGTGAGGATTGGCAGGGGCTGAGGGGAGTGCTCACCTCCAGCAAGGTGAGCTGGAGCCCACAGCAGGACTCCAGCCTCAGCAGAGGAACTGGAGAGCAAACCAGGAAAGGCAGACAGAGCTGACTCACGTGCGAGGGTGGGAGAGGTCGCACGGCCTGCCCGGACCCTGATGAGCTGAGCACAGTGAAAACAATGCCAGGCCTCACCTGCCCGTGCTTACCGGCTGGTGGCAGGGGGGCTGAGCAGGTGTTGAGGTGTTCACAGGTGAGTAGGAGAGGAAAGGCAGACGTCGGCCTAAAGGCAATCGCAAGGAGAAATGCGTTGAGAATTGTAGCACTGTATCCATCAAAAAGGAAGCTCATCTTTCACTGGGTGTCTTTCTAATTGTTAGACTTGACACTGCATTTGCTGCCCTGATTTCTTGTCCTAACCTTCAAGCTTGTTAGAACAGGGACTCAGGGACTCTGTTTTCTTCTCCTGTGCTCAGTGCAGGGCAGCAGGACTCACTTGCTAAGTGCTCACTGACAGATGTAAGATTATTGTTAGAGATATGGACCCGCTTGCTCTTCTGAGCCTCCGTGATTCTCATTCGGTCCTTTGCTGTCATTAGAATCGTCTGGGGAGAATTTTGTCACTCCTGCTACTCTGGCCAAACCTCGTATACTTCAATCAGAATGCTCGGAGTTGGGGCTGCAGCAACTGGAATTGTTTCAAACTCCCCGGGTGACTGCCCTAGCAGTCAAGTTTGAGAACCACGGGCATGGTAAAATCTTTTCTCAGCCTGAGCAGCCCATTAGCTTCACCTAGGGAGCTTTAACAATCACTAATGCCTAGGCCTCACCACCCTCCATCCCGTGTTCTGACTTAATTAGCGTGGGGTGGGGCCCCTAAAACAACATTCTAACAGCTTCCCAGGCGATGAGAATGCACAGCTAGGATGAGCTTCTCCTCTGAAGCATGAAGACCCACAGAATACTGCAGAGTTGCTGGGGGTGGCCCTGCCCAAATTCTCGCCTAAAACCCCAACTTTCAATGACATTGTGGACCTGCTTTCGTGTTATTATAAGGTTTACAAATTTCTATGCCACCTATCAGACCATTTTTTAAGGATGAAATCAAAGTTTCTATAAGTTGTGTAGTTCTTTCCCTGTGCATTTTATCGTAATATTGAAAAACGACAGTGAAAAGCAACCAAGGCATCTCGGCAGCATGCTGCTGACTAGTTCACGCAGTTACCACCAAAGCGCATGGACGGGACCCAGAGCATGAGCGTGTGCCCACTATCGGGGACAGAAACCTACCGCGTTCGAGTTTTGACATATTTCTCGCAGTTGTTGAAAACTATGAGGCATGAAATCCAGATTTATGACTTTTTAAAAAGTTATTTGTGGATTCCCAAGACGATTATGTTCCCATCACTTATGTAGCCTTAAAAGAAAAAAACCTCAAATGATGCTTTAAAAAAATCCAAGTTTGGCGCTCATTGAGTTCCAGTGTCAGTTGTCTGAATCGCCTTCAGCGAAAGTCAGGGGGAAAAAATACATTCCGCCTTCCTTTAACTGCTAGTTCGTCATGGAGAACAGAAAGTCCCATTTGCATGTGGCTTTTGGAAAAGCTAAGCCGGGAGCGATTATCCTGATGCGCTTTTACTTTTTGCATAAAATAAGAATTTGAGGAGGATGTCCCGGGAGAGTGAGCCACTTCTCATTTCCCAGGCCTCGCCTGCCATGCTCTTTGACAACATCATAGATTTTATTTTTGCCGGGAATCTCATTATCAAAGCAATGCCCCCCGCCCCCCCCCCACACACAGACTGCCAGGTAAACCACAGAGGGTGAGGGGGGTGCAGGTCATGGTTGCCTTATTACACACCCTCCTCTGCCATCACCTCCTTTTTTGTCTGGATAAGTTCTTTGGCAGTTCTCTCAACTTTTATTTCTGAAACATCCTGAAACATCTCAGTATTAAAAGCAAGGCCGATTATATAAACGATACTCCCAGGCCTGACAACACATGGTTTTGCCTGAGGCCTTTACTGCCAAGAGCCGTAAGGACCCTCTAAGTCATGTTCGCTATTTTTACTGGCCTTGAGAGTCTCCTTGCTTTGACATCCTCTTGTCTCCATTGTCAGACTGTTAAATGCTCATGCTTCTGGTTCTCTTAAATAGATGCAGATGTGTGGGGCTGGGTTGCCACTGAGCCCTCTTCTCTTTTGCAAGAGCTGGGATGCAGACAGAAGGCGGTTTGGAAAACACGAGCCACCTTGATTTTAGACAAACTCTAAGTTACAATCAGGTGTCTTCATTTATGACATTTAACTTTTACTTAACCTAATCAAGCCATGTTGTTGGCTACTGATTAGAATATCCTTTTATAACTTACCTTAAATCTCACTACTTGTTCCAACCATCCCAAAGTCTGGCGTCAACTGTCATTGCATGCTGCTCTTTTCAGCCTTTCTAGTTCGACTCTTAGCAAAAGCCATAATCTTCCTCCAGTCTGTTTCCTTTCTGCAGTGACAAAATTGCCCAGGGAAAGGAAAAAGAACAGCATCTATCTTCTTTCTTTTTAGCTCCCTGGTTTAAGGCTTTCTTTTCCCCCATGATGAAAAACTATAATCATTCTGCTTAGAAAGTACAGACCCCTAAGCCCACTTCCAAAAGAAGGATGCATTTTCAAGTCTGTTATCTTTACTTTCCCAGAGCCTGGGGGTCTCCCAGGCCAGAAGTTGACAGAACTGTCTTCATACACTCGAGACAACTTCATGCCCATTTCCTTAAAACTAAGAACATAAGACGCTGATTTTTCTTCCAGAAAAAAAAAAACCTTTCTTGTTCTTTCAAGAACTGTTTCACGGACAGTGTTTCATATTACAAAATTGAAACTTGGGACTTTTGAACTGCAAATTTAGCAGAAAATGAATCCATGCGCTTGTGGCTTTGCTTGTCACCTCTACTCAGATGTCTCCCAGACCCCTCTCCAGCTGCAAGCTGCAGGCAGAACTGTTCCTCTAAAAGAAAACAAACTCCTGTTTTTCCTACTACTGCTACTGCTTCTACTGTTGCTACACACACACATACACACACACTCTCTCACACACACACTCACACACACACACACACACTCAGAAAACACTTCTGACACCAAATGTATGGGTTTTTTTCATGCCAAACAATTCTGCAGTTCACTGCAGACACCAGCTGAGTGTCCTACAATCCAATTGTGGCACCGCCTGCCTGGAGTTAGCAGGTGAAGGACTCAGCCCCGCAAGCCTGCCCCCCTACCCATGCCAATTGCTTGTCCCAAATCCCCGTTCTAACTGACCAGCGGTAAATCAGGGGTTGCCACAACCCCCTCCTGGGATTTGTAACTTGCTGCAGCAGCTCACAAA
This sequence comes from Homo sapiens, assembly GCF_000001405.40. Classification (NCBI taxonomy): domain Eukaryota; kingdom Metazoa; phylum Chordata; class Mammalia; order Primates; family Hominidae; genus Homo; species Homo sapiens. Next base: position 6,611,417 of record NC_000008.11, read on the forward strand.
ACTCAGAGAAACACTTAACATTGACCAATTCATCACAAACGTTATTTTGAAAGGATGTGAATGAACAGCCAGAGAAGAGATGCACAGGGCCCGGGGCCGGGGAGCAGGGCATACGGAGCTGCCATGCCCTCTCAGGGGGCATCACCTCCTGCACCAGGGTGTGTTCAACCCCAAAGCTCCTGAACCCTTTAACGTCAGGATTTTTTTTTATTTTTTTTTAAAGACATAGTCTCACTCTGTCTCCCAGGCTGGAGTGCAGTGGCGCCATCTCAGCTCCCTGCAAGCTCCGCCTCCCGGGTTCTCGCCATTCTCCTGCCTCAGCCTCCCCAGTAGCTGGGACTACAGGCGTCCGCCACCACGCCCGGCTAATTTTTTGTATTTTTAGCGGAGACGGGGTTTCACCGTGTTAGCCAGGATGGTCTCGGTCTCCTGACCTCGTGATCCACCCACCTCGGCCTCCCAAAGTGCTGGGATTACAGGCGTGAGCCACCGCGCCCGGCCTGACGTCGGGATTTTTAAGGAGCTTCATTACATAGGCAGGACTGATGAAATCATTGGCCATTGAGTGAACCCCAGACCTTGCGGGGGTGGGGCTGAAAGTTTCAACCCTCCAAAGATTGGGCACGTTCCTCTGGCACTCGGCCCCCAGCCTCCAGGAGCCACCTCATTAGCATACACGCAGGTAGGGTTGGAAAGGGCTTGTGATAAATGATGAAGGACGTTCTTCTGCATCGCTCGGGGAATTCCAAGGGTTTAGGGGCTCACTGCCAGGAACCCGGGGCAGAAACCAAATACATATTTCTCGTTATAGCACAGTGTCACCCCCTCACTCTGCCTAATTTGGTGACTAGCTGCCCCATCACATTCTGCCTATTTAAGCCAAGCCCCCCTTCCCCAAGGCCAACCTCCTCTCCTCCACAGCCAGCCCACTTCCCGGGCGTGATAACTCTTCTGCCCCAGCTGGAGAGTTGTTCTGAGGCTTTCATCCTTCTCCACGTGCCGCCTGGCAGTGCTGCTGCCTGTCTTTTGAGGGCTACCCCTTTCTCCATTACCTCTGCGACCTGGCTAGTCCACATCCTCCCCGACCCGTGCTCTTCAGCACCGGTGCCTGCCCCGCTCAGTGCATGTCCTCATCCCTGCAGCCTCCACCCTGGGCTTCCTGACCCCCACTGCGTCCGGCACCGCTGGTTGCGGGCCTGCTCCGGCTCTCTCTGCCCAGCTGGCTGGCCTGCCTCTGTTCCGACCTCCCCTGCCTGGCCTGGTGTTCTGGGCGCCTCCTCCGCTCACATCGCCGCTTCACCTGCTTTTGCTATCTGCACTTTCCATGTCCTGCTCCTTCTCCCAGCTGGTGGTGCCTCTGAGAAGAGGACTGAGAACCGCCTGTGAACCCCGCAATTTCGTGGGTGTGGTGGAAGCAAAGGCAGAGCGTGTGAGTTTAGTGGGCGTGCGCCACTCTTTCAAGAAGTTTTGTTACAAAAAGATGCAAAGGAAGTGAAGAGGGAAGGGGTTTGCAGGTTGGGAGAAATAACAGCATTTGTGTTCTTTGTTGTTGTGACGGTTTTGAGCCAAAACATGACAAACGGGACAGAAGGAAGACCTGATGGAGCGTGTCCTTGAGAAGGCGAGAGGCATGGGGTTGGCCTGCTGGGGGATCGGCCTTCCATATGGGGGTTCCTCTCCAGCAGCCTGGGGTTCTGAGGAAGGCAGGCCTGCAGCAGGTGCCGGGTGCCGGGAAGCAGGAGACATCTCTGTTACTCCACTGTCCTCAGTGGGGAGCCACGGCTGAGCGTGAGAAAGGGCTTATAGGCTGAAGGCCAGGCAGACGGGAATGGCCAGGCAGAGGAGGGGAGGACGAGCCGGGTAGAAACAGTGGATAGAAACACGGAGGGCCACACGGCCAACGGTCAGGGGACTGGCACACCAGCCAGATTCACCCGCGGCGATGCCGGTGCAGAGAAGCTCGGCATCTGAATTTAACCCGGGTTGTGGTTTGACTCAGTCTGACGTGGAGAGAAGGGCCAGGGAGTCACGGGGGGGTGGTGGGCTGTGTGCTGGTTTAGGGGCTGGGACATGGAGGGGTGAAGGCGGGAGTCAGTCGCATCCGCTGGGCAGGGGCCTGGGGCTGCAGACAAGGTGGGAGGTGGCAGCTACGGAGGAAGCTGCAAGGGATTCTGCAGTTCCCCGGGGAGACAGGAGCCCAAGGGACCGGGGGGTGAGGGGGTTGGAAGGGGCACCTGTGGATGTCCTGAGACTTCCAGGAAGTGGGACAGGATCAGTGATGGAGATAGAGACAGAGTCATCAGGGCCGAGAGGAATGACAGTAACAGCGAGGTTGAAGTGGGCACCCCCGTCTAGCAGCACGGGGTGTGGAGCTGGCTTGTGGACGGCCAGGGAACAGGACGCTTTGAGGTGGCAGCCAGGGGCAGGGATGCTTTTGATCGCCAAGGGAGAAGACTTGATGCAGAGTTTCAGGAGCCTCCATGACTTCCCCATCTGAAGACCTTTTTTACTTTAATGGGATTGAAGTGATCACCAGAATAGTTAATGGTGTGCTCCGTTCCTATTTCTCTGGTTTTTCTAAGGTCCACAGGCTGCAGACATCGTTTGTACTTCTCCCTGGTGCCAAAGACCAGTTAATGCCGACTTTGATGGGCTCAGTGCAGGCCACATTGTCACGTGTAACTCTACACTGAGAATTATTTTAGAAGGTTAGACTCCTAAAAATGTTTTGTTTTTCCAAATGGTGGCCTCTGGGTCTGACTTCACCTCTTTTGCAATGATCAGCACTAGGATATGGTTTTGGAGACGGTTGTGCAGAGCCAGGGCTTTCACCAAAGCTTGGCCGCTCGGACAGGACTCACGATGGAAGACGGTCAGGTGCCCCAGGTTTCAGATGCCTGCCTCCTCCCATGCGTGGTGAGGGGCCTGCCTCCTTTATAGCTTTCCGCTGCCAGGCTGGCGCCTCCTCCCCTCACCCCCATCTCCTCCAGAGGAAGACCAACTTAATCAAATCTTACCACAACTACGTACTGCCTCCTGGAAAAAGCCTGATTTCTCGCCCCCTCTTGTCCCTCCCTGCGTGGAGGCAGGCCCTTTGTCCAGTGCCCATGTGGCTTGGTGGGTGGTCTTTCTAAGTTATCAGAGGACATTAGCAAACACACACGTCCGTTGGCCTAACGCCCAATCTGCAGCCAGCCTTATGAATAATCAACGTGACTTGTCTCTGTAGTTCAATGCCTATATCTGCCTCTCAGTTGTTATTGAAGCTGGGGGCAAAAAAGATGGATTATTCATTGGAAACCTCAAAACCTCGACAGCTGAGCTTTCTTACACATGCCTGTGTGGCCCCCGTGGTATCTTAGTGTTCACCTCCCCATTTGCACACAGGAAGCCAGTCACATTACTGGATTCCTGGTGAGTTTGACTTTTCATTCTGTCTTGAATCTCCCTCCCTTCCCCAACCCCATACCCCACCCTACTCCATCCCTTTTTCTTGGGTCTTCCTGATCTCAACCCCTCCATCTGTCCTCCACGTTGTCTGCATAGTGAGCCTCCTAACACACGGATCCCCCCATGGCCTTGTCTGCTCAGGTTTCTAAGGTCCCCAGTAACCACGCTCACACTGCGTAAGCACGAACGGTCTGGTCCACACCTCATCACTTGGCGTGCATGTGAATGTTTTAGCAAGTTAGCTCTTGCAATTATTGCCTGCCGATCCCCTGGGCTGCATTCACACATGCCGTGAGTCTTCAGACACCCAGGTCTCAGGACCTGAGGGGCTCCTGTGTGCTTTCCGTGAGGAACTGTCTTTCTGCTCACGACTCCATGTCACATGCCACCATCAGGAAGTCCTCCCTCAATGCCCCAAGCCTACTCAGGCTCCCACTTTCCTGCCCATGAAATGTGTGTAACTTCTAGGGTGTCCTGAGAAGCAAAGACCATGTCCCTGCATTTTTGCATCCTCAGAACTTAGCCTGATACTCACAATGAAATGAGTTCACTTAACGACACAACGAACGAATGTGCAGGTACTTCTGCAGGGGGTGATGTGGGGATGCGTGCATTGATTCTGTGGCTCAGCCCTGAGTTGGGGGCAGGAGGCAGGTGCTGGGAGGAGGATTTTATGTCTTAGGAAGCACAGGAAGGCCTTGCCAGGATCCAAGAAAAAATGGAAAGTAGACCAATGTAAGCGTTAAAAGAACACATTTTATCTTTTAAATGTGTGTACACAGTACAGTTGACTTTTTTGTATACAATTCTATGAGTTTAAACACACATATAGATTAGCGTAACCACTAATTATAAGATTGTAGGGAACTGGGGAAAAAATGCATGCATTAAGGAATGATACGGCATATTTGGGGGACAGAGAACAGGCTTGATGAGGACAGAGTCTATTTAAAAGAGACAGTGGGCACCGCAATTGGAGGGGAAGGCGGGGCAGGGTTTTAGAGAACCCCTGAGTGCTGGGCTACAGGATTCAGTAAAGTTATTGATGAGATTGGCTGCATTGTGGATTCTGAAATATTTATTTAATACCTCGAGGAGGGTGTGAGTAGATTGTGCTGATGATCGCATAACTCTGACTATACTAAGAACCACTGAGTTGCACCCAGAGCTTGCATTACTGAGCGCTTTACCAGTTAGGAAGGTTTCGCGTATTCCGTACTTTAAATCTAAGGTGACTTGACTGTAAGGCCTGCGAGTATTTCCTGGACCACTCAGAGGAAGAATGCTGTGAATGAGAACTACAGCCCTGTAAGACACGTCCTGTATCATTGTTGAGATGGGAAAGTGCATCTTAAGACAGTTAGCAGGCCAAGGAGCGACTTTAAAGGGTGAGCTCTGCCTAGAGGGAAAAGCGAATGCACTAATTGAAATCCAACACCCTGGGCTGGAGTAAATGAACCGTCAGCCACCCATGGGGCTTCATTTCTTGGTGATGGATAAATAGCTGGGATTCCTTGAAGCTAGAAGCCATGGGGAAATTCTGTTCTGCTTAGCTTTGTCAACAGTACAGTCTGCCTTAACTGACTTGGAGGTAAATAGATTCGGAGAGTGTGAGCTAAAACCCATTAAATCAGGTGAAGACACAAAGGCAAGCACAGCCAATGTGGTTTAAGGCAAAGCTAATGTCCCTTCGGCCTTAACTGACGGACTTTCCTAGCAGTCCTCACCCTCTGCAACCCAGGGCTCCTAGGAGGAGCTCATGGCAGAGAAAGCCTTCTGGCTTCTGCCACTGCCTCCTCAACTACATGTATACATCAGTGTATATGCATGGGTATGAAATGAACATTTTATGTCACCATTAGCAGAGGAAAGCTGGAACTCTTTCAAACCCCACCCAAAATTCACTCTGACTACTGAGCAGTCCTGTTGTTTATTTTGGAGGCCACTTAACCCTGGAGCAGTCCATAAGCTCCACTTAATCCCCTCTTCTTTCATGATTTCTTTTAAAGAGACATCTTGGGTTCTGTAGGGGAACATTTGTGCTTCACTGTAAAACTCCATTTGAGGCCTGCTCACGGCCTGCCACCTTATCTGCTTGCAGCCTTCATTGCTTGGGAGCTGTTTTACAGCTTCATAAGTTGTAAATAGCTGCTGGCAATGCAAACGCGCTTGTCTGTGGGCAGGAAATGAATTCTGTCTGGTAGAGGGAATGCTTCCTACCTTGTAGGAAAGCCAATATTTTTTGTCCATTAGCAAGTTTATATCAGTATTCCTAATCATTAAATGTGTTCTTCGGATTGTCCTTTGAACCAGTTATAGCATTTGAGTTAAGTAAAATGAATACACTGTTGTTTATTTTATACCTGTATGAAAGTTATGGGTTTTTTGGTGGGGGGGGGGTGTTTTTTTTGTTTTTTTTTTTGTTTTTTTTGAGGTGGAATCTCGTTCTGTCGCCCAGGCTGGAGTACAGTGGCGCAATCTCGGCTCACTGCAAGCTCCTCCTCCCAGGTTCACACCATTCTTCTGCCTCAGCTTCCCAAAAGTTATGATTTTTAAAAAATTATCTTTTAACATTTTTTAGCTAGAAACTTCTGGGTCAATATATAAATAGATGAGCCTGGTTATATCTGAGGTTTTCACTGAGGTAACAACAAAAATAAAACAACACGATGCCACCGAGCCATCGTTCCCCAACTTACGTCTGTCCCCTCCACATGTCCTGCACGCACTCCTGTTTCTGGGGTGTGTGCATGTGTGTGTGTGTGTAAAGGTTTGCAATGAAATTAGAATCATTGGTTTTTGTTGGGGGTGGGGAGTTGTATTGTTTTGAGACAGGGTCTCGCTCTGTCACCCACGCTGGAGTGAAGGGTCACAATCACAGTTCACTGCAGCCTCAACTTCCTGGGCTCAAGTGATCCTCCCACCTCAGCCTCCCAAGTAGCGGAAACTATAGGCATGTGACACCATGCCGGGCTTGCTTATCTATGTCTGTCTGTCTGTCTGTCTATCATCCATCTATCTATCTATCTATCTAATCTATCTATCTATCTATCTATCTATCTATCTATCTATCTATCTTTCTATCTATCTAGATGGGGTCTGCCTATGTTGCCCAGGCTGGTCTCAAACTCCTGGGCTTAAGCAATCCAACTACCTCAGCCTCCCAAAGTGCTGGGATTACAGGTGTTAGCCACTTTGCCCAGCTGAAGTTAGAGTTTAGAGCACATTGCTGTAAATTGCGATTACCAAGGGTATTGAAAAATCCATGAAAATAATAAACAGCAAGTTGACTTCAGAATTTGTGCGTTTGAGGCTTTTCGCCTTGATCTCCAGGTAACACACAGGCTCCTTGGCGAGAGCCAGTGGTGATACAATGAGAACACCGCCTGCTGCATCTAATATTTGCAGCTTAGAATTCACAGCTAACTTTTTAAAATGTACCAGTGTGGGGGAAATGGTGCTTTATTTGCTGGATAGGAAAATTGGCCAAGATCAGAATTCTGAAGGCAGTGTCACAGCACAAAGAAACTAGCTACTGAAGTCACATCCTAAACATTCGAGAGGTTGATTTCCTTTTCTACTGCATTACAAAAAGGTTTATTTACTGCTTATCCATATAGTGAGATAGAGATTAGATCTCAGTTTTTGGTTAAGAACAAGCATTATCATAAATGTGTGTGTGTGTTGTGTGTGCATTTTACAGGATTTTTAAAAATACACAGAGAATTTTTCACAGTTGTTAACTCTGGTAAATGGTGGGGAAGGCAGGGGTGAGAACTGATCTATTATTCATAATCTCAATGATGAACAAGCTATTTCCAAAAATAGGTGGATTATTTAAAATTATTATTATTAGGATATTTTGGGCTTCTAGAAACAAAAACTTAACAAAAAAGTCACTTAAAGAATTTAGGGGTCTTTTTTTCTGACATGAAAAGAACAAAATAAAGGATGATTTCAGTTTGGTCCGTCAGTGACTTAGAAGTGTTTTTCAGGACCCAAGGCTTTCCGCCTTCCCACTGGGCCATTTTCAGCGTGTCCCGTGGCCTCTGGGGGCTTCAGTGATCCAGGCGTCACATTAGACATGACAGTGTCCAGCAAAGAGAAGTATTTCTGCTTTGCATCTGTTTATAACAGTGAGAAAAACTCCCCCAGAATCCCACCAGCAATTGATTCTCACGTTGCATTGGCCAGGATTGAGGCCAGCTGTGCCATGCTTAGCGCAGTCATTTGTATTGCGATCACCGTGATTAGCTCAGACCCATCCTGGGACTTCTCCTTGGGCTTGAAGACATGGCCAGGTGGAGATCGGTGCCCCCCAGAAGAAGTCTTTGTTCTGCCAATAAAGAAGACACAGACAACAGTGTCTAACAGGAAAAGCCCCTTTTTACTTTATACCCTTCCGTATTGCTTCAACAATCAAATACTTTATTTTATTGTTTGAGACAGAGTCCTGCTGTGTCGCCCAGGCTGGAGCGCAGTGGCGCCATCTCTGCTCACTGCCACCTCCACCTCCCAGATTCAAGCGATTCTCCTGCCTCAGCCTCCCGAGTAGCTGGGATTACAGGCGCCTACCAAAATGCTCGGCTAGTTTTTGTATTTTTAGTAGAGATGGGGTTTCTCCATGTTGGTCAGACCGGTCTCGAACTCCTGACCTCAAGTGATCCACTCACCTCAGCCTCCCCAAGTGCTGGGATTACAGGCGTGAGCCACTGCGCCCAGCCTTTTTTTTCTTTAGATAGAGTGTTGCTCTTATTGCCCAGGCTGGAGTGCAGTGGCACAATCTCAGCTCACTGCAAGCTCCACCTCCCGGGTTCACACCATTCTCCTGCCTCAGCCTCCCGAGTAGCTGGGACTACAGGTGCCCACCACCACGCCTGGCTAATCTTTTGTATTTTTAGTAGAGACAGGGTTTCACCATGTTAGCCAGGATGATCTTGATCTCCTGACCTTGTGACCTGCCCGCCTCAGCCTCGCAAAGTGCTGGGATTACAGGTGTGAGCCACCGTGCCCGGCCAGATACTTTCATAATTAACTTTTTGAATGTATGTGTGTCCTACTTTAAAATGAAAGATACTCTTTCTTGATTCCATTTCCATGCAGCTTGGCCCCGTGATGCTAGGGACCATGGCTTTTTCTTGCAGTGTGACTCACCATTTGCCAAAGCAAATCTCTTGCCTTGCATCAGCTCAGTCTCTTTGTCTGCAAATTAAATCAGTAGCCCTTTCCACTGCCTATCTCGCAGGATATAGTGCCAAAAATACTCACAAAGTCACCATCCAGGAAGAATCATTTGCCCCTGCTGCCACTGTCTCCTGCAAGGCACATGAAAGCTGCTGAGGCTCGGTATTTATTATGCTATAAAATTCAACACAAGGGGAGAGAACAAGCAAATTCCATGAGCATATATAAGTGTATCGGATCTACTCCATTGATGCTGGAGCTATATTTTCACAGTAGGATCCTCTTTTGTTAAATATTACAGTAGTAGGAAAACCTAGCAGAAGAATAGTTCACTGTTTCTCTGATTTTGTGAGTGATGTGGGCTGTGGAATTTACTCTTTGCTGCTCTTCCCCCAACCTGCACCCTACCCCTGCCTCCGAGGTCAGCCTTGCCTGCTGCCCCTGACTGAGAGGACCCCGACGTCACCCCACCCCAGGTTATACTCCTCTGAGAAGGTCCCTTCATCCCTTCCCCGAAATACATCCCCTCAAATCTCTAATTTGTGTGAACCATTAATTTCAGATATTGTAGGAAAAATAAGCAGGGAAAATACGCAAAACAAAACGTGGATGGCACATAACCCATAGCATCTCGCAGGGTGTGTACACTGAAGAAGTCTTTACCAACCCGTAGTTAGGAAAATGCGTGTTCAGAATAACTGGGCCTTCCCGCGGTCCTCTGAGTCAAACAGATGACCACACATTGCCAGAATGAGAAGCAGAGCAGCTTCACATCCCTGCTTCTGAAATGTTTCCCAACAGCTCATTGAAACAATCTCGAGACACCTCTCTCCCCCAAACCCAGCGTGTTTCGGGAATGGCTCTAGGAATTCTACTTTTGCATTGCCTCACTCTCCCTTTCCCCGTCCAGACCATGGTATTGGATTTACAGCATTTCTTACATCCTATAAAAGTCCTTTTCTGCCAACAGCCTGGAGCGCGCTGGATTGAATGACGCTCTCCCAGCACAGCCGGCATTTGCAGTGCATTAGAATCTTGCCGTCACTTGCACACGTCACCAAGTTACTTTAGTGAGAGTTCAGCCTAGCTATGGCTCTGCTGTGCTAACAGTTGCTTTTCAATATTTTGTTTGAGGCTTTGGAATAATTCAAAGGCCTACACTTTTTTTTTTCTAATTTGTTTCCTTGGAGTTTTACGCATGGCTACTTCAGAAAACGTCAGTTTTATGTCATTAATGTCATCATCTTCTCTGGATTCTCAGAATTCAAAATTCACAGGAGCATGGCAGCCTTACATTCAGTCTATTCTTTTCATAAAAAAGGAAGTAAACTGCAACAGTTCGCCTACGCTATGGAGACTGGAGTGGTCCCACCTCTGTAATTCTATCTCTGTCTGCCCCACAGCTGTGCCGAAGCGAGTGCCACTTGTCTGCAGGGCCGTACCGCGGAACCCTCTTTGCCGACCAGCCAGCGATGTTTGTCTCGCCTGCCAGCAGCCCCCCAGTGGCCAAGCTCTGTGAACTAGTCCACCTGTGCGGAGGCCGGGTCAGCCAAGTCCCCCGCCAGGCCAGCATCGTCATCGGGCCCTACAGCGGAAAGAAGAAAGCCACAGTCAAGTATCTGTCTGAGAAATGGGTCTTAGGTAAGAATCCAGGCACACAGACGCTGTGGTGTGGTCCAGATCTGTGGACAGGTTTCCAGGGAGGGCGGCGTCAGGCTCACACCCCCTTCCACGCAGCTGGGGCACCTGGGTTGATGTCTCAGCCTCCAGCATCTGCCCTGGCAGCGTCGTGTGGTCACCCTCGGCATTCCCGCTCCTTGCTGTTAGCAGACGTACAGTTCACGAGGAAATGGGAACTCTAACTGGACTTCCCCACTTGACTTCCCTGGCTCGTGTGAAAAATCCAGGCTACCCAAAGCCACCCCGGGCCACCCCTGTGGGCACAGACTCTCCGGGCACCCCTCTTAGACCCTCCCTCCCCAGTGCCTCCTTGTCCTGCTTCAGGAGTCCCTGGCAGCGCCCGGCACTGGGGCCCAAGCCCCCGTCCCTGTCATCTCCTCTCCCAGGTACATCTCATGATCACTCCGTCTGCTCATGTGCTCAAAGGGTGTTAAAAGACGTCAAACGACTCCATCTTTTATTTGACAAAGTGAGCACAGTGTGACCGTAATGTCCCACTCTGGCGTTCATGGAGCTGCGCCAGGCGCCGTGTGCGATTCTGGGGAGGAAGAGGTGGTAGGAGCTGAGCTGAGATCGGAGGAGGCTGGAACCCCACGCCGTGCTAACACACGGGCTCCAGGAGACTTGCAGGTGATCCCCGGAGAAGAGGGTTAAGGAAGAGTGTGAAGCAAGGACGGCCTGGGGAATGCGGAGGAAGCAGGGGCAGCGTCTGTGCTAGAAATTACCTGCCCTGTGGTGGAGTCATATGTGGCGGGACAAGCCTAGGGCTCCACTGTGGGGAAATCCCACACCCTCCTCCATGGGGTTGTGATAAACATGTTAGTTTGCTTGGGCTGCCATCGCAAAATACTACAGGCTGGGTGGCTTCAAACAACACGCATTGTCTCTCAGTTCTGGAGGCTGGAAGTCTAAGATGGGGTATCGGCAGCGTTGGTTTCCCCTGAGGCCTCTCTCCTGGGCTTGCAGACAGCTGCCTTCTTCCTGTGACCTCACGTGGCCTTTCCTCCATGCACACACATCCCTGGTATCTCTGTGTGTGTCCAAATGTTCTCTTCTCTAAGGATACCAGTCAGATTGGATTAGGGCTCACCCAATGGCATACTTTTATTTGCTTTTATTTATTTTTTTGAAACAGTGTCTCGCTCTGTCACCCAGGATGGAGTGCAGTAGCATGATCACAGCTTACTGCAGCCTCAGCCTCTCTGGCTGAAGTGATTCTCCTGCCTCAGCCTCCCAAGTAGCTGGAACTACAGGTGCACACCACGATGCCCAGCTTTACTTTCTTTTTTTTTTTTTTTTTTTTGTAGAGATGGGGTCTCCCTATGTTGCCCAGGATAGTCTCAAACTCCGGGGCTCAAGCGATCCTCCTGCTTTGGCTTCCCAAAGTGCTGGGATTACAGGTGTGAGCCACTGCACCCAGCCCCAGTGGCATCATTTTAACTTGTCTTTTTCAAGGCCCCATCTCCAAATACAGTCTCATCCTGAGTTACTGAGGGTTAAGACATCGACATACGAATTTTGGGCAGACACAATTCAGCCCATAACAATGAATCACTCTAGTTTCAGCCCCTGGGGCCAAGATCCTTACCCGACTTTAGAGGTACATCCCCTCTCTCTCTCTCAATCTCTCTCTCTCTCTCCTGTTCTCTCATTCTTTTTCTCTCTCTTTGCTTCCATCTCCTTCCATGTTTCCTATTCAGTCTCCTTTCTTAGTACTTTTGCATGTCTCTAAATCCTAAACTTCTGGCTTTTCTCATCATCTGCTCAACATTATCCCTTAATAGACAAGTAGATACTGTGTTTGTTCAAGTTACATTCGTATCTAACTACGGACATTTTACAAGTATCTTTTACATGACTGATGGTCATCCTTTCATATATTTTAGAAGTGTGGCAATCAAAAGTAATTTTTTACTCTGGTGCAGAGTAATTCATCTTTTGCCTGGAAACCAACTTCCAAAAAAAAAAAAAAAAAAAAAAAAAAAAAACTATTGATTTTAGTCACAGTCCAAAAGCTAAGAGGCTGTTTACTCTTTTCTAAATGCCAAGAATATAACCTTCAAAACATCCTATGTTCTGAAACAGAGGTTGTTGTTTTGTTTTTCTGGAGAAGTGTATTATCAAAATGCCACGGACTGCAGAACAGAACTGGGCCTGAAAGCATGTCTGGGCCAGCTGACGGAACTGTGCACACGATTGATATCCACAGTGCATATCAACAGGCAGTCTTTTTGGAGTTTGCAAAGCGTGTGCCGTGCAGTGCCCGAGCCTGCCTCTGCACTCGTGTTTCCAGGTTGGGTGGCTCTGACAGCCCCTTCCTGTGGGTCCTGCGTCCTTGTGTGGAGTCACGCTTGCTCGGCAGCTGCTCACTTCCTCCGGTTGTTTTGCCGCTCGGCTCTCCCGCCCGTGGGTTTTCAGGAGGCGAATGTCTACCTGCTTAATCCTGAGGCTTCGATCCCGCAAAGCCCTTCAGAGTTCTCTGACTTCCAGGCCTGGGCCACAGGCCCCAGCCTCTTTTTCTTTCCTCCTGTAACTTGTGTCCTGTTTCTGATTTCTCACCAATTATGCCATCTGCCTGTGCCCTTGGTAACATCTGGGTATTGTGTGTGCTGCAGACCTCACCCATGTGAGACAGGTCCCCTCACTCGCCGGCCACCAGACCCCAGTGTAGTGGGCGTCTCCAGCGTAGTGGGCGTCTCCAGTGTAGTGGGCATCTCCAGTGTAGTAGACCTCTCCAGTGTACCAGGCCTCTCCAGCCCACACTCTCTGAGATGTAAGATCACGTAGTTCTCAAGTATTTATTGGCTTGTATTTTTCTCTTTGTGAAGTGAATTCCAATCTAGTAGCTGCAGCTATGTACGAATAAAGAAGGGTTTATTTTTCTGTCCGTACATACTTCTGGCTTTTCTCACCCTCTGCTAAACATTATCCTTTAATAGACAAGTAGATTTTTTTGTATTTTTCTCTTTGTGAATTGAATTCCAATCTGGTAGCTGCCGCTATGTACAAATAAAGGAAGGTTTATTTTTCTGTCCATACATACACACGTAAACCTACAGAACACACAGTCCAGGGCATTGCGTTTCCTGCCTCATCCAGGTCCAGGCTATTTGCTTATTCTCTAACCAGAAACAAATCATATACTTTTTTTTTTTTTTTTCTGAGATGGAGTCTCGCTGTGTCACCAGGCTGGAGTGTGCAGTGATGAGATCTCAGCTCACTGCAACCTTCACCTCCTGGGTTCAAGTGATTCTTCTGCCTCAGCCTTCCCAGTAGCTGGAATTACAGGCCCCGCCACCATGCCCAGGTAATTTTTGTATTTTTAGTAGAGATGAGGTTTCACCATGTTGGCCAGGCTGGTCTCAAACCCCCAACCTCAAGTGATCCTCCTGCCTCGGCCTCCCAAAGTGCTGGGATTACAGGCGTGAGCCACCGTGCCTGGCCGAAATCACCTATTTTCTGTGGAATGCATTTACTTCATGTATAAAACAGAGTCATAGCCTCCACCTTGCTTACCCCACATGCTGGTTAAAGGAGGAAACACAGAGAGCGCAAATGCCCTGTGGCAGGCGTAGGCTTCTTAAGTGTGGCAGATTGACGGTATCCATGGATGTGTCCTCATCATCCCTGCCCCTTCGACAAAGCACATTGTGTCTTTTGGAGACTTTTTTTCCTCCCGTTCATTTCCATTATAACAAATGCTTCTCTGGACAATGTTTCATTCTCAAAATATCGCAATATTGAAAAACTAGGAATATATCAAACCATTTTAAAGCACCAAATCGAAAAAGAAGTTATTTTGTTTAAATAAATTAAATTATGAAAAGACAATACTCAAAAAAAAATCAATTAAATTTATTCAAACTGGAATATCAACTGCTTTGTAAGGTAGGGTCCCTGAGCGTCTTAGAGTAATTTGAGCCGGGCGTGGTGGCCCATGCCTGTTGTCTTAGCTACGTGGGAGCTTGGCTTGAGCCCATAAGTTCAAGGCTGCGGTGAGCAACGATCCCACCACTGTACTCCAGCCTAGGCAACAGAGCAAGACCCCATCTCTAAAAAGAAAAAAAAAAGAATCATTTTTCAGTGCCTTTATATTGTTTCTGTATCTTAACAGTCTTGTTTTGCAGATGTCGTAAACTCACAGGGGGTGGAGAACCAGGAGTTTTTTAGCCACTAGGAACCTCTCTGAGAAGTTTCTTTTCTTTTCCTTTCTTTATTATTATTAGTATTCTGTGGCCAGAGGAGGGAAAGGAAGGTGGGTACTGAAACGACAGCTCTTCCCCTGGGACTGCAGCATCCGAGCACCACAGTCCACCCGCCAGCCTTTGTTCCTGCACAGTCTGCCTCTCAAGACCAACAACTCCATATCTATGACGATAAAAATTGTTAGTGATTATTTTACTTGTAAGAATTTCTTTCGACCTCAGCTCTGAGGTGACCCTCAGCTCGCCCGCCACCCCAGCTGCCCCACCTTGCTGGCATAGAACAGGGAGTGGAGGTGTGAAGTCACTCAACAGGGCTCAGTATACAAAATGTAAGCCACGCCTCACTCACTTGCTCCCTGGAGAATTTCATCTGCGCCGCGTTGCCTAATAACGGGGTTATCGGAAAGGGCATGATTACGTTCCCTCTTCATTCCCTGGAGTCTTTTTTCCCTGAAACTGTATTGTACTTGGGCCAAGATTCTTGATGAATCATTCAACCAGAAGGAGAAATGGGGTTGTTGTTTGGTTTTTTTGTTTTGTTTTTTTTTTTTTTTTTGCGTTTTGAGAGAGCACACTTGTGGGTGGTTGAACATGGATAAAAATAAACGGGAAAACAAAAATCAAATTCCCGGCCCTAGGAAATAAAATGTTACCTTTACCTGATATTGATAATACATATTATATTTGAAAGCATTTGCTAATGGTTGCATTTTCCCCCCAACACTCCCATGACATATAATTCCCATTTTATAAGTCACGAAACGAAGACCCTGGGGTCTGAAGGAACTTGGCTGGGGTGAGGATCACAAGCCCTTGGGTGGAGCTCTGAGCCCTGGCGCGGTCCTCAAGGGTCTGCGACATTTGTGCTGTGGTCAGCTCTGTGCACTCTTCCCTCCCTGCTGCTGTTATCACGAAAGGCTGGCTTGGCCTTTCTCATAGGCGTATTTCCACTCTCAGGCGCCCTTTTATTGTCTGGGCTCCATTCAAGTGATAAGACATACATTTATGCTATTGTGGGAACATAATGTAATATTCTCAACAGCATTGCCAAAAAAAAAAAAAAGTTTAGCCTCCGCCTGATTTTCTTATAACTTATAAAGAAAATTTGGTTTGAACATGTCCCATGTCGATGTTTTCAGGAAAAAGATCCGATAGCATGCAGGCCTTCTCATGCTGGCCTGGCTCATTCATCGTTTCCCCTAATGACTGACTGACCAGAAAAATGCACGACGCTCCCATGGGGCCACTCGGGAGGCCTCAGGCCTTCGGGCTTCCTGATTCAGTAGATATGTGAGGCTTGATCAGTCACCGCAGTCCACATCTCCATTGCCTCGATAAGGAACCAGTCGCAGAGAGGGGAGGCCATCTGCAGAAGCTGTGGAGAGTGGCAGAGAGGAGAGTGAGGACGGGGACTGCCCCCTTCCAGCCCCTCTCCTCCAAGGACGGCCTCATTTTATCCCCACCCAGGTTTCCACACCCAGGAGCTCAGCAACCGCTCAGAAAATGTTTGTGGAATTCAAAGACACAATTCAGACAATATGAAGAATTATTTTTCCTTTGAGTTGTTCTTAAAACAGACGAAATCTACCAGCATATAAATGAATGAGAACTAAAACTGGTGGGATTTGGTAATGTCGACATCTGAGATGTTTAGGCTTTTAAATATATATCTCAGCCAGGTGCGGTGGCCCATGCCTATAATCCCAGCACTTTAGGAGGCCGAGGCGGGTGGGTCGTTTGAGCCCAGCAGCTCGAGTCCAGCCTGGGCAACATGGTAGAATCTCGTCTGTACAAAAAAGTACAATAATTAGCGGGCATGGTGGTGCAAGCCTATAGTTCCAGCTACATGAGAGGCTAAGGTGGGAGGATCACCTGAGCTCAGGGAGGTCAGTGCTGCAGTGAGCTGTGATCATGCCATTGCACTCCAGCCTGTGCGACAGAGTGAGAACCTGTCTAAAAATATATATGTGTTTATATATATATATTTATATAAACATTAGTGGGTTTTAAAAAAAATTAACTAACTGCTAGCTCCTAAAACAGTATTTTGCCATTAGCTTTGGAAAGGTTTGCTCAGAAAATGAATTTCTAAGCACTCCCTTCATTGCATTTATTGGTCAAACTAATGGTCCTGGATGGTTATCTTTGAAACTTCCTAACCTGTTGGGTCCCCGTCGTTAAACTTATGCCAACAGAACTAAACTCACTGGATGTGAATTGCATCAGAGATGTAAACATTTAAAAGCGTATTAAGGCTGGGCGCAGTGGCTCACTCCCGTCATCCCAGCACTTTGGGAGGCCGAAGCGGGCGGATCATGAGGTCAGGAGATCGAGACCATCCTGGCTAACACAGTGAAACCCCGTCTCTATTAAAAATACAGAAAAATTAGCCGGTCGTGGTGGCAGGTGCCTGTAGTCCCAGCTACTCAGGAGGCTGAGGCAGGAGAATGCATGAACCCGGGAGGCAGAGCTTGCAGTGAGCCGAGATCACGCCACTGCACTCCAGCCTGGGCAACAGAGTAAGACTCTGTCTCAAAAAAAAAAAAAAAAAAAAAAAAACATTAAAAGCAGACCAAAAAAATCCTAGAATACAGGAGTCAGCTGTCTATTCAATTCAGAATAAGAAATATTGTAGACAAGGCAACATTTTATGTGTATTAGAAATGTGGTGGTTGGTTTGAGAAGTGAAACCAGCCATGTATATGCTGCTCCAAGCATTTTGGTTGTGGCAGGAAACTTTGAAGACTATTTTGCTGTACAAATTCACAAAGCCCCCTGCAAACACTCCCGTGCTTGGGGTGAATGCCCAAGTGTGTCACAGCTGCCTTGCAGCTCTGAGGATCAGAAAGGTTAATGGACATAAAAGAAACTTCAAAGCTCAACCTCCTAATGGGAAGCTGCCCTTGGTTTTAGGCTGTCTTTGCTTACTGACCGACTTAATTCATGCTTTGGGTTATGACTGTAGGAGAGATTTTCCTGTGTCTTTGGAGTATGCTGAACTTGTGTTTCTTTTTGTTGTTGCATATTAGACAGTCAGTGTTGAAACTAAAGTGACCTAAAGTGACAGAGCTCATGTTATGGGCTGAATTTTGTCTCCCCAGAATTCATAGGTTGAAGCCTTCCCAGTCCTTAGAACATGATTGTATCTGGAGCTAGGGCCTTTAAAGACATAAATAAGGTAACATGAGGTCATAAGGGCAAGGCCCTAATCCAATATGACTGGTGTCCTTATACGAAGAGGAAGAGGCCAGGCGTGGTGGCTTACGCCTATAATCCCAGCACTTTGGGAGGCCAGGGCCGGCAGATCACTTGAGGTCAGGAGTTTGGGACCAGTGTGTCCAACATGGTGAAACCCCGTCTCTACTAAAAATGCAAAATTAGCTGGGCATGGTTGTGGGCACCTGCAATCCCAGCTACTTGGGAGGCTGAGGCAGGAGAATCCCTTGAACACAAGAGGCGGAGGCTGCAGTTAGTCGTGATCCCACCACTGCACTCCAACCTGTGCAACAGAGCAAAACCCCATCTCAAAAAAATAAAAATAAAATAAAGGAAGACAAAGAAACACCAAAGATATTTTTGCACAGAGAAGAGTCCAAGTGAGGACTCAGGGAGAAGGTGGCCATCTGCAACCCGAGCAGTCTCCCAGGAAGCCTCAGGAGAAACTAACCCCTGTGACACCTTGGTCTTGGACTTCCTGCCCTCCAGAACTGTGAAAAAATACATGTCTGCTGTTTAAGCCACCCACCCTGTGGCATTTTGTTATGGTAGCCTGAGCAAACTAGTTCAGCCCAAAATGAATTCTGATATCACCTGCAGAAATCTGCTTTTAGACAGCAGGAAACTGAGGGCCTCTGAGTTTCTAGGCCAGAGTCATGCAGTGAATTACTGAAAGACCCAGAACCCCAGTCCTGGCCCCTGATTTTCAGTTTAGAATCTTCCTTGGTAAGAAGCAGGATCTTAGGCTGGGCCCAGCAAGTGGAAAACTCTTTTTTGTTTACACAGCCACTGACTGTTGTGGTCTCAGACTGTACCACAGAACCTGGTGTTCCACAAACTTCCCCAGTTTGGAGCAAGAGAAAAAAGTAGTTGGATGAAATGATCTCATTTTATTTTTTAGTCAATTTTTCTTAAATGTTGGTGCTTGAAAACAAATGGATGGCAGTAAAGTAATCCTGAAGAACACAGGAGGAAAGAAATAAAAGAGGCAATACCAAATGTTAGCAAAATGGCAGCAAGGCAAATAAGAGGCT
Source organism: Homo sapiens (assembly GCF_000001405.40). Taxonomy (NCBI): domain Eukaryota; kingdom Metazoa; phylum Chordata; class Mammalia; order Primates; family Hominidae; genus Homo; species Homo sapiens. Next base: position 6,630,186 of record NC_000008.11, read on the forward strand.
CAGCAATAGCAAAAAACTGACTTCTTTGGCTGGGAAAAACTTATAAATATTAAAAATCCTGACAATGTTGAAAAAGAAAGGCAGAGATAGGGTTCCAGGAGAAATACTAAGAATGAAATTGGAGCTGTCACTGCAGTTATCGTAAGGATATTTTAAAATCATAAGAGAGCATGATGAACAATTTAATACCAATAAATTTGAAAACAGGTAAGATGGATGATTTTTAGAAAAATGTTACCAAAATTGATTCAAGAAATAGAAAATCTAAACAAGCTCAAGCGTTAAAAAAATTAAATAGGTAAAATATGTACATCAACTGGGCACAGTGGCTCACGCCTGTAATCCCAACACTTTGGGAGGCTGAAGTGGACAGATCACTTGAGGTCAGGAACTAGAGACCAGCCTGACCAACACGGTGAAACCCTGTCTTTACTAAAAATACAAAATGAGCCAGGCATGATGGGGCATGCCTGTGATCCCAGCTACTTGGGAGGCTGAGGCAGGAGAATCGCTTGAACCTGGGAGGTGGAGGTTGCAGTGAGCCGAGACTGTGCCATTGCACTCCAGCCTGGGCAACTAGAGCAAAACTCTGTCCTAAAAAAAAAAAACAAAAAAAAAAAACAATTATATATCAACAAAAAAAAGAAAATTTTAAAAAGTAACAATTTGAAAAAGTCAAATAGGCAATCAAAAGTATTCCTTTCACCAGCCACTAAAAAGGCACCTGTACATGGGAATGGTAGCAAAATGACAGAAGAGGAAACTCTAACCTCTCATCCAACACAGAAACCGCTAAAATCAGGCAGAAGCTGTCTGCAGAGATGTTGCAGGTGCTCTAAAAGGTGCTCTAAACAACCACCAAATGCATACGGCAACCAGGCAAATGCCTGATAGAGGAAAGCCATCTTCAAGCCCGCAGGAAAGTTTTGTGGCACATGGTGGCAACCCAGTTCCCAGTTCCCAGTTCCCTTCCTCAAGCTGCAGGGAGCAGACCAGACATGATCTGTTCTAGTCTAGCTGATTCATACCTGAAGGATTGATCCTCATCTCCATCTCACATAACATGCAAGGTGGGCAAGAGAAAGAGGTGGGCACAGCTCATGAAAGCCACAGAGAGGCAATTAAGGTAAAAATAGATAAATTGCACTATATACAAATTAAAGACTTCAGTGCATCAAAGGATACAGTCAACAGAGTGAAAAGCAATCTATGGAGTAGGAGAAAATATTTGCAAATAACGGGTTAATCTTCACAATATATAAAGAACTCCTGCAACTCAACAACAAAAAAAAAACCCCAGTTTCAAACTGAGCAAAGAACTTGAATAAACATTTCTTCAAAAAAGATGATATAAATGTCCAATAGGCAAATGAAAAGATGCTTAACATTACTAATCATTAGGAAGATGCAAATCAAAACCACAATGAGATAGCACCTCAGCACCTCACACCCATTATGATTGCTACTATAAAAAAAAAAAAAACCCAGAAAATAACAAGTGTTAGTAAGGATGTGGAAAATTGGAACCTTGTGTCTGCCTCATGTAATGTTGGGAATGTAAGATATTGTAGCCACGATAGAAAACAGTGTGGCAGTTCATCAAAAAATGAAAAGTAGAATTACTGTATGATCCAACAATTCCTCTTCTGGGTATATGCCAAAAAAATTGAAAGCAGGATCTCAAAAGAATAATTGTACATCCACATTTATAGCAGCATTGTTCACAATAGCCAAAAGGCAGAAGCCCAAGTGTTCATCAGTGGATGCATAAGAAACAAAATGTGGTCTATCCATACAGTGGAATATTATTCACCCTTAAAAAGGAAGGAGATTCTGATACATGTAACACTGTGGATGAACTTTGAAAACATCATGTTAAGTGAAATAAGCCAGAAACCAAAGGACAAATATCATACGACTACACTTATAAGAGGAACTTAGAATAGACAAAGTCACAGAGACAAACTATAGTTGAATTACCAAGGGTGGAGTAGGCAGGAAGGGAGTGGAGAATTATTGTTTAATGGCTACAGAGACTCAGTTTTGGATAATGAGAACATTCTAGAAATTAATAGTAGTGATGGCTGCACAGCATTGCGAATGTACTTCATGCCACTGAAGTGGACACTTAAAAATAGCTAATATGGTAAATTTTATGTTATGTCTATCAAACTTTTAAAGGCACCCTCCACAGATAGTTTTAGTAGTAAGTTTTACCAAACATTATAAAGTTTTACAGGAAAAAAAAAGAAATCTATTCACCTCATTTTACAAGGCTACATTGATCTTGACCTAATACTGGTTTAAAAAACTCATTTGTAAACAAGTACATAAAAATCTGAGGCTGAGCGCAGTGACTCATGCCTGTAATCCCAACACTTTGGAAGGCCGAGGGGGGCGGATCACAAGGTCAGGAGATCGAGACCATCCTGGCTAACACAGTGAAACCCCATCTCTACTAAAAATACAAAAAATTAGCCGGCCGTGGTGGCACGTGCCTGTAGTCCCAGCTACTCGGGAGGCTGAGGCAGGAGAATCACTTAAACCTGGGAGAAAGAGGTTGCAGTGAGCCAAGAGTGCGCCATTGCACTCCAGCCTAGGCAACAGAGTGAGACTCTGTCTAAGAAGAAGAAAAGAAAAAAAAACTCAGAAATAAGATATTTCATCAAGTCAAATTTGGTAGTGTGTTTTTAAAACACACACACACATAACCAAGTGTGGTTTAACCTAAGAATGAAAGGATAAATGAATAGCATTAAGTCTTCTTTTTTCTAATCCATTAATTTTCTTAGTAGTGTTAAAAAGCAGTAGGGAAGATTCAATGCCGAGTAATGATTTAAAAAAAAAAAAAACTCTTCAGAAACCAGGAATAGATAACTTTCTTAACTATGGAGGTTATCTATAAAAAACGTACAACAAATATTGAATGGTGAAAACCTTAGTTTAAGGCTTAAATCATGTACAAGACACACATGAATGCTATTACTCTTCAACAGTGTTCTATGATTCCTAGTCAAGGGAATAAAATAAAAAAAAATTACAAGAATTATACAGGAAGGGACACATTTTGTTTGCATGTCATACAGTTGTCTACATAGAAACATCAAAGAGAGTCAATAAACTGTTACAACTCATTCAGCAAAATTCCTCTTTGTAAGATCCACTCACTGAAATCTTTAGCATTTGTATACCCAATGATAAACAATTATAAAATGTAACAGAAAACATAGTAAATAATAGTGGATTCAAGGCTAGCCATGTAATACAGGTTGAACATTCCTAATTTTAATCTGAAATGCTCCGATATCTTAAACTTTTTGAGTGCCAATCTGTCAACACAAGTGGAAAATTCCACACCTGACCTCATGTGACAGGGCATAGTCAAAGCACAGGTGCACGACACAGTTGATTTAGCGTCCCCAAGGGAAAAAAAAGACCCACCCAGCCCCCTTCAACTATAGTATAACTTTTCCATGCACACCCAAATTCCCCCACACAAGCACGCCCACAATGTGTAATAAAATGGCACGTGTGCAGGCTGGACGCACCCAACGCAGATTCCCCACGATACCTCACGTGGGGCCGAGAACTCCATGCATTACTCACTGTGGTTTTTTGCTTATTCTCTGCAGTGTCATGTAAAAATATTACTGAAAATGTCGAAAAGGCCTGCAGATCCCCCTATGTGTAACAGTGATCAGAAAAAGAGGAATAATTTATGTTTATCAATAGCACAAACAGTCAACTTGTTGGAGGAACTGAACAGCAGTATAAGTGTGAAGCGTCTTACAGAAGAGTATGGTGTTGGGATGACCACCATACATGACCTGAAGAAACAGAAGGATACGCTTTTGAAGTTCTATGCTGAATGTGATGAGCAGAAGTTAATGAAAAATAGAAAAACTCTACGTAAAGCTAAAAATGAAGATGTGAATAGTGTATTGAAAAACTAGATCTGAAGGCATCACACTGAACCCGTGCCACTCAGTGGTAGGCTGATCATGAAACAAGCGAAGATCTATCCTGATGAACTGAAAATTGAAGGGAACTGTGAATATTCAACAGGCTGGTTGCAGAAATTTAAGAAATGACATGGAATTCAAGTTTTAAAGCATCTGCAGATCACAAGGCAGCGTCGAAACTCATTGACGAGTTTGCCAAGATTATCGCTAATGAAAATCTGATGCCAGAACAAGTCTGTATTGCTGATGAGACATGACCATTTGGGTGCTACTGCCCCAGAAAGATGCTGACTACAGCTGACGGGACAGCCCCTACAGGAATTAAGGATGCCAAGGACAGAATGACTGTGCAGTGCTGTGCAAATGCAGCAGGCACGCATAAGTGTAAACCTGCTCTCATGGGCAAAAGCTTTTGTCCGTGCTGTTTTCAAAGAGTAAATTTCTTACCAGTCCATTATTATGCTAACAAAAAGGCATAGATCACCAGGGACATCTTTTCTGATCGGTTTTACAAACACTTCGTACAGGCCTCTTGTGCTCGCTGCAGAAAAGTTGGACCGGATGATGACAGCAAGATTTTCTTATGCCTTGACTACTGTTCTGCTCATCCTCCAGCTGAAATTCTCATCAAAGATAATATTGATGCTGTGTACTTTCCCCCAAACGTGACTTCATTAGTTGAGCCTGTAACCAGGGTATCTTTAGATCAATGAAAAGTAAATATAAAAACACTGTCTTGAATTGCACGCTCGCAGCAGTGAACGGAGGTGTAGGTGTAGAAGATTTTCAGGAGCTGAGCATGAAGGATGCCATACATGCTGTTGCCAACGCTTGCAACACAGTGACTAAAGACACAGATGTGCGTGCCTGGCGTGACCTCTGGCCTACGACTGTGTTCAGTGATGATGATGAACCAGGTGGTGGTTTAGAAGAATTCAGCTTGTCAAGTGAGAAGAAAAGGATGTCTGACCTCCAAAAAATATACCTTCAGAGTTCATCAGTCAGCGGGAAGAAGTACACATTAATGTCATTTTTAACATTGATAATGAGGCTCCGGTTGTTCATTTCATTGACTGTTGGGGAAATAGCCAGAATGGTTCTGAATCAAGGTGATCGTGATGATACCGACCATGAAGATGACGTTAACACTGCAGAAAAAGCACCCGTGGACAGCGTGGAGCTCAGGTGTGATGGGTTAACTGAGGCCCAGAGCAGCGTGCATTCACAACAGAACAAGCAATCATGTCAGCTTATAAAATCAAAGAAAGAATCCTAAGACAAAAAAGAAAGAAAAAAAATTAGCCGGGCATGGTGACACGTGACTATAGTCCCAGCTGTGTGGGAGGCTGAGGTAAGAGTCTTGCCTGAGCCCAGGAGTTAGAGGCTGCAGTGAGCCGTGATCATGCCACTGCACACCAGCCTGGGAAACAGCGAGGCCCTGTCTCAAAAAAACCCAAAAAACTAAGTAAATATTTTGTACATGAAACAAACTTTGTGTACACTGAACCAACAGAAAGGAGCTGTCGGTTCTAAGACCATTGTTAGTGGTGCAGATACCATTAAAAAGCCCCCCAGCAGAATGCCTCCTCGTCCCCAGAGGACCCACTTCCTGGGCCTGTAACTGCTTCTTATGTTCCTTCTCACCTAAAATGTAAAATGCCGTGTCCCGTAAGCTTTGAATCAAAGCACAGCATGGTTGGGAGAGCAGAGGCCTGCTGTTGTTTGTTGTTGCTGCTGTTGTTCAGCAGCTGATTGCGGTCTCTGCTGATGCCACTGGCTGCTTAGCTCCCCTGAGCACGTAAGTCTTCACTGTGTTAATGGCATGTCTTATTTTTTACTGTGAAGTACTTATGTGTGAATAAGTGTAAGGAAATGACTGCTTGGTAGTAGCATATAAATTCAGAGTCACGGGCAGGCACGGTGGCTCACGCCTGTAATCCCAGCACTTTGGGAGGCCAAGGCGGGCAGATCACTTGAGGCCAGGAGTTCAACACCAGCCTGGCCAACATGGCAAAACCCCATCTCTACTAAAAATTACAAAAATTAGCCGGGCGTGATGGCACATGCATGTAGTCCCAGCTACTTGGGAGGCTGAGGCAGGGGAATCGCTTGAGCCTGGGAGGTAGAGATTGCAGTGAGCCAAGATTTCACCACTGCACTCCAGCCTGTGTGACAGAGAGACTGTCTCAAAAAAAAAAAAAAAAAAGTCACAGTCAGGAATGAGGGTGATGCCACACAACCACTGATTGTCCACATGGGGGTGAGGGCTGAGATAGTGATACCTCTGCTTTCTGATGGTTCCATGTACACAGACTTTGTTTCATGCACAAAATTTGTTTGTTTATTTTTTGAAACAGAGTTTGGCTCTGTTGCCCAGGCTGGTGTACAGTGCTGCGATCATAGCTCATTGCAGCCTCTAACTCCTGGCCTCAAGCGATCTTCCCACCTCAGCCTCCGTTGTAGCTGGGACTACAGTCATGCTGTCGCACCTGGCAATCACACCAGTCTATGCACAGAACTATTTAAAATACTGTATAAAATTACCTCTAGGCTATGTGTATAAGATGCAGATGAAACATAAATGAATTTTGGTTTTAGACTCTGGTCCTATCTTCAAGATCTCTCATTGTCCATTCCAAAAATGCCACCCACCACCCCCCAAAAAAAATCTGGAATTCAAAACATTTCTGGTCTCCAGCATTTTGGATAAGGGAAACACCACCTGTAATATCCTTTTACACATTTCCTGGATGGGAAACAGAAGTTGGTGTGGTAGGAGTCACACATAAACGGCAGACTTTCTTGTCTGTGACACATTCTTAGGATGTCCTAGAGAAGTATCAGCGATGTGAATGTCTCCAGTCAAATATCAGAGCAGAAAGAATATGTTGAGAACTGCTGTATTATTAGACTGGGCTACTTTCTTCAAACAACACATGGTATCAGGTCATTCATTCATTTACCCAGTAGATATTTCCTACACACTCGTCATATGCCGAGCATATCCTAGGCACTGCAGGTACAGCAACTGACAGGAATATACAGCCTTTGCCCTTGTGGGACTTAACATTTAAGAGAGAAGACAGGCAGCAAACAATTTCTTTAAAAATCCTTCTGGTGGTAAATGCAATGAAGAAAACAGGGTGAGTATAGAGAGGAGGAGTGAGGTAGGCCCCTTGCAGGTGAGTGGCATTTGAGCTGAGGCCCAGATGATGAAGAGAAGGATGGACTCTTGTAGGTCTATTGGACTGGCCCTTCCAGGAATGGTAAGGGCTGAGAGGTCAGGAGAAGCGGTAAGTTTAGCGTGGCTGAAATGAAGGGAGAGAAGACAAAGCAATAGGAAATGAAGCTGGAGAAGCAGGCAGCTTCAGACAGGACCATTCCAGACCACTGACACCTTAACAGACAACAGCAAGAAGTTTGGGTTCTGTTCTAAGGATAAATGGAAGTCACAGAACGATTTTAAGTGGGAGGATTAGGCTGCGGTATATGTTTGTTTACTCTGTTTGTGTTTATTTTTGTTTTAATGGATACAGAGTCTCCCAATGTTGCCCAGGCTGGTTTTGAACTCCTGGGCTCAACGGATCCTCCTAACTCGGCCTCTCAAAGTGCTGACACATGTTTTTTTAATGGAAGCAGAGAAAGCAGTCTCGGACCTTTGCAGTGGTTCAGGTGATTAGTGATGGGGGTTAGGACCAGGGACGTATCGATGGAGGTGTTGTGAAGTTGTCATATTTTAAATATACATTTCAGAGCCAGGTGCACTCGCTGATACATTGGATGTGGCATATTAGAGAAAGAAGACTCGAAGGTGGCACCTAGTCTTGTGTTCTGAGCTTCCAGAATGAGGCATCTAGAAGCCAGGACCCGGGAGAAGCACGGAAGGAGCAGTGGTTTATTCAGTCTGCAGAAGCAGTGCCTACAGGACTGCTGTGTGAAAGAGGACACATGTGATATGAGCAGATGAAAATCACACAGCAGGCAGCTCTGGGCTCATTATGAGAAACGACTCTAGGAATATTTGTAACCTGCTGGGCTCTACTGCTAAGGGCTGCCTTAAGCCATGAAGCCGCAGAGGCTGGGTGACCACCGTCCCACAGTGAGGGAGCTGGGCAATTCCTTACCAGAGTGGAGATGTGGCTAGATCTCCTAGCCCTAACATGCTTACTTATTTTGATAAGCAAAGATGAAGCTCACATGGGTCCCGTGTGCTCTTGAACTTCTGTACATTGTACCATTAACCACACTTGGATGCTGGCAATCGCAGTTTTAGTTAAATAAAGTGACTTGCCCACCATACTATAAAAAATTAATTTTGGTAGCATGTTGATTCTGTATCCTAACCATAAGACCACACAGAGCCATGGCTAGTAAACTTTAGCTTGTGCGTAAATGCCTGCCAAGACCTGCTAAATACTGTTGCTTACATTTAAAAAAAAAAAAAAAAATTTTTTTTTTAATTTAAATTTCACGGAGCTGCTCAAGGGCAGTTCAGCTTCCTATTCATCTCTGTCTCCACCGGCCAGGACTGGCATTACTCTAACATCTGTCCTACGGCCACATTTTATGGGATGTTTGAGGATTATTCCTATGAAGTGACATTGGAATTTGGGGATGTGGCTATGTTCAGATGCCAAATAAACTTGGATAGAAATCATTTTTCCTGTGTGTGTTTACAGTTAGGAACGTGGGGCTGTGAGGGGCTCCCTGGACATGACCCTGGAGCTGTCGGCCCTTGTTCAGTGGTCAGATGCGCTTCAGACCTCCCAGAGTGCTGCCCGCACACTCAGTCACAGCCCCATGCGCACCTCAACGCCACTGCTCAGAAGTCCAGTGTAATTCCTCAGGCAGCATGTCCTAGAGCAGGCCATGAGAGGTGTAAGGTACAGACTTTGTTGTGAGGTTACATGTAGGCTTCTGTTCCATCTTGTCTCTGTTTAAAGATCGATACTTCTGGCAGCCTTTATCCCCACCACGATAAATACGTGGATGGAAGGATACATGCGTGGAAGGGTGGATGGGTGGATGGTTGGATGGATGGGTAGACGGGTGCATGGGTAGATGGGTAGATGGGTGGATGGAGTGATATTTGATTTCATAGTCAAAGAACTCAAACAGTAGACAAGTACACAGGGTCCTCCAGTCTTACAACCCTTCCTTAACTACAATAAAGATAGAAGTGTATCTTCTAGATTTCTTTTAAAAACATATTTATGAATGTAAACATATTATGGTCAGGTCCAGTGACTCACATGTATAATCTAACACTTTGGGAAGCCAAGGTGAGTGGACTGCTTGATGCCGGGAGTTTGAGACCAGCCTTGGCAACATAGAAAGACCGTGTCCCTACAAAAAAAATTTTAAAAGTAGCCTGGTGTCATGGCACATGCCTGTAGTCCTAGCTACTCAGGACGTCAAGGTGGGAGGATCACTCGAGGACAGGAATTCCAGGCTGCAGTAAGCCATGATCATACCACTGCACTCCAGTCTGGGCAATGGATCAAGATCCTGTCTCTTTAAAAAAAAAAAAAAACATATTTACATAGAAATAAATGTATATAAACACAGATATTGTTTAGGGATTTGTTTTTATATATATTGGAGAATGACATGCTTTTTCAGGAGCTTTTATTTAACCCTATGCCTAGAAGATCCTTCCAGCTTAACACATATACAGCTACTTCATTCTTTTTAACCATTGGGAGGTACTGTAATTAATTTATGTGCTTTCTGTTATTTTCATTGTTTTGCTATTGTATTTACTTATTTATTTTAGAAACAAGATGTCACTATGTTGCCCAGGCTGGCCTCAAACTCTTGGGCTCAAGCAGTCCTCCCACCTTAGCCTCCCAAGTAGGCGGGACTACAGGCATGAACCCTGCAATACGGCTGGCTTCTGCTATTTTAAACTCGTGTGTGTGTGTGTGTGTGTGTGTGTGTGTGTGTGTGTGCGCGCGCGTGTGTGTGTGTGTGCGTGTGTGTGTGTGTTTTCTAACTGAACAATCTGAATTCAATTTTAAGAGATTTTCTTGAGCTGGAATTATTCTAGTCCGAGCCCAGGCTCATGAAGATTTCTGTAAAATACATTCCAAGCAGTGAAATTACTGTGCCCTAGGATATGTGTACTTAAATTCTGATACACAAGGCTGCAGCAATTTACACTATTACTAACGGTACATAAAGTCCTATTTCCTATGTCCTATAAATTCCCATGTCCAGTACTGGACATAACCCATATTTTCAATATTGGGTGATCCGATTAGTTAAAAAAATAGATCTCATTAATTTCTAATTGCCTGATTACTAAATTATGAATGAGTCTGAATATCTTAGATAGGAGATTTATCATTCGTGAATTACCTGTCCTGATCCCTTAACTGTTTTGAAATTGGGTTATTTATATTTTTCACATGGTTTTACAGCAATGTTTACATAATATGGACATTAAACTTTTGTTGTGTTATAAAACTCTGTCTCTTTAGCTGTGCTTATGGTGTCTTAAGTATTACCAAGTTTTTAATTTTTAACTATTATTTTTTACAAAATTAAACACCTCTTTTCCTCCATGGCACCTACCCTTGTGGTTTTGCTTAGAAAGGCCTTCCTCACCCTCTGAGCTTTAAAAATAATCTCATATTCTCCTATTTATAGTTTTAAAAAATATTTAGACCTTTAATGCATGTGCATTTCACTTACTGTATAATGTGAGGGGACCATGTTGTTTTTAATAACTAATTTATTGACACTGACCTATATTGCCCCCTGTGAGTCATCTCTTACATTCCCACATGGTATGGGTGTGTTTCTGGTTATTCTCGTCCATTGATCTGTTTGTCTATTCTGTGCTGACCTCTATTTTACTGCTATAATTGTACAGACTGTTTTGATATCTGGTATGTCAAATTTTTTCTCATCATTTCTCTTTTTAAAAATCATCTTCCTATGCATTTTTTTCTTTCCTATAAACTTTAGAATAAACATGTCGTTTTCTTTTTGAAAAGTTTGAAATTTTTGGATTACATTGAATTTCTAGATGAATTTGGAAAGAGCATCATTTTTTCTGCATTTTTTTATGATTTTTCAAAACTGACACCTAGTCAGAAAACTAAGTGTAAAAATTGAATCCATAGAGTTTTTACAACCTGGAAGAAAATACAAATGTGGCTGAATGACTTTAAACCCTGAGTATCGGAAAAGGCTTCCACCTACCTATGACTCAAAAGCCAGATGCAATAAGACAAAGTGTTGATATAATTTGAATACATAAGAAATTGAAACTTATACATGGCAAAAGTTTGCATAAGAAAAGTCAAGCCAGGTGTGGTGGGTTATGTCTATAATCCCAGCATTTTGGAAGACTGAGGCACAGGAAGATTGCTTGAGCCCAGGAGTTCGAGATCAGCCTGGGCAACAAAGTGAGACATTGGCTCTACAAAAAATCAAAACATTAACTGGGTGTGGTGGTGCATACCTGTAGTCCCGGCTACCTGGGAAGCTGAGTCTGGAGGATCACCTGAGTCCAGGAGACTGAGGCTGCAGTGAGTCATGTTTGCACCAATGCAGTCTAACCTGCGTGACTGAGCAAGACCCTATCTCAAAAAAAGAAAAAATATGTAAATCATAATAATACCTGCTTCACTGTTGTGGAGAGAATTAAGTAGTATGCCTAGTACTAATAATATTGTTATAATTATATACAATGTTTTTAACTATATCATTTCTTATATATATAAGCTATCACAAATGTTAGTGTTCCTCCCTTCTGAAATTCATCTGAGGGTCCCTCACTGACCCAGGCCTCCTGGGTAGAAGCACATTTGTATTGAGAAGACAACAGTTAAATTCTGGGACACTATCTTGAGCTATAACTAAGATAAGTCATTTTTTTCTTCCATTTCTAAAAATATTTGTAGATTAAACCCATTTTTTTCTTTTTTGTACCATACCACCAGGATAGCTTTCCACCTTCCATCACTCATCTGTGTGACTTCTTAAGTTCCTTCAAATGTAACTCTGTAATTATAATTATATATTCACACAATCATTGTGATTCTTTAATTGCAATTGATTTAATCTACCTTATCATCCAATCGGTGCTGACAGTGGATTTCATTCCTTTTTTTTTCTAACAGTAGGAATAGAATGCAGTGCGCTTGCCAGGACTGAGGAAAGAGGGAGGGGTTGTTTCCGCCAGCTGCCAGGATCACCTGTGCTGACCCTTCAGCAGCACCTGCAGCGCTATCCTGGGCCAGGCGCAACTTGTGATTTTCATAAAATAGTCGAGTTTCAAACGGATGGGACTTTAGAGCTTCTTTAATTTGAGCTATGAAGAACAGAGTTTTAGAAAGTATGCTTATTCACTTGGAATTCCATAAAAAATACCTATGCTGGGTAGATAGGATAGCACGGCCTACCTCTCACCACTGGTGTCATAATTAAAACTCATATATGTATTTACTTATACTCTGCCTTATGCCAAGAGTACTGGAAGTGGTGAGCTAAGATTAGAAATTCTTGGCTCCTATGTCACAGACTGGCAAGCTTCCCACCCTGCCCACTGAGTGTCCTGACACAACGGGAACGTGCCCTGCATCTAATGGGACATGTGGCTACCAAGCACTTGAACTGGCCAGTGTGACTGAGAACTGAATGTTTCATTGTATTGAATTTCGTTTCACGTTAATTTAAAAAGGTATGTGTGCTCTATGGACGTGGGGGGGCCTATGGACAACACAGCTCTTGGCTATTTGTTTTTAAATATAGTTTCATGTATATACAAACAGGTTATCACTTTCCTATGTGGCTGGCTATTATGAATGCTAAACTGCTTTTCGCTCTCTCTCTAGATTCCATCACCCAGCACAAGGTCTGTGCCCCTGAAAACTACCTATTGTCACAATGACAGTGACCTCACTGGCCTGTGGTGACTGCACACAGCTCGCAAAACTGTCTTTGGATGTTCAAATGAGAAACAAAACTGTGAAGAGAAGGAACTGGCGTATACAAGATGACTTCTGATATCATGTTTGCCATGTGTTGTGGTTCTTAAGAACTCATAGGTGACTTTCTGATGACTGAATGTCTGTTTCAGAGACGCTTCGGGCCTTTTTATTTTTATTTTATTTTTTATTTTTTGAGACGGAGTCCTGCCCTGTTTCCCAGGCTGGAGTGCAATGGCACAATCTCGGCTCACTGCAACCTCCACCTCCCAGGTTCAAGCGATTCTGCTGCCTCAGCCTCCTGAGTAGCTGGGATTACAGATGTGTGCCACCATGCCTGGCTAATTTTTGTAGTTTTAGTAGAGACAGGGTTTCGCCATGTTGGCCAGGCTGGTCTCAAACGCCTGAGCTCAGGTGATCTGTCAGGCCTCTTCTATAGAATTCCAGTCTTTGTGTCTTAGTCATGATCATAATTGAAAGGTCACAGAACCTTTGTCATTAGAGCACAGTACTGCCAAATAAAGAATGGAAATTCAATGACATTGTTTTATTACTGAGAACAACTAGAGAACTCTGCAAGTTTCTTGGCTTAGACTCGATCTTTATTAATACATTATCTATTAGGTAGGAAAGACATTTGTCAGCTATTAAGGTGACTTTTATCTAGCGGAGATTCCTCTCTTAAAGTAATGAAAGGAGATAGGTATGGGGGGTGTTATACAGGATAATTGGTGACATCTGAGTGTCTTACTTCTGCAAGCCTGCTTTATGGTGAGCAAAGCATCACCAGCAAGTGATCACAATGTCCACTGGCCGCTTTTTGCCTGCCGTCCTCGAGATGAAATTGGCAGTTGGGGCTGATTCACAGAAACACCGATTTGTGGCTGAGCACGGTGGCTCACACCTGTCATCCCAGCCCTTTGGGAGGCTGAGGTGGACAGATCACTTGAGGTCAGGAGTTCGAGACCAGCCTGACCAACGCAGCAAAACCCATCTCTACTAAAAATACAAAAATCAGCTGGGTGTGGTGGCACACACCTGTGGTCCCAGCTCCTCAGGAGTCTGAGGCAGAAGAATCGCTTGAACCCAAGAGGCAGAGGTTGCAGTGAGCCAAGGTTGCAGTGAATCAAGATTGCTCCACTGCACTCCAGCCTGGGCAACAGAGTAACTCTCCTTCTCAAATAAATAAATAAATAAATAAGAAACACTGATGTGTCTGTCACCTTCTAAAGAAATGAAATGCTAGGAAGTCCTAGCCAGAGTGATCAGGCAAGAATAAGCCATAAAAGGCATCCAAATAGGAAAAGAAGTCAAACTGTCTCTCTTCACTGCCGATATGATTCTATACCTAGAAAACCCTAAAGACTCTGCCAAAAGGCTCCTGGAACCGATAAATGACTTAAGTAAAGTTTCAGGATAGTAAATCCATGTACAAAAATCAGCATTTCCAAACACAGTAACATTCAAGCTGAGCACCAAATCAAGAACGCAATCCCATTTCCAATAGCCACGGAATGAAATACCTAGGAACACGTATAACCAAGGAGGCAAAGGATCTCTACAAGGAGAACCATAAACGAGATGCTGAGTCCCAGCGAGGTCGGAGGTGCCACTGAGCCCTCATCGTGGTGCCGTTCCCGCTCTGGGTTATTTATCTGTTGCTCATCTCAGCTGTTGTTCCTACCTCAAATTTCAAGTCCCTCAACAAATATAACAGAACCACTTCTAGAATGAACCTTTGAGAAGGGAGGTAGCAGTGCATTGTATAGGAATTGGCATTCTATAGAAAACCACAGAAACTGGAAATAATGAAGGGTTGTCTCTTGGTTTTAAAATAATGTATACACCTAAATCATCCCCTTATGATACTCATCCTCTAACAGCAATTGAACTTCAATACAATGAGTCATTCCTGAGTTCACTCGCTTCACATTACATATGTTTCTCTATAACCACAAGCATCCTGGCTTGGTAGTGCTCCCACAGCACCAAAAATCCCTGAGGAGGCTGACAAACATTGTGCTGACTCATGCTGGAGACAAGCCACAGAGAACTTCCATCCCCCACCACATCAGCCACGGAGCCAGCCCAGCCTCTGCCCACCCAGGCCTCAGTCCCCAGTGTTAAGTTCTGATCCCTGATGCTGGCCTGCCAGTGGCCAGTCAAGATTCTCTTTCTGAAAGCTAGTATTTTATGAGGACTGACTGTTGCTAGACATTACACTAAGCACATTATATGTTGTACTTCATTTTACCCTTTCAACAATCCTATTAGTAGCTTACTGTGGGTCTGCAAAGCCTTACTCAAAACATATAGGGCTAGAGGTTCTCAGGATTCTGAATTTTAAAAAAAATTTGTAAAGGCTTATGGCTCTCACCACTGTTATTCAACGTTGCATTAAAGTTTCTACCCAGAGAAGGCAATAAAAGGAAATTAAAGCTATACAGATTGGAAGTGAAGAAATAAAAGTCTTTATTCTCAAGAATACAAGACACTATGTATAGAAATTGTAAGGAATGCAAAAAAAAAAAAAAAAAAAAGCCCTACAAGAACTTATAACAAGTTTAGCAAGATTGCAATATACAATCTTGCAATCTTCCTAAAGATTATATACAAACCTAACAGAATTGTATTTATATATACTGTCAATAAGCAATTCAAAATGAAATTAAGACCACGATTCCATTTAAAATTGCATCTAAAAATAAACAAAATAGGAATAGACTTGGCAACAGTTGTAACATCTGTATACTGAAACCTGTAAAACATTGCTGAAAGAAGTTAAAGACTTCTTTAAATAGAGACATATACAAAGTTCATAGATTAGAAGATGCAATATTGTTAAGATGATAGTCCTCAAATTGACGTATAGATTCAATGCAATCCATTAAAATCTCAGATGGCTTTTTATAGAATTTGAAAAGCTGATGCTAAATCTTTTATGAAAATGCAAAGAACCTCTAGTAGACAAAACAATTTTTTTAAGAGCAAAGTTGGAGGATTTATAGAACCTGATTCCAAAACTGTCAGTAAAACTACAATAATTACAAAGTATCAGCCAGGTGCCGTGGCTCACATCTGTAATACCAGCTCTCTGGGAGGCTGAGGCGGGTGGATCACTTGAAGTCGGGAGTTTAAGACCAGCCTGGCCAACTTGGTGAAACCTTGTCTCTACTAGAAATACAAAAAATTAGCCAGGCATGATGGCACACACCTGTAATCTCAGTTACTCAGGAGGCTGAAGCAGAATAGCTTGAACCCAAGAGAGTCCAGCTCAAAAACAACAACAAGAACAAAAGTATCACATTGGCATAAGAATAGACATGTAAATCAAATAACAAAATAGAGAATTCAGGTATAAATCTTCATATTTATGGCTGATTGACTTTGAACAAAGGTGACGAGGCAAGTCAGTATAGCAGCATATTCTTTTCAACAAATGGTGCTGGCAGAAGAAAAAAAAAGTACTTGGATCCTTACCTCACACCATGCACAAAAATTAGCTCAACGTGGACTATATCAGGGTTTCTCAACATCAGCAGTGTTGGCGTTTGCTGGGGTGGATAATTCTTTCCTGTGGAGAGCTGTCCTGTGCACTGTAGAATGTTTAGCTGCATCCTGGCCTCTGCCTATTAGATGCCAGTGGCATCCCTCCCCTGACACACACCTAGTTTTGACAATCTCTGTCTCCAGATATTCCCAAATGTGCCCTGGAGAGCAAAACTGTTTCCAGTTGAGAACCATTGACCTAATGTAAAAAATAAAATGTACAGAAGAAAGCATAGCAGGAAATCATTCTGACCTCAGGTTAGGCAAAGCTTTCTTAGATATGACACTAAAGGCATAATTCATTAAAAAAATAAGTTGGGCTTTGTCAAAATTTTAAGTTTTGCTCTTCTGAAGAAACCATTAAAAAAAAATGAAAAGACAAGCCACAGACTATGAAAAAATACTTGCAAATCATATATCTGATAAAGGACTTGTACCCAGACCATGTAAAGAACTCATAACTCATTAATAAAAGGATAAAGAAAAAGCTGAAGACAATTCATGCAAGAAGATATACAAATATTAAGCACATTAAAATGCTCAATATTATTAGTCACTAGGGAAATACAAATTAAAGGCCCAATGAAATACCTATTACACACCCATTAGAATGACTGTAAACAACAAGACTGATAATTCCAACATCTGACCAAGATATGGAGAAACTAGAACTCTCCTACATTGCTGGCATGAGTGCAAAATGATACAGCCACTTTGAAACACCATTTGGCAGTTGCTTAAAAAATTGAACATTCAACTACCATATGACCCAGCAATTTCACTCTCAGGTATATAACCAAAATACATGAAAACATGGATCTGCACAAGGTCTTGTATACAAATGTTCATAGCAACATTATTCATAATAACCAAAAATTAGCCCATCAACTGAAAAGTAGATAAACAAAATGTATATCCACACCATGGAACGCTACTCAGCAAACTTCTAAAAAGCAACAAACTACTAAACACGTGCAACAACATGAATGAGCCTCAGAAACATAAGTGAAAGAGGTCAGACACAAAAGACTACAAATTGTAAGATTCCATTTAGATACCATTTCTACAAACCGCAAAACTGTAGAGGCACGAAACAGATTCATGGTCTGCTGCAGCTGGGGATGGGAGTGGGAACAGAGAGCAAACATTTTGGGATGATGGAAACATTCTAAAACTGGATTGTGATTTTGGTTACACAACTGTATACATTTACTAAAATCAATGAACAGAACACTTTTAATGGGTAAGCCTTAAGGCATGTGAATTATACACCAATAAAGCTATTTTTTTTAAAAAAAAGAGAGAGAGAGAACGAGAGCTACATGGCAGCCCCAGGGCAATAGCTCTCAGATCTCCCTTAGAGAAAGAACTTTCTCTTCCACAGCAATGAGTGCAGGTAGCTAACACTGACCAACCTGCATCTGGTAGTTCATTTAAGGTCGGCCTTGGCTTTCAAGTTAAGGCCATGGTCTTTCTCTGCAGTCCCCAGCCAATACGTGGGCACAGAAAGGCACAGGGCATGGCTGATTCAGCCCAACATGAGGCTCCACACCCTAGAACTCCCTGTGGAGTTGGCCGATACTGCCTGTGACCTGCAATGTGGTCTAAGCTGTCAGACCTCCACAGTGGCCAGAAGGTTTTCCATACCTGAGCCTGCTTCTACCCACTTTTATTTTTCCCAGGAGTCACGCTTAGTCATCTCTTGCTCTTTGAACTCCATGTCTGTATCAGCTACCCAGAGGACCCATCAGACAGAAAGTAATATGCAGATAACAGCCCAGGGGAATCTGGGCAGCACTGTGAAACCAACATTTCTTCAGTGAAACCTAGAACAAAAGTGGAATAAATAAAAACTAACTGTCTCATTTCAGCACTGGCAGTCTCACTCTGGAATCTGTGTTCATGCTACCCAGGCCTATACTACAAGCTCGTTCAGCCATAACAGGGCAACTGTGAGGCTGTTGGATGGGATGATGTTGGAAGTAAATGCTCAGTGCTGCCAAGTGAAAATAGCACTCAGGCAGAAGTCTTCTCACCAAGGCAATTTACTTTTATAGAAGGGTGCATCTCGCGGATGGAACAATGGCGAGAGCACACTGGACAAGGGAGGGGAAGGGGGCCTTATTTCTAATGCAGCTAGCCCTACTGCTATATCTTTCCCCCACTGACTAGGGTTGGACCGCACAGTCTAAGCTAATTCCAATTGGCTATTTTAAAGACAGCAGAGGTACAAGCCACACTGGCAGGACAGTTACAGAACAGGTGACTAAGGATGACTAAGGACAGAACAGGTGACTAAGGATGACGAAGGACAGAACAGGTGATTAAGGACAGAGCAAGTGACTAAGGTTGACTAAGGACAGAGCAGGTGACTAAGGACAGAACAGGTGACTAAGGATGACTAAGGACAGAACAGGTGAGTAAGGACAGAACAGGTGACTAAGGATGACTAAGGATAGAACAGGTGACTAAGGGTGACTAAGGATAGAACAGGTGACTAAGGGTGACTAAGTACAGAGCGGGTGACTAAGTACAGACCAGGTGACTAAGAATGACTAAGGACAGAGCAGGTGACTAAGTACAGAACAGGTGACTAAGGGTGACTAAGTACAGAGTGGGTGACTAAGTACAGAGCAGGTGACTAAGGATGACTAAGGACAGAGCAGATGACTAAGTACAGAACAGGTGACTAAGTACAGAACAGGTGACTGAGGATGAATAAGGACAGAACAGGTGACTAAGGGTGACTAAGGACAGAGCAGGTGACTAAGGACAGGTGACTACGGATGACTAAGGACAGAACAGGAGACTATGGATGACTAAGGACAGAGCAGGTGACTAAGGACAGAACAGTGACTATGGATGACTAAGGACAGAACAGGTGACTACGTATGACTTAGGACAGAACAGGTGACTAAGGACAGAACAGGTGACTAAGGACAGAGCAGGTGATAGAGGCTAGGAGCGGGCTGTTTACTGAAACTAGGGGTAAAGAGATGTAAAGAATGAGAAAGTTAAACTTTAAAATGGAGAACAAAGAACAGGGAAGCTGAATATACTGACACATTGGTTCTTTGGAGAGGAACTCAGAACTCAGCGTACTTAACAATTTTCTCCCTCTTGAATTTTAAAAGACATTAACAGGCTAAACTTCGAAGAGGAATTTATTGTTTCCTACAGATGACAATTAATAATCAATCTTGCAATGTTTACTGAGGTCACTATCCTCAGTGCTATACGTGTTCTGTGTCCCATAGACTTCAGGGTAACTACATGGTCCTTAAACTTACAATCTAAAGTATTTCCATGAGACCTTCCTTAATAGACGTTTGTTCTCAGCCTTCTTTCAATAGCAACATCCTTTGTTCACATGAGGATGCATAAAGAAATACAATACGTAAAAACATGTTATCAGGACCGCTCTCATTAAGCTGGGTAGGGGGTGGTCACACGAGGGTTTCAGATCCTCACCCAAGGATCTCATCTTTCTCTGCACAAGGGTAGGCTGCACAGCGCCTTTGTAGATACTTCCGAGATTGCTTGAAAACTGCCGGTCTGGCCCAGTCCCTCCTATCACTGACAAAGAAGCTGAGATCTCGAAAGACACGCCACCCATGAGCAGTAACTCAGTGCAAAGAATCTAAATACCAGAACTCCTGACCCACAAGGCTTTCTCTGTGCATCCAAGATGTCCCAAACTGAAATGGTCTATGCACGACAGAGAACTTTGATCACACTCAGAAAACGTCTTTGAAAATGAAACATGGCACATTGCAGAGATGTCACAAATGAGACTTCCCTTGATGGTCCCTGAGAGCGTCTTTGTGTTCCATGTAGCTGCTCCCATTATTTTGGGCAGACATTGACAGTCTTTGATGAAACATTTTTCACCTTGAGTTACAGTAAATGTTATCATCTCATGTTTTTGGAAATGCCATTCAAGGACTTGAGAGATCATTTCTAGATAATTGTTTATAACCATGCCCCTTATAATTTCATTTGAGATTATATGAGAAAAATCTAAGCATACCTATTTAATAAAGGATTTGGACAACTGCATCTCAAACTTTAATACAAATTCAAATCACCTGGGGATATTGTTAACTGGCAGATTCTACTTCAGCACATCTGGGGCCAGAAAGGCTGCGTTTCTCTCCCCTCCCCTCCCCTCCCCTCCTCTCCCCTCTCCTCTCCTCTCCTCCTTCCTTCTCTCTCTCCTCCTTCCTTCTGTCTCTTCTCTGTCTTCTCTCTCTCTTCTTTCTTTCAAGATGGGTCTCCCTCTGTCACCCGGCTGGAGTACAGTGGCACACTCATGGCTCACTGCAAAGGCTGGATTCTAACAAGCTATCCGGTGATGTGGATGCAGTTTCAGAAGCAGGGAGTTAGAATACGCAATGGGATATTATAAATGTACATTTCATTTACTTCTGCACAAGATGTAATGTCTTGTTAAACCAAACTGCTATTTTTTTTTTTTTGAGACAGAGTCTCACTCTGTCACCCAAGATGGAGTGCAGTGGCCCAATATCGGCTCACTGCAACCTCCGCCTCCCGGGTTCACGCCATTCTCTTGCCTCATGAGGTCAGGAGATTGAGACCAAATTGCTATTTCTTACAGTGTTGCAAATACCTTGTGAGATTCTTATCAAGGTATTGGAGAATAACTAGGGCACTGATTATGAGAACATCAGAATTGTCAGAGGCGTCCTAACTAGGGTGACTCCATCCTGAATAAAGCCTGGATAGAGCCAAACCTGATGGGGGACATTCCCTGAGGGATGATCACTCTCAGTCACAGGATGTTTATAGTTGAGGGAACGAGTTAATGATGCTGACTACCTACCTAAAGAACCAGAACTTACAGAAATGTCCCAGTATTTGAAGAACAAACAGCATTGTTAGTTTAAGAACAGGGTTCGTTTTAGAGATAACAGCACATTCATAAATTCTTGCTGAAATCAATAGTTGCACAAGAAAATAACAGTATTAATAGCCTGTCGTAAGCTGATCACAAATCTTTGT
The DNA here is from genome assembly GCF_000001405.40 of Homo sapiens. NCBI lineage: Eukaryota > Metazoa > Chordata > Mammalia > Primates > Hominidae > Homo > Homo sapiens. The sequence goes on from NC_000008.11 coordinate 6,651,658, forward strand.
AATATATTACACTCTTCTAAGCCAACAAAGATCAAAACAGACAAAGAAGGGCATTACATAATGGTAAAGGGATCAATTCAACAAGAAGAGCTAACTATCCTAAATATATATGCACCCAATACAAGGGCACCCAGATTCATAAAGCAGGTCCTTAGAGACCTACAAAGAGACTTAGACTCCCAAACAAAAATAATGGAAGACTTTAACACCCCACTGTCAACATTAGACAGATCAACAAGACAGAAAGTTTACAAGGATATCCAGGAATTGAACTCAGCTCTGCACCAAGCGGACCTAATAGACATCTACAGAACTCTCCACCCCAAATCAAGAGAATATACATTCTTTTCAGCACCACACTACACCTATTCCAAAACTGACCACATAGTTGGAAGTAAAGCACTCCTCAGCAAATGTAAAAGAACACAAATTATAACAAACTGTCTCTCAGACCACAGTGCAATCAAACTAGAACTCAGGATTAAGAAACTCACTCAAAACCACTCAACTACATGGAAACTGAACAACCTGCTCCTGAATGACTACTGGGTACATAACGAAATGAAGGCAGAATTAAAGATGTTCTTTCAAACCAACGAGAACAAACACACAACATACCAGAATCTCTGGGACACATTCAAAGCAGTGTGTAGAGGGAAATTTGTAGCAGTAAATGCCCACAAGAGAAAGCAGGAAAGATCTAAAATTGACATCCTAACATCACAATTAAAAGAACTAGAGAAGCAAGAGCAAACACATTCAAAAGCTAGCAGAAGGCAAGAAATAACTAAGATCAGAGCAGAACTGAAGGAAATAGAGACACAAAACACCCTTCAAAAAATCAATGAATCCAGGAGCTGGTTTTTTGAAACGATCAACAAAAGTGATAGACCGCTAGCAAAACTAATAAAGAAGAAAAGAGAGAAGAATCAAATAGACGCAATAAAAAATGATAAAGGGGATATCACCACCGATCCCACAGAAATACAAACTACCATCAGAGAATACCGCAAACACTTCTATGCAAATAAACTAGAAAATCTAGAAGAAATGGATAAATTCCTCGCACATACACCCTCCCAAGACTAAACCAGGAAGAAGTTGAATCTCTGAATAGATCAATAACAGGCTCTGAAATTGAGGCAATAATTAGTAGCTTACCAACCAAAAAAAGTCCAGGACCAGATGGATTCACAGCAGAATTCTACCAGAGGTACAAGGAGGAGCTGGTACCATTCCTTCTGAAACTATTCCAATCAATAGAAAAAGAGGGAATCCTCCCTAACTCATTTTATGAGGCATCATCCTGATACCAAAGCCAGGCAGAGACACAACAAAAAAAGAGCATTTTAGACCAATATCCCTGAGGAACATAGATGCAAAAATCCTCAATAAAATACTGGCAAACTGAATCCAGCAGCATATCAAAAAGCTTATCCACCACGATCAAGTGGGCTTCATCCCTGGGATGCAAGGCTGGTTCAATATACACGTATCAATAAACGTAATCCAGCATATAAACAGAACCAAAGACAAAAACCACATGATTATCTCAATAGATGCAGAAAAGGCCTTTGACAAAATTCAACAACCCTTCATGCTAAAAACTCTCAATAAATTAGGTATTGATGGGACATATCTCAAAATAATAAGAGCTATCTATGACAAACCCACAGCCAATAACATACTGAATGGCAAAAACTGGAAGCATTCCCTTTGAAAACTGGCACAAGACAGGGATGCCCTCTCTCACCACTCCTATTCAACATAGTGTTGGAAGTTCTGGCCAGGGCAATCACTTAGGAGATGGAAATAAAGGGTTATTCAATTAGGAAAAGAGAAAGTCAAATTGTCCCTGTTTGCAGATGACATGATTGTATATCTAGAAAACCCCATCGTCTCAGCCCAAAGTCTCCTTAAGCTGATAGGCAACTTCAGCAAAGTCTCAGGATACAAAATCAATGTGCAAAAGTCACAAGCATTCCTATACACCAATAAGAGACAAACAGCCAAATCATGAGTGAACTCCCATTCACAATTGCTTCAAAGAGAATAAAATACTGAGGAATCCAACTTACAAGGGATGTGAAGGACCTCTTCAAGGAGAACTACAAACCACTGCTCAATGAAATAAAAGAGGATATAAACAAATGGAAGAACATTCCATGCTCATAGGTAGGAAGAATCAATAGCGTGAAAATGGCCATACTGCCCAAGGTAATTTATAGATTCAATGCCATCCCCATCAAGCTACCAATGACTTTCTTCACAGAATTGGAAAAAACTACTTTAAAGTTCATATGGAACCAAAAAAGAGCCCGCATTGCCAAATCAATCCTAAGCCAAAAGAACAAAGCTGGAGGCATCAAGCTACCTGACTTCAAACTATACTACAAGGCTACAGTAAACAAAACAGCATGGTACTGGTACCAAAACAGAGATATAGACCAATGGAACAGAACAGAGCCCTTAGAAATAATGCCACATATCTACAACTATCTGATCTTTGACAAACCTGACAAAAACAAGAAATGGGGAAACGATTCCCTATTTAATAAACGGTGCTGGGAAAACTGGCTAGCCATATGTAGAAAGCTGAAACTGGATCCCTTCCTTACACCTTATACAAAAATTAATTCAAGATGGATTAAAGACTTACATGTTAGACCTAAAACCATAAAAACCCTAGAAGAAAACCTAGGCAATACCATTCAGGACATAGGCACGGGCAAGGACTTCATGTCTAAAACACCAAAAGCAAGGGCAACAGAAGCCAAAATTGACAAATGGGATCTAATTAATCTAAAGAGCTTCTGCACAGCAAAAGAAACTACCATCAGAGTGAACAGGCAACCTACAGAATGGGAGAAAATTTTTGCAATCTACTCATCTGACAAAAGGCTAATATCCACAATCTAAAATGAACTCAAACAAATTTACAAGAAAAAAACAAACAACCCCATCAAAAAGTGGGCAAAGGATATGAACAGACACTTCTCAAAAGAAGACATTTATGCAGCCAAAAGACACGTGAAAAAATGCTCATCATCACTGGCCATCAGAGAAATGCAAATCAAAACCACAATGAGATACCATCTCACACCAGTTAGAATGGCAATCACTAAAAAGTCAGGAAACAACAGGTGCTGGAGAGGATATGGAGAAATGGGAACACTTTTACACTGTTGGTGGGACTGTAAACTAGTTCAACCATTGTGGAAGTCAGTGTGGCGATTCCTCAGGGATCTAGAACTAGAAATACCACTTGACCCAGCCATCCCATTACTGGGTATATACCCAAAGGACTATAAATCATGCTGCTATAAAGACACATGCACACGTATGTTTATTGTGGCACTATTCACAATAGCAAAGACTTAGAACCAACCCAAATGTCCAACAATGATAGACTGGATTAAGAAAATGTGGCACATATACACCATGGAATACTATGCAGCCATAAAAAATGATGAGTTCATGTCCTTTGTAGGGACATGGATGAAGCTGGAAACCATCATTCTCAGCAAACTATCACAAGGACAAAAAACCAAACACCACATGTTCTCACTCATAGGTGGGAATTGAACAATGAGAACACATGGACACAGGAAGGGGAACATCACACACCGGGGCCTGTTGTGCGGTTGGGGGAGGGGGCACAGATAGCATTAGGAGATATACCTAATGCTAAATGACGAGTTAATGGGTGCAGCACACCAACATGGCACATGTATACATATGTAACAAACCTGCACGTTGTGCACATGTACTCTAAAACTTAAAGTATAATTAAAAAAAATAAATTACATTCTTCTTTGCCTTAATATGCTATATAGGCAAGCATTACGTTTAAGGTGCTCCTCCTTGCTTTTCGAGGACACCCTACTCGGTAATAGTTTCTAATAAGCAGTTTTAACTTTACTATACTCTGCAACTTGCCCTGAATTCTTTCCCATGTGAGATCCAAGAACTCGCTCTTGGCATCCTTCTGGGACAAGACTCTTTTTTTTTTTTGAGACAGAGTCTTGCTCTGTCGCCCAGGCTGGAGAGCAGTGGCGCGATCTCGGCTCACTGCAAGCTCCGCCTCCTGGGTTCACGCCATTCTCCTGCCTCAGCCTCCCGAGTAGCTGGGACTACAGGCGCCCGCCACCACGCCCGGCTAATTTTTTGTATTTTTTTTTAGTAGAGACGGGGTTTCACCGCGTTAGCCAGGATGGTCTCAATCTCCTGACCTTCGTGATCCGCCTGCCTTGGCCTCTCAAAGTGCTGGGATTACAGGCGTGAGCCACCGTGCCCAGCCGACAAGACCCTTTTTTAGATAACTGAGTTTAAAAGTACATCTAAGGAGGCTGACGCAGGAGAATCGCTTGAACCCGGGAAGCAGAGGTTGCAGTGAGCCGAGATGGCGCCACTGCACTCCACCCAGGGTGACAGAAGGAGACGCCATCTCAAAAAATAAAAATAAAAATAAAAGTACATCTATGTCAACTGGGAGCCTGATATAACTTGTCCGGGCGTCCGTGTATTTGAGGTCTGTGCGAGCGTTTGTCTGTTTAGTGTGTAAACTCGTGTAACCACCACTGTGGTGAAGACACAGAGCAGCTCCGTGACCAGAAGGTTCTGTCCTGGGGCCCTTTTATAACCACGGAACCCACCAGCTTCTGTCCCTTCCTTAACTCCTGGCAACCACTCATCTGCCTTCCACTTCCATAACTCTGCCATTAATAACCTGTTACTTTATTTCACATGACAAGTAGTGACTTAATTGCAGATAAAGGGAACATTCATGTTTGCGCTTTTCTTGTCATTGCTTCCTTATGTGAACCTTTCTCTGCTTACAGGGAATCATATCGAGAAGTACAGTTTCTGTTTGGAGAGAATGGAAAGAGAAAAGAAAAATAAACACAATGGTCTCAATGTTCGAAAAAGCATGCAGTGGATATAATCACCTAAACCTAAACACCCTTTTGCACAACAGACCTACAGATAGTGATGGAAATGTCACAAGCTTCCTTCCAAAAGCACTGCAGAACTCCTAATAAAGAATGGAAATCCTCAGGCGGTGGGGAGTCAAGAGAGGCAGCCGGGATGCCGAGTCCAGGTCCTGGGGTCCGGCCGCTGCCAGGTAGGGCAGAGCAGGCTCTTGGGGAGCAGAGGCTTGGGTTTTCATGTCGAACAGGATCAGCAGATGAGGAAGTGGACCTGTGAAAAGTCGCTGGCATTGCAGCTGAGATCCCCTAAAGAAAAGCAAACTCCTGGAAGGACACGCTGAGAGGAAGAGGACTAGGAAAAACTGCACAAGAGGCCAAAGAAGCCAGACCGGCCCAGAGCTCCAATCAGGGAGAGCAAAAAAGAGACTCAACAGGTTTAAGTTCATATACGGTCATACAGGCCATGTTTTCTGAACTAAGCATAATGTAGGAAATTAATTGTATGAAGAAATCCAAACACTAGGCTGGGCACAGTGGCTCACGTCTGTAATCCAAGCACTTTGGGAGGCCAAGGTGGGCAGATCACTTGAAGCCAAGAGTTCGAGACCAGCCTGGCCTCCATGGTAAAAGCCCATCTCTACTAAAAATACAAAAAAAAATAGCAGGCATGGTGGCGCACACCTGTAATCCGGCCACTTAGGAGGCTGAGACACGAGAATCAGCTTGAACCAGGAGGCGGAGGTTGCAGTGAGCCCAGATCGTACCATTGCACTCCAGCCTGGGTGACAGAGTGAGACTCTGTCTCAAAGAAGTCCAAAAACTGTATTTGTAGGTTGAAAACATAAATAATTGATACATCAAAAGAAATCATAATGGAAATGAAAAAATATTTAGAACTGAAATAAAACCTTCTGGGACATACCTAATGCAATAGTTAGAGGGGACTATGCAGCCTTAATTGCTTATATTAGTAGTAAAGGGGGAAGAAACCTAAAACTTTGTTAGCTAAATATTGAATGAAATAAACTGGGGAGGGCCAGGCGCGGTGGCTCATGCCTGTAATCCCAGCACTTTGGGAGGCCGAGGTGGGCGGACCACGAGGTGAGATCGAGACTATCCTGGCTAACACAGTGAAACTCCGTCTCTACTAAAAATACAAAAAATTAGCCAGGCGTGGTGGCACACGCCTGTGGTCCCAGCTACTTGGGAGGCTGAGGCAGGAGAATCGCTTGAACCTGGGAGGCAGAGGTTGCAGTGAGCCGAGATCTCACCACTGCACTCCAGCCTGGGCAACAGAGCAAGCACTGTCTCAAAAAAAAGAAATAAAGAAATTGGGGAAATAGCTACATAGTAAATCAAAGAAAGTGATAGGAAGAAAATAATAGCAGAAAGTAACAAAATCAATATAAAGAAAAAAGAATCAATTAATCCGAAGATGATTCTTTGAGAAGACTAATAAAATAGACAAATTTCCGAAAGTTTGACCAAGGGTTGGAAGAAAAGAAGGAACAAAACAATGTTAGGCATGAAAGGGAAACGTAACTACTCACTACACTTACATACGCCTTTAAGTTTTCAAATCTTGAAGAATTTTGAAAGCATATGACAATAATAAACAATGGAAAGTAAAAGAAAATCTAAAAGGATGTTACATTAGAGGTTATATTAGAAATAATTAGATATAATTCAGCAAAAACAGACTTAAATCAAAAATTGCAATGAAATAGCGTGAAGTCTGGGAGGGAATGCAAAATTTTGATGCCCTCTCCCCGTGGAATCTGAACACATCACCCTCCCAGGGCCAGGACATCAATCAGTGCGTTCATGAACTCCTCTAAAGAACTTCCACCAAGGCTGTGCTGCAGAGTTTTTTATTGATGTGTCATTATGTGGGCATGAGATTGATTAAATTTATTAAGTTGGTTGATTGACCTCAATCTCTGGTCCTCTCCTCCATCCCCATGGTCATGATCAACCGAAGTCCCAACTTTCTAACCAAGTGCTTGGTCCTTCTGGTGACCAGCCCCCATCCTGAAGCCACCTAGGGGCCACCGGGGGTCACCTCATTAGCATCACAAAGACACTCCTAGTGCTCAGGAAATTACAAGGGTTTCTGAAGCTCTGTGCCAGGAACTAGGGACCAAGAACATGTATCTATTAGCCTCATTTAACAGATGTCCATTTTTGTTACACCACACATGGCAAGCCTGGTAAGGAGAGCCTTCCCCAAGAAGGTATGTAAGCAACTAGGAACTGGGTGGGATGTTTAATCCTCTTTCATGGAAGAGGAAAAATAATTGGAAATAATAATACATGGCATGACGAGAAAAAACTTAAAATCCCATGTTGAGGCCGGGTGCAGTGGCTCACACCTATAATCCTAGCACTTTGGGAGGCTGGTGGTGGGCAGGTTGCCTGAGCTCAGGAGTTCAAGACCAGCCTGGGCAACATAGTGAAACCCCGTCTCTACTAAAAATACAAAAAATGTGCTGGGTGTGGTGGCGTGCACCTGTAGTCCCAGCTACTTGGGAGGCTGAGGCAGTAGAATGACTTGAACCTGGGAGGCAGAGTTTGCCTCCAAAAAAAAAAAAATCCTATGTTGAACATGTTATGTTTGAGAGGTCTGAGTGACATCCGAATTAAGATGTGAAGTAGAGTGGTGTGTGTGTGTGTGTGTGTGTGTGTAGTCCGGACACTGCATGAGGACAAATCAGTAGGTGTGTGTGTCTTTTACGTCTCAGGAATTGATAAGCTCACCTGGAAGGAGAAAGCAACAGAGCCCCAAGCTTTAGCCATAGGGAACTCCAAACATTAGATCTGGTAAATGTAGAGAAGCTGTGTCTGGCAAAAGAAATACTTCAGCTGAGTTAAATTTAAAGGACCTTCATTGGGTAATGAACGGCAAATCAGGCAGCCCCCAGAATCACAGCGAATTTAGAGAGACCCCAGCACAGCCGAAGAAGATTTATAGACCAAACAAAGGGAGGTAATGTACAGAAATCAGGGGTAATGTACAGAAACAACTGGGTTGGTTACAGCTCAGCATTTGCCTTATTTAAACACAGTTTGAACACTCAGCAGTGTATAAATGGTTGAAGTATGGCTGCTGGGATTAGCCGAGACTCAGCTATTGTTACAGGTGCATACTCCTAAGTTAGGTTCTCAATCTTGTCTACCTATTAAGTTAGATTGCAGTTCGTCCACAAGGACTCGAATATAAAAGTACTGGAGTCCTTCTCTGGCCATATTTAGTTTGCTTTAACACTACCCAAGATAGAGAGTTCAAAGTCACAAAATCTAAGAAGAAAACATATTTCAAGAAGTCACTGGTTAGTTAACTGTTGAAAGCTAGCTGAGAACAATAGATCTGAGTAGAACCTCTTTAGGGGATCACATTGCTGAGAAGTAAAGCTCTTTGTCAACCAAAAATCAAGATCCCAAACATCTCTCATCTCTGCTCCCTTCCCTCCAATGTGATTGTTCCTCCCCTTCTTTGCTTCTCTTTGTTCTTTAAATTTATTTTTCTATATTCAACTCAATTCTTTTTCCTTCTCTTCCACCTCCTATGTTCCCTTCCTTTCTGGAGGCCCAAATGATTTCATTAAAATCAAGGTGTCAGCAGAGATTCCTTACTTTCTGGAGGCGCTGGGTGGGAATGCGTCTCTTGTCTCTTCTGGGATCTAAAGGTACCGCCTTCCTTGGCTCATGGCCCCTTCCTCCATCTTCAAAGCCAGCAACGGCAGGGGAGTCGTTCTCATCTTACTTCACTCTGACACTCACTCTTCTGCCCTCTCTTCCCCAATTAGGAACCCTTGTGATTACATTGATTACCTTGGGCTCCCCAAAATAACCCAGGTGGACTTGTTTTAAAGTCAGCTGATTAGTACCTTTTCCACCTACCACCTGAATCCCCCCGGCCATGGAAGGAAACATATTGACAGATTTTCAGATTAGAACATCTTTGAGGAGACCTTACTCTGCTGCCAACACTGGCCCCTGATTGCCTCACACTAAATCCAGGACGGATGCACTGACCATGGGTTCTCACTGGCACCCAGCCTGAAACCTCAGATAAGGCATTTGTCTTCTCAGAGCCAGGGTTTCTTCAACTGGCAATTTTCACAATAATCCCTGTCTGGTGCCTGAGAGCACAGGATGATGGCCAGGGAGTCGACGCCCTTCTGAAAGGGGGAAGAAGCAAAGGCATCTCGGTTTGCAGTATTCAGTGAGTTATGCTGACTCAAAGACACGAATCAGACACTGACTGGTAGGAACCCCCAGCACAGATTAAGAAGTGCATAGCCAACAGGCCTGACTCCAAACAATTCAAACAACAAGGAAAGAATAGAGAACTTATCATTATTGTGTCTGTTTGACAAATACTTAATTGACCATAATGTAAGGCTGGAATTTGCCTATTTTAAAGTTACCTGTGGTTGTAATTAAACTGTTTTGTTCAGTGTTCTCAATTCTAATTCTACTACTTTATTTAAAACTATAAATTTTTGTGTCAGGAAGACAATATCTACTTTTATCCCTCTAATATTTAACCCCTTAATGGAGACAGTAATTAGAATTATTGACCTGAAACTACACAAGATCATACAAACATTCTTCAGGCTAAACTATTATTTTGTTTGGTATGAGTTCCCAGTCTAAGCGTTAATATTTTCCCAAAGCCTCAGGACCTTGCAGGGACCAAACTCCACCTAGAACTCTAAGATACTGGCGGCAGCTGTCAATTTCATTAATCTGGTTTCAATTTTTTTAATATTTGGATTACAGCTTATCTATGGGAACTCATAGTTGTTCCATCTTTAATATTCCAGATAGACGATTTACTGAAAAAGCTAATTCAGTATTGTCTCCCGTGAGCCAGCCAATGAAACCTCAGCCAACGCTGAGGAGGGAGCACTCGAGGGGAGGAACGCCATCCTGGGCTCTCTAGGGCTGTTGTCTGTCAACAGCGAGATGAGAACAACGGGCAACAGCAGCAGCTCCGTCGGCCCACGGCCGCCCCAGGGGCCCTGGGAGGGCGGGAAGGGAGACACTGCCAGACCTCAGAGCTTGGCACCAAGAGCCAGTTATCAGCCAGATAATGTACTCAACCAATGGCGAGAAACCCGACCATGAACTTATTGGGAACTGGTCACAGAAAAGAGAAGGACTCTTTGTCCTGAGTGTGTGAGGCTGTGATGGTAGGAGCCGCAGGGCTGTGACTCACACGATGCCACAAGGTTCCTTCCAAAAACAACTGGGGATGCTGTGTGGGGAAAGGGCTGATGGCACAGTAGGAGGTAACGGGCTCAAAACTGACCTCCTTTTTAGGGGTGAGGAAAAGACTGTCACCTCATCTTGTGGCTTCAGAGCCCAGAAGAGATTGTGGAGCAGCGGTTAGAGACTTACGGAGGAATTCTGATATTTTTAACTCTTCGGCACTTTGCTTTTCTTGAGCAATTCCCACACCACCCCTTTTTAAAGATTTATTAGATTCAGGGGCTACTTTATAATATCCTTGGAGCCCAAATTAGACTTTAAGCACATAACATATCTGAGCTTGAGGAGTTTAACTTCTTCAACAAAGGAGCAAAGAGATTTGGTGAAATGACCCCCATGGTCCCTAATGCTGATGGACCCACCGAAGTTAGCCTGTCACCAGAAGCAAAGGGATACTATTTTTAAGATATGAGGATCTTTTCCACATTTCTGTTCAAAGCAGTAACTTTGCAGCTTCATCTATTGAAGGCCTCATCTCCACCTGCTTTTCCTACCCTGGATTCACAGGGCTTGTGGTGCCCTCTCCCTGCCTCCACTCACCTTCCAACAAGTGCTGGAGTTTGATTCACACCAAACAGAAATAGCCAAAATTTGTAAGAACTCTATTGGGCAGCTCTTCTGTATCAATGACTGTACAGGCTCCAAGGGCCAGAAATAATGAAGATACAGCACCTATCTCAGCGAGCTGACAGCCTTGAAGGGGGATGAGGCTGGAAAACAAATGACAACACAGTGTGATAAGTTCACTGCAGACCAGGGAGAGCGACAACTTTGAGAAAGGGTGATTGCTTTTAAACGGAAAGGAAAAGAGCTTGGGAAATACTTCCAGAAGAAACTGACATCTAACTTAGGTGAGTTTTCTTTTTTTTTAGGTGGGGTCTCACTGCGTTGCACAGGCTGCAGTGCAGTGGCTATTCAGAGGCATGGTCATAGCTCACTGCAGCCCTGAATTCCTGCACTCAAGCGATCCTCCTCCCTCAGCCTCCTGAGTGGCTGCAACTACAGGTGCATGCCACCATGCCTGACTCTCTAACATAGGTTTCAAAGGAAGCATAGGAGTTCCGAGTGGAAAAGAGACCAAGGGAGAGGCCCGTGCCAGTCCCGAAGGTGAGGGGAGGTCTGAGGGCCTCAGGATTGCTGGAACTTCCAGTGGAAGGGCACGTTGAGGGGACGCAAGTGAGATATAAGCGTTGGGTAGTTAAGAAAGGCTATTGAAATTTTCCAGACAAGAAATGTTAAGGCGCAGAACACAGTGCTCACAGAGAGGGAAAGGAGGAGGTGGATTAGAAATGAAATTTTGGAAATGAAATTATTTGCTGCCTGAGTGGCTACGCAGGAGGAGCAGGGGGACAGAGTCAATCTGGATGAGTCTTGGACTCAGGCATAAAGTGTCAGCAGTCTTGGGAGGATCCACATCCTCACGGGAACCAGCTCCTTCAGCTAAAGGGAAAAGGTGCTTGGTGCTTCAGCCGGCCCAGAGCGTGCCCTCCATGGACACAAAGAAGCCAAGTTCTTGTTGCTAAAGGTGTTCAACAGAGAAATGTTGGAGGGCCAATTAAAGGCAAAGCCCACCACTTTATAACCACATTTTAGGCATATTAAACATTCTAGAATGTAATCATCAGACTTCTAAACTGAGCCATTTGTGTTATCCAAGAAAGTAAATCAGTGACTTATGTTTGCAGCAATATAATGAACATTATAATGGACCCCTGAAAATGCAGAGTGAATGGTAGGGAATTTGCAAGAAAGGTAGAGAAACGCTCTACCACTGGAGACAAGGTGGAGAAGCAGGTTGACATCCAAGCTGGGGAACATCATGTTGACCGAGCATTGTGTATACACAGGGCGTGTGTGCATCTGCGTGTGTGTGCATGTGTGTATATGTGCATTCATGTGTGTGTGTATGGGAGGTGGGCCGGGACAGGGGAGTTGGAATGGAGACCAACCTGATAAAGCTGACACTCTGGAAGGGTTAGACTCCCAGGAAGAAAGTTAAGAAGGGAGAAGGATAACATCTGCACAAAGGCAAACACAAAGCAACATCCTTTGTCAGCAACATCCTTAGGCACCTGGAAGAAGCAGACACACAACTTCCAGGAATAATGTCCCTGAACCTGGGCTTCTGATGATTCCCACCAATATGACCATCAATTAGAATGCGTGCACACACACAATTCCAAATAAATCATCAAGACAATCATTAGGAAAAATAACAGGACCAGATAGACCAAGACTTCAGGTGTTGGCGTCATCAGATACGGATGATACATGTTAAAAGAAATAAAAGGACGGAAAACCATGAGAACGGAACAAGAATGATAAGATGGAATTGAAAAGGAGGCAGATAGAACTTACAGAAAAAATTTTTTAAACTTAGAATTTAATATTGTTTAAAACGTTTTAGGTCCCCACATAAAAATAGATGGCCTGGGTAGCAAACCTAAGCCAAGGGCACCTTATGAGCTCCTTACAAGGGGCAAATTACTGCCAGCCACGAGCCCCATGAGGTTCCAGGTTCTGCATGGGTGGAAGAAGGAAACTCCAGGCAGCAGCAGACAGCTCTGGGAACAGCAGAATACCACACAGCTCAAGGTTATTCTCCATCTTTTGCTCTGTATTACCAGGAAGCCCAGCAGGGCCAACTGGACGAAAGCGCTTGGGTTTTGCCCAATGCAACTGCATATAATCGAGAGCAAGGGACCCACAGCTGGAAGGGCCCAAGAGTCTGGAGCTCTCTATCTCCCATGAACTCTCAAAACTGACCCATCTGAGTGCCTGTCTGGGCCAGGGCCCTACCCCGAGGAGAAATTCCTGGGAGTAGAATCAAAATCAATCAAGACAGGCATGACAGAGACAAGAGAAAAAGAAGGTCCACACCAGGCCAACAAATCCCTCTGTTATGAACCAGATAGTAAACATCGTAGGCTTTGAAGTCCAGACGGTCTTGCTGCTACTACTCGGCCCTGCGGTTATAAGGTAAAAGCAGCCACACATGACATGTAAATGAATGGGCATGGCTGTGTGCCAAAAAAACTTTATTTATGAACACTGAAGTTTGCATTGTACACAATTTTCACGTGTGACAAAATAGTATTCTTTGTTTGTTTGTTTCAACCATTTAAAAATGTAAAAAGCATTTTTAATGCACAGGCTATACAAAACTGGTGGTGGGCCAGAGTTTGATTTCTGTCTCCTGGTGTTGATGAAAGAGGCTTTGAGAAAAAGATGCAGGAAAACTCAAGACAGGATGCCATGCTGCTTTTGGACATTACCAAAAACAGCAGAAGAGGGAGCCCCGCAAAGGTAAAAGAGCACTCCTACACCCAGCCACATCCTAAAGGCTCAGGCAAATGAATTTCCCATAAAAATAAGCAACAGAAAATATCCAAGTCAAATCCCATACAAAACTATTATAAGAAAAAGGTCCTAAGAAGCAGAATAACAGCCCAACAGACAATAAGAGCAGACACAAAGATGTGGCCGTCATGGGGCTCAGAAGGCCCAAAGTGCAGCCTCAGAAGCCAAGTTTCCCCCTGACCTTCCCTTGCCCTCCTGTCTCTCACCCCTCATGCTCCCCTGAGGGAAGCTATAGAAACTAGAATTCTTCCTCTCCCGAGGTGAGTCATAAAAACCAGAACCCCTTTGCCTCAAGGCCAGCCATAAAGCCTAAAAATATGACTCTAGCCTCCCCCTGCTTTTCTGTGTAACAGCTGGCAATAAAGAAATTAAGACCCTCATTGTAGAGGGACCCTACCCTATGCCCAGGAGGAGGGAATGTGGCACAGAGAGGCTGAGAAAGATCTGAACGCAGAGGCCTTGCTGAGTTTCCCCACACCATCTATTACATTCGATCAGGACCTTTCTGTCCAGTCTTACATTTCGACATGGCTGGCTGTGCTTCATCAAATCTAAGTATAGAAATGCACAGTTCACCCTGTATCTTTGGGTCTTCATTCTGAAGGTTCCCACATCACATCAAACTATGATGAAATAAATGTGTTATACTTTTCTCATGTTAATCTGTCTTTTGTTATAGGGGCACTGGTATGACCTTTATGATGGAGAAGAAAGTGATTACCCCCTTTCTGCCTCTGCAGCCACAAAACAGATCAAAACCTATTTCAGAACAAGCTAACAGACTCTAAGAAAATTATGTAAGACATGAAAGTATGTGAATTGTTACAGCAATCAGAAAAGAATTAAAAAATTTAAAAATGCATTTTAGGAGCAAAGACTAAACAACAAATAAACACAACATGTAATGCCCTAAGAAAAACAGAGGGTGAAAATGAGGAAAGTTTTCTTGTGTGTTTGTTTGTCTGTTTTGGAGACAGAGTCCACTCTGTTGCCCAGGCTGGAGTGCAGAGGCACAACCTCAACTCTCTGCAACCTCCACCTCCTGGGCTCAACCAATTCTCCTGCTTCAGCCTCCCGAGTAGCTGGGATTACAGGCATGCACCACCACGCCTGGCTAATTTTTTTTTCTATTTTTAGTTGATATGGGATTTCACCATGTTGGCCAGGCTGGTCTTGAATTCATGATCTCAAGTGCTCTGCCCACCTCGGTGTCCCAAAGTGCTGGGATTATAGGCGTGAGCCACTGTATGCAGCTGATAATGAGGAAAGTTTTAAAAGTAAAAAAGAAGTGAAAAAAAAATATGTCAGAAAAAGTGGAACATATTGAAGACAGGCAAAGGAGATAGAACATAGGAGGTCTCGAGGAAGATACCAATGCAAAGAAGAAGACTGAATACTAAAAACGACAAGAACTATACCACATTTTTAACACTGAATTTAAAAAAGGATTTGAAGCTACATATTGAAAAATTATACCACACACTCGAAAATATTGACCCCAAATGGTAAAATTACCAAACTTAAAAAAAAAAAAGAAAAAAAATCCTTTGAACATTTTATTAGTTACCTAGGGCTGGCATAACAAAATACACAGCCTGGGTGGCTTAAACAAGATAAATTTGTTTGCTCACAGTTCTGAAGGCTGGAAGTCCAAGATCAACGTGTTCGCAGGGATGATTTCTTCTATGGCCTCTCTCCTTGGCTGCAAAGGGCCATCTCATCCTGTCCTCATATGGCCTTTCCTGTGCACCTGCATTCCTGGTGTCTCTTCCTTTTCTTTTAAGGACACCAATCATATTATATTACCAGCCCCTCTTATGGCCTTAATTACCTCCTTAAAAGCTCTGTCTCCACATACAGTCACACTAGGGATTAGAGCTTCAACTTATAAATTTGGGTAGGATGCAATTCAGTCTACAACAGATATCCCAAACAAGTGTGTAAGGTATAAGGAAAAAAAATTAATTATCATCACGCTTGTCGACAGCAATGCTTTATGCTATGAGAAAATGAAATAGCATATTATTTATTTAACATACAATATTTATATACAAGATAAATCATACAGAATACAAATATACAGTAATGCAAATATATACAAATAAATAATACAAATATCATATGTTATTATATGCTATTACAATATACAATATTAAAATAACATATAATAATTAACATACTCAAGGAAAGAATATATGAAACAAGAATTTTATATCTAATTAATAAAAGACAAACTTTTATCAACATGCCAGAACTCAGGGACTATTATTGCTGAGTCTTTCCTGAGAAATCTAGTCGACATCAAGCTTCAGACAATCAAAATGGAGAGAGAGATAAGTGACTTATGCAATGGTAGTAAGTAAATAGGTGGTACGCCTAGGCAACATAGGAAGATCTCATGGAAAGAAGGAAGAAGGGAGGAAGGGAGGGAGGAAGGGAGGGAGGGAGGGAGGGAGGGAAAGAGAGAGAGAAAGAAAGAAAAAAAGAAAGAGAAAGAAAGAAAAAGAAAGAAAGAAGAGAGAGAAGGAAGGAAAGGAAAGGAGAGGAGAGATAAACTCCCAAATTTTTAAATGGTCAAAGATAAAAAACATTTTATGAAAACATAATCTGCTAATTAGAGGCTGCAGTGTGCTATGATGGCACCACTGTGCTACAGCCTTGGCAACAGAGCAAGACCCTGTCTCTGAAAAAAATTTTAAAAAATAACACATTAGACACAGCTCAAAAGAGAATTTGTAAACTGGAAATTATATCCAAAGACATTGCTCAGGATGCGTAACAGAAAGACAAATTAAAAATACGCAAGAGAAGTTAAGAAAATGAAAAATAAAGTCCAACATATATTCATTTTAAGTTTCAGAATTAAATAGTAGAGTAACAGCAAGACAGCAGTATTTAAAGAATATTTAATAGACTAAGAAATAATGGCCAAGAATTTTTCAGAGTTCAGGAAGCAATATAATATATCAAGCAAGAGAAATAAATTAAATTCATACATGATGAAATACATAGATGAAATTCATAAATAGATTAAATTCATACATAGATAAAATAGTGAAAAAACAGATTATCTACAAAAGAATGTCAATAAGACTGACAGGAGTCTTTTTAATAACAATGGAACATGGAAGAAAGTGAAATACCTTCAATGTGCTAGAAAATAATTATAGATTTAAAAATCACAAATCCAGTGAAACTACCAAAAATGAGGTAGAATAAAGGCACTTTGAGATAAACAGAAATTGAGACTGTTTGCCACCAAACTTAAAGGCACATTTAAATGATGTACTTCAGGAAGAATGAGACGCTCCCAGAAAGAAAGTCTGAAATGCAATGACGTTTGGCAGCTAAACAAAATGGTAAACATATGACTAATCTAAATACATATTAAGCAGATACTGATAATTACACAATCTGTGAGGTTAAAAACAGAGATTGATTCAAAATATTGTATCCCAGTAGCACACAAGCTAGAAGCAGTGATCAACGGAGGAAAACCATTCTAAGACAAGGTCTCCAACCCCTGGGCCACCAACGGATATGTTAGGAACTGGGCTGCACAGCAAGAGTTAGGAGCCGTGGGCAGGCAAATGAGCGAAACTTCATCTGTATTTACAGCTACTCCCCACTGCTCACATTACCACCTGAGCTCCACCTCCCATCAGATCAGCGGTGGCATTAGATTCTCATAGGAGTGTGAACCCTATTGTGAACTGTGCATGCAAGGGATCTAGGTTGCATGCTCCTTATGAGAATCTAATGCCTGCTGATCTGTCACTGTCTCCCATCACCCCCAGATAGGACCATCCAGTTGCAGGAAAACAAGCTCAGGACACCCACTGATTCTATATGATGGTGAGTTGTATAATTATTTCATTATATATTACAATGTAATAATAATAGAAATGAAGTGCCCAATAAATGTAATGTGCTGGAATCATCCTGAAACCATCCCCCTGCACCCTGGTCCATGGAAAAACTGGTCCCTGGCGCCAAAAAGGCTGGGGACCACTGTCCTAAAATCTTTGTGTTATTCAGAAGGATGGTAAATAGTCCTTCACTGTAGACTGTTAAGTATATATAAACAATTTCCAAGATAATCATTAAAAGAAAAGAAGTATAATACACATCTCCCAAAGCTGTAAAGAAAAATAAATGGAATACAAAAGCAAATGAAAAATTGTAGCTGACACTGTCCTTTGAGCAAACAGAGGTTTAGAATTAGTCAACCAATAAGCCTCTTGAGATTTTCCATGAGAGCTTAGGATGGTATTTGACTGTTTAGAAGAGGCACGCGAGTGGCTGTCTTTTTGATAGACAAAGAGGACAATTAAACGGAAGGAACAGTTCCTTAGGCATTCCTAGTTGGAGCTGTAATTTATGAACATTTGATACATCCCCGATTATTCAAATATTTTGTATTAATTTTTAAATCTGCACCCAATTTAAAAGTTCCATGGGTAGCTTCAGCAGGGAAAATGGACTTTTGATGGTTACATCCTTCTCTCCACCACCCCATCTCCTGCCCCCGAATCCTCCACTGCCCCCCTCGCTGTCTGAATGATGCTTATGGGAGCACCTGACGGCCAGGCAGGGCAGTGCTCCTGTGTCCAGGACGGGGGCTGCTAGTGGAGACTGCTTAGACATTTTAACAGTGAGAAAAGATATTTTATGTTTGGAATTTAACAGAGATTTTGGTTGATAGCATGAGGGCTCCCTTTAGCCCTCCTGATCCTCTAATTCAACGAGAAAATTTCCCTCACCATTTCTCCCCAGTCACAGTTTCTTTGTATTTTTCCAAAATTTTAACTGAGTTATCGGTTGTCTTCTTCAGTTTTACATTGTAATTTTGGCAGATAATTTCTTTGGCAGATAATCCAGGAGATAATAACTCCTGGACCAGCGGATTTTACCAAGAGGTTCTCATTTCTTTGGTTCTAGAGAACAGCCGCAAAATGTCAAATCCTCTAGTCTTTCTGACCAGCTGGATGCCATAGTTGTTGACAGACTGCTGCCTAGAAGTAAAAGAATTCAAAAGAAATCACTCATTTCTGCATCTCAACAGTTACAAAACACCAACAGCCCCCAAATTACAGGGTGTTATATAAGTCAATGAACCAAGCATTTGGGATTCTACAGAAACACTGTCTCAGCGGGTACTGGCTTCCTGGCCTGACCATTATATAACTATTATCCATAGCATAATTGAGGTGCTGTATATTTGAAATAAATGATAAAAAAATGCTGTAGATTATCCGTTTTTCTTAGCCATTTTTTCCAATAAGACATAGCCCACAGGGCCCTGGATAATTAACCTAGGCCTCCTCCATTTTTTTGCCAGGCCATTTAGACTTTCTCCTAAACTGACTACTGGCCTGAGGGAGGGTGTGGAGATGGGAGGAGCTGGTCCCATTGGGTGGACACTGTGTCGAGTTGGGAGGAGGGTCTGTGGCCTCCCCACAAGAAAGGCACCTTCTCTCTGCAGCTCCACCCACACCCTTTAGAGGGAGCAAGAAAAGGAAGCAGTCAGGCAATAACTGAACCCCACTGGCCTGCAGGGCAGCCAGTCAGTGGGCAGACATAGGGGCCATAGTGGGCCAGGGCCCCCCATTCTTAGGGGCAGACATAGGGGCCATAGTTGGCTGGGCAGGGGGTCGGGGGTGGAGGGTGGTGCAGGGTGGAGGGAGAAAAGGCAATTCCCACAGGATGACCTGCAGATCCTCCAAGCATCTGAAGATTGGGAGGGACCGAACATTTCACCCAGGTCAATCATTCTTGCCTCCCCACCCAGAGTTCAAACTTCTGATAAAATATTCAGTTTTAGCTCAAATACTTCCAATGTCCTGGCTGCTCCCATTCGGGGGACCACTGGGATGGCAGAGCTTGAGAGGATTAAGACTTGGGGGATTAAGAAATGGAGCCAGGTTGCAGTGGCCCTAGGAAGAAAAGAGAGCAGAGGGAGTGGATGTGGGAGGAATCAGGGCTTCTGCAGTAGAAAAGGAAGTGGATTAGGAAAGTGTTCCAGAATATGGGTGTTCCCAATGCCCGAGGAACAATGGGTAGGTAGAGACACAGGCCTCAGGATCCCAGGTCGGCAGTGTGGCTGCCAGGATGCCCTCGTGTTTTCCAGCCTGGAATATGGGTAGCCCAAGGCCTCTTTCTAGTTTCCTCCACACCCCTGCAGAGGCACAGTGAGGTTCATGTGGCCAAGCGCTCCAAGAAGCAGTGCAGCTATGACTTTACAGGGGAGGTGATGCCAGCAAAGGCATGACACACTCCATGGGGGCAAAGGTTGCCAGGACAACCTCTGCAAGGACAACCTCTCCCACAGCCAGGGTCTGAAGGGGATAAAAGAAGCTCTCTGAGGGCTAAGAGTGATGTGCCTGGGAAAAGAAGTGTGGTGTATGCTAGGCCAGTGCCCCCGAACCCCCAGCACTGGGGCTACTGTGGTACATGGGAAGTCCACCCGCCAACTTGGCTGCAAGATGCCCAACCCTTTTCAGCTCCCCCAACCACTGAGCCACTGCCTCAGAAAGAGCTTCAGGTCTTTTGAGTGCACCCAGGCGAGTGGGGAAGACAAAGGGTAAATGAGTCCCTTCTTCCAATGAGACCCAGAAAAGTAGCAAGGGGTCTGTTAGTCCTAGAATGGCAGAGGTGGGATGGGATCTGAGGTCCTGCATCCTCAGCTCTCTATCAGTGTTTGTCAGAGATACAGGGACATCCCCTGTGCCTGCAACTCAATGAGGCACCATATAAATAATACAAAGGGCAGGGAGAGGTTGAAGATGCAAGAAAACACTTAAGTTCTTCTCTTTCTCTCCTCTCTTCATTGGAAGAAATATAAGATTTGGATCACAAAGACTGGAACAGACTTAAAGGGAGAAAGGACAGGACAGATTAAGTAGGGGTGAAATTTTAAGGCAATATGAGAATAAAAAAGAAACGTAAACATTCAGATAAGTAATAGGCAGCTCAGACAAGAGTGAAAAAGTGAAGAGGGGAAAATATTTGAAGAAGTAGTTCAGATCAGTTTCCCAGAATGAAAAGACTGACCTCAGATTTAAAGGACTCGTAGAGCACCACAAAAGAGAATAAGGAAAACCTCACCTACACGTACTAAACTGAAATGTAAGAGCATGAAAAAAACAGAGAAATTCTAAAAGCCCACAGAAAGAAAGAAAGAAAGAGGCTATATGAAAGAACAAGAATCAGCTTGATATCATCTTTGTTAACAGCAACAATGGATGCAAGATAACTGGAATCTTATTTTCGACATACTGATGGAAAAGAACTTAAAAATGTAGAATTTTATATCCAGCCAAACTATCATTCAAATAAGATGAGATGATGAATTTCCTCAGGCATACAAGTGCTTTCAAGATTTTGTAGAAAAGGTCACATTGAAAATAGTTTTGAAAAACTAACTAAAAAGTGAAGGAAATTCAAGAGATATTCCAAGAAATTCTTGAAGGAAAAATGACTTTATACCTTAGTAGAGTTGTTATCTTTACAAATTGATAAGACTAACAAGAAAAAATACATCCTTACAACTAAGAATTAAAAGTTAGTTAATGCCAATATTAATGGGTTGGCAGAAGATGGCAAGAACAAAAGATATGAGAGCATAGTAAAGTTCTTGTCTTATTAGAAGATATTTGTAGATATCAAACTGGTTTAAAAGAAGCTCAAACCTAAGACCTGTAATTAGAAAACTTCTAGAAGAAAACAGGGGAAACACTCCAGGATGTTGGTCTAGGCAAAGAGTTTATGGTTAAGACCTCAAAAGCATAAGCAACAAAATCAAAAATAGACAAATGGGACTATATTAAACTAAAAAGCTTAGGTACTTCAAAGAAAACAACAAAGTGAAGAGACAACCTGTCTCTGATCATTTGAATATTGGCCAAACTTCACCTGATGAGGGGCTAACACCCAGAATATACAAGGAACTCAACTCAACAACAACAAAAATAATTCCATTAAAAACTGGGCCAAGAATCTGAATAGACACTTCTGAAAAGAAGACACACGAATAGCCAACAGGTACATGAAAACATGCTCAGCATCACTAATCATCAGGGAAATGCAAATCAAACCCACAATGAGATATCATCTCATCCAAGTTAAAATGGCTATTATAAAAAAGTAGAGATGCTGGCAAAAATATGGAGAAAAGGGAACCCTGTACAGAAAACAGTATAGAGATGTCCCAAAAAAACTAAAAATAGAACTACCAAACGATCCAGCATTCCCACTACTGGATATTTATGCAAAGGAAAAGAAATCAGTATATCAAAGTACTGCCATGTTTACTGCTGTGCTTTCCACAGTAGCAAAGATATAGAACTAAACTAAGTGTCCACCAATGGATGAATGAATAAAGAAAATGTGGTCTGCATACATAATAACATACCATTTGGCCATAAAAAAGAATAGAATTTTGTCATTTGCAATAACATGAATGGAACTGGAAGTCATTAAGTGAAAAAAGGCAGGCACAGAAAGATAAGTGTCGCATGATCTCACTCAAATGCAGCAGCTACAAATGTGGACCTCATGAAGCTAAAGAGTAGAATGATGGATACCAAAGGCTGGGAAGGACGTATGTGTTGCAGGGTGGGGTTGGGGGTGGGGGATGATGAGAGGAAAGTCAATGAGTACAAACATACAATTATGTAGAAAGAGTAAGTTCTAATGTTTAATGGCATAGTAGGGTGACTATAGTCAACAATGTATTGTATATTTCAAAATAGCTAGAAAAGGCTTTGAAATGGTTCCATCACACATGGTTACTCCTCGAAGTGATGGATATCCTAACCTAACCTGATCATTATCTACTCTATGCATGTACCATAATATCCCATGTGCCCCACAAATACGTACAAATCTTATATATCAATAAAAAAGAAAAATTAAAAGAAAAGAAATAGACTGAGTGGGGCTGGTGGCCCTCCCACCTACACTGGCTTCAGCACTGACTTGACCCAGTGGTATTACCTGCAAAGAGGTGCCCACGCAAAACTGCAAAGCCAGAGTGGTTTCCCAGTCCCTCTCCCTGGCCCTTTATGAGACTCCTCCTTCCATCTCCCTTGTGTGGCCCCATAGGGCTTGCTGGGGTCAGCACCCTGCTCAGGCCAGCCTGTAATGTCCAGAGTTTGTTCCCAAATCAGAACTAGCATTCCTTGACCATCTTCATCAATGATCTGAGGAAAGTTAAGTCACACTGAGGTTAAAAAGTCAACTGCATTTTAAGAGATTAGTAGCACAGATGAAAGGGACTAACAGGCCCCTTTCTGTGTGGGGAAGCTTTCCTTAATTACCTCATTCAATCCGCAGAACCACTATTAGAGAAGAAGAAATGCCTGCTATTAAGGGTTAAGTAACTTGCCCAAGGTCACCCACGTCTAAGTAGCAGAGGGGAGATTCAAATTCCATCTCTCTGGTTCCAAAGCCTATGTTCTTTCCAAATAAATTCCCAAAAGACAGAATGAGTGAGAGGACTCTCTTTTTCAGGATGGAAAGGCTCTTCATCTGTCAGTGACTTCCGCTTCACAATATTTTGCGTCCCGTAGCCCCCTACTTCGTCCGTAGTGAAACCAAGGCATGGGATTAGTGTTGCAGCCACATACCACTCTCTGGCACCCCAGGGAAATCTCTGTAACAGAGTCTTTACTTGGAAGAGGGGAACGTGGGTTGGCACAAGAAAAGCACAATCGCAAATCACGAATGTGCCAGCCCCAAGTGCTTGCTACATCTTGACTGGTACACAATTTCCTTTCTGGAGTGCCCACTTGAGATGCTTGCCAGCAGGTACCAATGAAACCAGGATAACTCACAACAGCTTCTGAGGGAAAATGGGAGGATTTAAATCAGTGTAGTACATTTAGTTGTTCCCATATGAATGTTCTTAAACCAAAATGCTAACTCTAAGATTATTTAGAATTAACTAATAATATATACTACCTTTGCCAAAAGTAACTTACCCCCAAGATAACTTATCCAATGGGGGTAAAAATAACAAACGAATTAAATATAATGGCTGCATGCTTTTCATGAAATGAATTAGATTCTCAAAGTATAGGCAAAAAAATATAGTCATGGATAGACGAGAAAATTTAAAATGATGTAAAAAATTAAATATTCCATCTAAATCTAATTATGTTAATACAATAAAACTAAGTTGAAGGGATTTAGTGAGGGAAGTGGAGTTCAGAATCTCACATAAGTTCACAGTTAAAACTCTAAGAAATATGTCACATTATTTACTGTTTTCAAATTTAATATATCTTCAGCTAACCATGATATTCAGAGACAGGAATGTCATAGTTTTCTGAATTCCCTGGTTAATATTGTAACCAGAAACCCTGCTTGAGTTCAATCCACCTTTTTGAAAATCTTTCAAAAATTTTTCTTTGTTTTCTTGTCCTAGTAAATACACTGTACTCACCAGAAATCTTTATTCCAGAACCTCAGAATTATTGTACCATGTTGTTTGTAGAAAGTCTATGAGATAGGGCTAAATTTGTAGCAACCCTGGAACACAGCCTGTTGCTTTTTAGATAAATGTCTGATAGGAATACACTGAGTTGTGAGTAAACTCTTCCAAGTAGAAATGTGGGAAGTAAAACCAAGGGATCTATTTGAAGTTTCAGTGAGTCCCATCTCAGTAAATCAAGGCCCCCTCAAGTTTTCCAATTCGATTAAATACACATTGTCTAAGCACCTACTTGACATGGAGGCTTAAAAAAATAGGTATAATCCTTGCACGTGAGCAGCTCAGAAACCAGGATAAACAAATAGCTGTCATTGAGTCTGTCACATAGAAGTATATCAAGTGCAGTCAGGATAAGTATTAAATTGGATGAAGGATTAAGAAGGAAGAATGGGAAAGAGCATTAGGGCAGATGGCACTTGGATTGGTCTAGAAAACGTGTAAGAGATTTCTGGACAGAGCAAAGGGGGAGAGGCCATTCTGGAAGAAGGTAATAACACTGATAAAGACATCTAGATAGAGGTATCTAGATGGCACTTACAGAAGTAGTAATTTACCCAACCATGTAGACCAGAGTGTGTGGTGTGAGAAGCAGACAGGATGGCTGTGATGCCAGAAATGGGGACTGGAATGAGTTAGTGAAAAGCTGGATATTTCATGCTAATACAGCTTGTCTGAATTTAGTGAGCACTGGCAAGCTATCAATAGCTTTCATGCCCGAGAATGGGGAGAGTCAATTTGTGTTTGGGAAGGTCATTCTGGTAAGAGTGTGGTAGATGGCTTGGGTGGGGCAAGACTGGAGACCAAAAGATGTATTGGGTTATGGCAAGTGGCTGTTTAGAGATTATGAGCATCTGGACTAGGGCTGCGGCAGCAAGGATGGAAGGGAAGAGAGAGATCAGGGCACCTTTTTGAAGTAAGATCAAAAGGACTTACCGATTGCCTGATTTAGATGGCAGGGAGTCCAAGTGGGTAGATGGATAGTTTTACTTCCATAAAATAAGGAAGACAGAGGATGAAGAGGCTTAGAAATGAGATTATTAATTTGAATTTGCACTAGATAAATCTGAGGTGCCCAGAGCGTGTTTAAATGGAGATCTCTAGGAGGGAGTTCAATCATGAATCCCAAAAAGAGCATCTTAATGCCACACTTAATGACTCAGAGAAGTTTAATGGCCATGTAATACTAAATAATACAAATATTCAACATATGCAATATGCAAATAAACACTGAGAGACCACAAAACCCATTTGGCACTCCCAACTGAGAAGTTTGAAGATGTACGTGGTGCTTTGTTTGTGATCCAGGCCTGATTCCCCACTATCTCAAGGCTCTACTGAACCCCTCTTAACTTTACCCGAGCAGAACCCCATGAAACAACTGCCTTTGCTGCTTTTGCTGGCTCCAATTGATCTCCCAGTTGAGGCTCAAACTTGTTGATTCCTTAACAAGAAAATCATGGTGACCCAGTTATGTGTTCTGTTTAGTGGATTTCATCTTTCTCTGTCTATTTTCAGGTGCTGACTATGTGCAGCTCCCCAGTCAGTTCTTCAAGGCCTGCAGATGCCCAGCCTCTAACCAACTCTGCTTCTTTCTACAGCGCATTCTGTATTCACACCCATTAGACTCCATGGGCTATGGAAGTCATTCCCCTGTGCGTGTGTGCTGAGTTCAATCTCAGCTCCTTGCCTGGGTACAGCCCTCACTACCAATGACCATGCAGATGTACTAGATTGTTTGCTGGCTTAAAAAAAAAAATAGCAGCTTTCTTATCTGAGCATACAAAGGAGTTTTATCGTAAACATTCAAGCACCGTGTATAATCAAATTACCCATAAAAAGATAGGGAGGGTCTTTTCATTATTGCTGTGGTCCTGCTGTTAAATCGCTTTGAAATGAGGTGCAGTGAACGATGGGATTCCTTCGAGGATTCTGCCATAGCGGCCCCGGGATAGAGCACGTTGGAAAATTGATCCAGTGTAAAGCAAGATTTGTTAGGAGATGGAGACTAGTGAAGCCAAGGACAGAAGATCACTGGCTGAATCACTTGTTTTCTTGTCATGACTCCAATTCAGTGGATTTCAATCCTGGCTGCAGATCAGAGTCACCTGGGCAGGTTTTGTTTTTCCCCAAAATACTGTGCCTGGGCTCACAGTCCCAGAAATTCAGTAGGACCCTCCCCATCCCCCATCCATGTGTACTTTTAGAAGAGGCATCATTCTGGTGCCTTTTACACCTGACACATGAAACACTAGTGACCATAAACATGCTTTCATTTAGGCAACGTGTGAATACCCAGAGTATACAGGAAGGAGCGGGGAATGCGGCCTGGATGGCATGGGGTGGACTCTAGGAAGCAATGACACCTTTCAGAGACAACCCTCACTACTCGAGGGTTTCCTGGGTGTTTCTGAAGCTGCAACTGGGATCAGGCCTTAGTTCATGTGCCTCAAGTACAATGTAGTCCTTCCCCCACCTCTCTCCCCATCTAAAAAATATCACCAAATCTACTCAGAGACACAAGTCCACCTGTAGGAGAAGAGGTGGAGGCACATATTCCCAATCCTGGGCTAACAAGGCCTAGGGGTCACTGTAGTGGGTCGGGAGCTGTGAATGTTGCAGGGAGGATTTAACCGGAATAACAAGGGGTGTTGTGTCCCTAGGGCTCTGTCCCTCTTTCCCCATCCAAAGTTCTGTCATGGAAATGATGAATGAAGGCATGGGACCTTTGCTGTCAAGCCGTCTTAGCTGGGGACAGTGACTCCCAGGGCCACCATCAGTGAGCATGCCTGGGACCCAGGGGAAGGGAAGCTGCTCTAGGACCTCGGCTCTGAGGACACACAGATCCTGCTCCCAGTGGTCCCAAGCCTCCAGTTGTGATCCCTATCTGTTGACAATCTGGACTCAGCCCCACTGTTACAAAGAACCATCCCCTGGGCAGGCACGGTGATTCATGCCTATAATCCCAGTGCTGTGGGAGGCCAAGGTGGATGGATCTTTTCAGGCCCGGAGTTCAAGACAAGCCTGGGCAACATAATGAGACCCTATCTTGAAAAAGAGAGAGAGAGAGAAAGTGAAAGAGAACAAAGGAAGGAAGGGACGGAGGGAGGAAGAAAGACAGAAAGAAAGACAGATAGGAGGGAGGGAGAGAGGGAAGGAAGGAAGGAAGGAGGGAGGGAGGGAGGGAGAGAGGGAAGGAAGGAAGGAAGGAGGGAGGGAGGGAGGAAGGAAGGAAGGAAGGAAGGAAGGAAGGAAGGAAGGAAAGAAGGTTGGTTTAAAAAGAAAAAGAAAACACAACCATCCTCTCCAACCAGCCCCACTGAAGTGGATCCTGCCCATCCAAACAGGATGAGGCAAAGTCCAGCAGACTTGAGCCGATAAGGTTCAAGGACAAGGCACAGGACGTAGAGTCATATTCCACAACATCCTCTCCAAAGCCTCTGGGCTAAAAGTTTTACATCTTGATATCATCCAACGATGTAAAACACCACTTCAACTTCCATGAAGGCCAAGTTGACTCTGTGAGCTGCTATTTCTGCAAATTTCTCAAGTGGTTTCCTCGGGCCCTTTAAGGGAGCCAACAGCTTCTGCATGAGACCAGTCATCTCTTCATTAACCAGTTTAGATTCCCTTAAAGCCACTCTTAGGTTTTCTTTTGGGTTGTGTGCTTGTAGATATCATCTAGAGGTTTGGGAAACTGGTTCTAAGTGGGACCATATAGTCCTCAGAGTTCGGTCCAGTCGAGAGAAGGGGCATAAGGGGAGGGAGTGAAGCCATTTAGAGTTAGAGAGGCCTTAGAGAGTACTTGGCCCAGTCTTTCATTTCAGAACAGAGGAAACAGAGACTTAAAGAGGTTAAGTGTTTGTTCAGAATCACTTCAAATGTTGATAGCAAAAACAGGGCGAGGACTTCAGGAGCCTAACTGTCCACCCCAAGTTCCTTCTGGTTAATGCGGCACATGTGGTTTCCAAGGAAATCAGTCAACTCTTCAGCAGGAGGAGGCGAGGCTGCAGAGCAGAGGTTACTTACGGTGGTGCAGGCAGACACACCATCGTGGCCACAGGAAACGAGTGCTTCAAATGGGGCTGCTACAGGAACAAATAGCAAGGACACTGGCGTCAGAGGTGGCGTAGGACAGCATGTCACAAAGTGACAAATGGATGGCCCACGCAGCCCGCGTTTTGGGAGCTGAGAAGAAGCAATCACTGGGCTTAGGTGGATGGAAGTTATCAGGTAAGTTTCGTCCTCCAGTTTGCAGGCATGAATGTGTCATGCTCACTTAGAGGTTTACGCTGCATTTTTACGTGATACTACCCAGGCAGCAGAATGGAATTTAATAAAAAATGAGAATCGTAGTTGAAAAGGCTTCAGAGTATTTTGCATTTACAATTGCATTTCAGAAGTCTGATTTTTCTAACCTGATTGACACAAAAGCATATTGAGTTCTGTGAGTTCTATTTACAGATTTGCATTAATGATGATTAATAATGTCTGCTATTTAAGTCAGATTTTGTGTAAGGAGTATGCAAAGAATGAGCTGTTGAGGCAGCAACCTGATTTTGTTGTTTTTTTCACCACTGCATTTATCCATTCTTTAATTTTTTTTTTAATTATTTGAGACAAGGTCTCACTCTGTTGCACAGGCTGGAGTGCAGTGACACGATCACAATTCACTGCAGTCTCAACCTCCCAGGCTTGAGCAATCCGCCTGCCTCAGCCTCCAGAGTAGCTGGAACTACAGGCATGCACCACTATACCCACCTAATTTTTTTTTATTTTCTTTTAGAGATGAGGTCTCATTATGTTGTCCAGGATGACATTTATCCATTCTTAATCATCTCTTCATTTTTATACAAAGCCAAAGTTCACATTATTACTGGGGCAAAATTTCCCCCCAGTTTTCCCCCTAGTTAGCAATCAGTCCTTCCCTTCCTTCCTTCCTTCCCTCCCGTCCCTCCCTTCCTTCCTTCTTTCCCCCCAGTTAGAAGTCCTTCCTTTCTTCCCTTCCCTCCCTCCCTCCCGTCCCTCCCTTCCCTCCTTCTTTCCCCCCAGTTAGAAGTCCTTCCTTCCTACCCTTCCCTCCCTCCCTTCCTTCCCTCCCTCCCTTCCTTCCTTCTTTCCCCCCAGTTAGAAGTCCTTCCTTCCTTCCTTCCTCTCCCTCCTTCTCTCTTTCTTCCTTTCTTTCACTCCTCTCCCCTCCCCTCCCCTTTCCTGTCCTTTTTTCTTTTTTTCTCTTTCCTTTTCTTTCTGAGATGGAGTCTTGCTGTGTCGCCTAGGCTGGAGTGCAGTGGCGTGATCTCAGCTCACTGCAACCCCCGCCTCCCAGGTTCCAACGATTCTCCTGCCTCAGCCTCTGGAGTACCTGGGATTGCAGGCACGTGCCACCATGCCCAGCTTATTTTTGTATTATTAGTAGAGACGGGGTTTCACCATGTTGGCCAGGCTGGTCTTGAACTCCTGACCTCAGGTGATCCACCTGCCTCAGCCTCCCAAAGTGCTGGGATTACAGGCGTGAGTCACCGCGCCCAGCAGAAGAATTTCATTTTAACATGCAAACACCTCAACAAAGCCAACTGAGCCTACTTCTAAAAAGCCTCCAGACATATCCCTTCCTCTCCAGTCTTGCTGGCCACTGACCTCTCCCAAATTCTCATATGCACTTAACATTCATTTTACAGCAACAACCTCCTAACTGGTCTTTTTGCCTCCAGAAAAAAAAAAAAAAAACATATTCAGCAACTAAAACAATTAAATTCCTAAAGGCCAATAGATTATATATTCTACACTGCATAGGTGTAAATTCTGTGCCATATATTCAAGGCCAGAGCAGAGTTTGAGGTTATAGCCTGGCAGAAATTTCAGAAATGGGTATTCCCCCAAGGAAGGTTTAAATTCTGCGTTTGAAGTCCAGTAATTTTACCTGGCCTTCTTTTTATTCAGATGACCAACCAGCACTGGAGATTTACTAGCCCGTGTGCAAATTTTTGTCAATCCCACTTGTCATTAGAAATCCCACATGCTACAGAGAGAATGCGATTTGCAGATAACTCGAAAACATAAGAAACCCAAACACAAATCACTTAATCGGAGAAAACATTACTCTCTTAAATTTAAACAGTTTTTTTTAAAAGCCAGATGTACTTATTGTCATTTCCAGAATTACTCTTATAAGTATCTGGTTATCATAACCACAGAAAGACAGTTTATTAGTTTTAACTGCTGGATAAAAGCATGTAGCATTTTCAAGATTTCTGGTTTCACCCTTTTAACCCAAAGAGTAACTATAAATAGATGGCAAAGTCTGGGATTTCCACAGCTAAGTGCTGCTATAAATAGTTTTAAACATTTTCCCACTTCATGCTTTCAAAAAGAACATTCTCCACTTCCTTTCTTGGATAACCTCTGGGAATAAAGTGAATCACATTCAGAATTTTATTAAGGGAGTTTAACAAAACTATTTTAATGAACCTTTTAGCAACTCTAAACATATCTCAGACGCTGAAAAAACTGAGAATAAAATGATTTAACAAATGTGTTAATTTAAATAGATATTTAAATTGAAATAGATATTTTTGACAAATGCATTTAGAAATACATTTCTAACCACCGAAGTGGTGACTAAACGAAAGAAACATATTTCTTTCAACATTCCTTCCATGATAACATCTAGAAAAAGGGGTGTGAATTCATGCCTGTTGTCAGGTATCCAGGCTGACTTCTTTCTCAGGGAATATTCATAAGACAGAGACACAAAGAGATACAAAGATCCTCAGTTCTTTGTGAAATCCCTGCCATGGATCGCTTTCCCAAGGGACATGCCTGTGGCCGTCAAAGCAAAGCGAGCACTGTGCAGGACCGTCCCATCTCTCCACAGCAGAAAGATTCCTAATGCCTGCCTTCTAGCAACCTCTGCTGGTAGTTATTTCTGACTGGGAAGAAAGTAGAATTAGCCAGTCTTCCCCATGGCAGGAAAATTAAGCAAAGAAAAAACAGCCACGAAAACAGGTCATATCAGTGAAACACATGTTTCTGTTTTATATTTTAATGAAAAGGGACAATGGAAGGATTATAAATGATTTTTAAAATATTCGTGTTTTCTAAAAAAAAATAGCTATTTTTGAGCAGTTTTAGGTTTAAATATTGCACAAAAGGTATAGAGCGTTCTCATATATCCTGTCACCCTCAATTTTCCCTATTTTTAATATCTTGCAATAGTGTAGTACATTTGTTACAATTGATGAGCTAATATTATTATTATTAATGAAACTCCACAGTTTACATTAGGGCTCACTCTTATGTTGTACATCCTATGGGTTTTGACAAATGTATAATGATAGGTATCCGCCATTATAATATCAACAGGAATGATAGTTTCACTGCCCTAGAAATTCCCTGTGCTCCATCCATGCACCATCTTCACCACAACCCCTGGCAACCACTGATCCTTTTACTGTCTCCATAGTATTCCAGAATGTCACATATCTGGAATTCTACAGTAGCAGCCTTTTTAGATTGTCTTCCTTTATTCAGTAAAATGCATTTAAGTGTTTATCCATGTCTATACATAGCTTGATAGCTCATTGATTTTTAGCACTGAATAATGCCCATTGTCTGGATGCACCGGAGTTTCTTTACCTGTCACCTCTACTCAAGGATATCTTGGTTGTTTCCAAGTTTTGGCAATTATGAATAAGGCTACTATAAAGATCTGTGTGCAGGTTTTTAGGTTGACATGAGTTTTCAGCCCTTTGGGGTAAATGCCAAGGAGTATTATTTCTGGATCGTATGGTGAGAGTAGGTTTAGTTTTGTAAGAAACTGCCAAGCTGTCTTCCAAAGCGTCTGTGCCATTTTGCATTCCCACCAGCAATGACTGACAGTTCCTGTTGCTCCACATCCTCGCCAGCCTTTGGTGTTGTCAGTGTTCTGGTGTTAATTGCTTTAGTTTTTCAATATGTTTTTGTCTCCTAGGTATGTAGTGGTATCTCACGGCTGTTTTACTTTGCATTTCTCTCATGATATATGTTGTTGAGCATCTTTTCATGTGTTTATTGCCATCTGTATATTTTCTTTGGTGAGGTGTTAAGATCTTTTGTCCTTTCCTTAATGGTTTGCCTTCCTATTATTGAGTTTTAAGTGTTTTGTATATATTTTGGGTATAAGTTTTTATCTTATATATACTTTGCAAACATAGACTTTTTTCCCCTAAATCCTGAATATAGTGGATATCCTAAAAAACAATCCTTCTTCTTTGTTTCCTTCATTCATTTAGTCATTCAGTCGGCATTTGTTATGTAACCTACTACAAATACTAGGTGCCAAGAGTACAGGATAAAAGGATGGTCCTGACACTTAAGGAGCTCATCCTACAGTACGGAATGTTAAGAAAGTATAGATATGCTGCAAGAAGTATCACATAAACCTTGAGGACACTATGCTAAGTGAAGTAAGCCAGTCACAAAAAGACAAATACTGTATGATTCCACTCATGTAAGGAGCCTAGAGTAGTCAAATTCATAGACAGAAAGTAGAGCGGGGGTTATTAGGGGCTGTGGAGAGGTGGGAGTCAGGGGTTGTTGTTTAGTGGGTGCAGGGTATCAGTTTTGCAAGATGAAGGAGGTTGATGGTACAACAACATCAATGTGCTTAGTGCTACTGAACCGTATACTTAAAATTGGTTATGATAGTAAATTTTAATTTATATGTATTTTGCCACAAAAATACATTAATTTAAAAACTAACTGTTATGCAGAAGTGTGGATAAATGGCACAGGAAAACAGGTACAGGAGAGATTAAACTTCTACAAGATGTATATAATCACATAGATCACTATACTAAATACGGCAAGAGCTTCAGGTCAATTTGTCTTTTATTCTTTAAAAGGTTTTCTGGGGCCGGGCACCGTGGCTCATGCCTGTTATCCCAGCACTTTGGGAGGCTAAGGCGGGTGGATCACGAGGTCAGGAGTTCGAGATCAGCCTGGCCAACATGGTGAAACCCCATCTCTACTAAAAATACAAAAATTAGCTGGGCGTGGAGGCGTGTGCCTGTAATCCCAGCTACTTGGCAGGCTGACGCAGGAGAATCGCTTGAACCCGGGAGGCGGAGTTTGCAGTGAGCCGAGATCGTGCCATTGCATTCCAGCCTGGGTGACAGGGTGAGGCTCCGTCTCAAAATAAATAAATAAATAAAAATATAAATAAATAAATAAATGGTTTTTTGATATAAGTGCAAAAGATGAGACAAAGGGAATGGCACGCTAGAACCTATACTAGGGACGGAAGTGGAATAAAAAGCAAAATGTATGCTTTGAAGATCTAAAATCTGAAAATTGAGCAAGCTTTCTTGCATCCAACATGACAGCAGAGGATCAGTTGAACAAATCCGTGTCCAAAAGAAAAAAAGACAAGCCATTCGCTTAGCGGAGGAAAACTTATCCTAATTAAAAACAAAATCCCAACCTTGAAAGAGCCACAGATCTTATCGTGATCTTACTACCGTTATACCAACATTCATGTCATTAAAAGCAATTATCTGGAGCAATTATCCAACTATATACATATATATGGGCAAGAACTAGAAGAAACCAGAGAATTAAGAAAATAGTTTGACACTGATATATTCATCTAATATTATACTTAGTGTCTTCTGTGTGCCAAGCACAGTCCTGGGTGTCAGGGACACAGCAGTGAACAAAACAGATAAAACTCCTTGCCCTCATGTGGTTTATATGCTAATGTGGAAGACAGAAGATAAACTACATAGATAAGGGTGGTAGGTTGTCTTCAAAGATGACTGCCAACAATTCCTCTAATTGCTGCACACACTTGCCACTCTCCCCATCAAGAGGTGGAATCTATTTCCCTTTCATTTGTATCTGGTTGGCCCTGAGACTTGCTCCAACCTATAGGATATGATGCAGTGCACACATGCCTTTTACAGGACCAGCTCCTGAGAGACCTCACAGCTTCCACACTCCCTCACTTGAAGCCTAGAGTCATCAGGTAAGAAGTTTGGCTGTCCTGCTGGAGGGAAGAGACTCAGCCAGCCCCCAGCTGAAGTGCAGATGTCTGTGTGAAGCCAGGTGGGTGTCCCAGTCCCAGCTGAGCTTCCAGATGAAGGCAACAGCGTTGTGACTCCCACTGGCACCATGTCCAGCAGAACGACCATCCAGCTGAGCCCAGTCAAATCACAGAATCTTGAGAAACCATAAGTTGTTGTTTTAAGCCCCTAATGCAGCTAACTGAAATAATAGGCTAAATGTAGTGTAGGTTCATTACTGATAACCCAGGGCAGTGCTAGAGCCTGTGAGTATTGCCTCACAAGAGGCAATAAATTTTCAGGAGTTCTGTGAGCCATTATTAAGAATTACATTATATAAGCTTATAATTACAAACATTTAAACAAATAATATTCAAATATGTGTAACTATTTTACTACTATCTCTTCTTGAGGTTATTTGCATGCACTGGGTCTGCACAGTGGAAATACCATGTCACGGTACGCTACTGTGCATCTCTTCCCACCTCCATGTTCAGCCATGGTATGAGTATTTACACCAGGGAAACTAGCAAGCTCTATAAACCAGAGCTTGATTGTTTTCTTGTTTCTCTGGACTTAAGAAAATGATAGAGAAAAATGTTACCGTGGATTAAACTTAAAAGTGTATTATGGCAGGGTGCGGTGGCTCATGCCTGTAATGCCAGGACTTTGGGAGGCCAAGGCAGGCGGATCATGAGGTCAAGAGATTGAGACCATCCTTGCCAACATGGTGAAATCCCATCTCTACTAAAAATACAAAAATTAGCTGGGCATGGTGGCGCATGCCTGTAATCCTAGCTACTTGGGAGGGTGAGGCAGAAGAATCACTAGAACTTGGGAGGTGGAGGTTGCAGTGAGCTGATATCGTGCCACTACACTCCAGCCTGGCGGCAGAGCGAGACTCCATCTCAAACAAACAAACAAAAACTGTATTATGTCTATAACTGCCACATTATGAATAGCACAAAAATTTGAGGAAATATTCTTCCAGAAAAGCATCAATCAATTCAGGAAACAAATGGGTGAGGTTTTAATATACATCTTTGTAGCCATTTTACTTTGGTCTTCCTCATAAACATAAATAAATGCAGCAATCAACATTCATGCTGGAACTGTATTCACTTGACAATTGAAACCAGAGGTTGGCTACAAGATTACTGCAAAAATTAACAAAAATGCTCTATGAGAATTAATTATTTGGAACTTATAAGACATACAGTAGGGAGTAGTGGGTTTTTTTAATTTATAAATTGATGCCTTTTCTATCAGTAAAATTTATAATAAGCTTATTCCCCAGATATATATGTGTATATATATGTGTATATATATGTATATATATGTGTGTATGTATGTATATATATATATGAATGTCTTCCCCTGCCCTGCTCCACTCCCCCCACCCCTGCTCCAAAGAACCAGTCGTTAAACAGTTACCAGCATTCTTCCGGTTATTTCTCACTGCAGTACAACCTAGCCTCTTTAGCCTATCTTCACTGATACATTAGTAAATCAAATAGAGTGACTTCACCTAGTTGGTTTCTACTTCATCTCTTCTCAAACCACATTTTTGTTATGTTTAATGTGTTTTATGTTCAGCATATTACATCCTTCTCTTTAGAAGCCTGGTGGAAGTATTTCTTTAGTGGCAGGTGACGTGGTGTTCTGGATTTCAAAGCATTTCCAGTGATGCTGTGCCATGCTACACTCTAAACAGCCACTTCTCACTCCCCTTCCTAGCGCCTCGGGGCCAAGCATTTGCTCCCTGACTCCTGAGAGCTGAGGGAGCCTCTTTTTCTATAAAAACAGTCTTATTCGCCACATTCAGGGCACTAGGGTCTGGACAGTCATTCCCAACATGGTCAGTCTCTATGACTCTATCAATTAACATATCTCTGGACCCTATGATGGGTTTTTGACAGTCTAAGAGATTACTCACATGTATTAGATCAGCAGACATTCAAATAAGCATAAAAGAATAAAAATAAGTGAATTAAGATATAAATGGGGGTGTAAGCCATTACATCTGTTTTACACATGAACCTGCAAATCGGGCAGGGCTCTGGGGGCTGGCTCCTTGGGTTGACCTGCAGGGCTGGTGGTGGGATCATTTACAGGCTCGCCCCCTCACATGTCTGGTGCCTGGGATAGGAAGACTCAAGCATACAGAGTTGAAGGGAAGAATTAAACCATTTCTAACTTTAATTTTGTTTACTTTCCCACACTGCACTGATGTACATACTTTAAATTTAGAAGAAGTCCAATTTACCTATTTTTTTCATTTATTGCCAGTGCTTTTGGTGTCATTTCCAAGAAATTACTGCCAAATCCAATGTCATGAAGGTTTTCCCCTGTGTTTTCTTCTACGAGTTTTATAGCTTTAGCTTTTACATTTAAGTCTTTGACTTATTTTGAGTCAATTTTTGTATGTGGTATAACGGAAGAGTCCAACTTCATTCTTTTGCATGTGGATATCCAGTTTTCTCAGCACCATTAATAAGACTACCCTTTCCCTGGAGAGGGTTTTTTGGAGCCCTTGTCAAAAATCAACTGATGATATATGCAGTGGCTTATTTCTTGGCTGTCTTCTCTATACCATTGGTTTCTCTGTCTATCTTTAAGCCAAGATCACACTGTTTAATTACCATGGCTTTGTAGTAAGTTTTGAAATCAGGAACTGTGAGTCCTCCAACTATAGTCTTCTTTTTCAAGATTATTTTAGCTATTCAGGGTTCCTTAATATTCCATATGACAGACAGGTGGAGTAGTACACACCTGTAATCCCAGCTATTCAGTAGGCTGAGGTGAGATGATTATTTGAGCCAAGGAGTTCAAGTCCAGCCTGGGCAACATAGTGACACCATGTCTTATAAAAAGAGAGAGAGTGACAGAGAGAGAGAGAGAGATTTTCTGTAAACTTTAGGATGGGCTTTTCTGTTTCCATAAAAAATACAGGCCACGAGCAGTGGCTCACTCCTGGAATCCCAGCACTTTGGGAGGCCGAGGTGGGCAGATCACCTGAGGTCAAGAGTTCAAGACCAGCCTGGCCAACACAGCGAAACCCTGTCTCTACAAAAATACAAAAACTAGCCAGGCATGGTGGTGTGTGCCTGTAATCCCAGCTACTTGCGAGGCTGAGGCGGGAGAATTGCTTGAATCCGGGAGGCAGAAGTTGCAGGGAGCCGAGATTGCGCCATTGCACTCCAGCCTGGGTGACAGAGACTCCATCTTAAAAAAAAAAAAAAATACCATTGAGAGAGATTTCATTGAATCTGTATATCCCTTCAGGTAGTATTCCCACTTTAGCAATATTATGTCTTCTAGTACATGTACATGGGGGTAATTTTTCATTTACAATTTCAATATTTTGGGGGTTTTCAGTGTACAAGCCTTTCACCCCCTAGGTTAAATATATTCCTAAGGATTTTAGTCTTTGTATTGTAAATGAAAGTTTTAAAATTTCCTTTTTAGATTGTTATTGTTAGTTACAGAAATGTAACTGATTTTTTGTATGTTGATTTTATGTTGTGCAATTTTGCTGGACTTGTTGATTGGCTTTCATTCAAAAACGTATTTTGTCTTCATTTCTGAAGGACATTGTTGATGCACATAGAATTCTGGGATGACAGAGTATTGTTGGAGGAATGGGGTTTGGCTGCTTGTTTTTTTCTTTCAGCACTTAGAAGATGTTCCACTCTCTTCTGGTCTCCACGGTTCCAGTGAGAAATCTTCAAATTTTTCTTCCCCTATATACAATCTGTTGTTTTCATCTACCTGCTCCCCATCCCTCTTCTTCTTTTCCTCTTGCAGTTATTGTGTCTTGGCACAATATTTTTCATGTGTATCCTGATTAGGGTTCATGGAAGTTTGTTTTTCCCTGAATTTGGTAAGTTTTAAGCATGCCATTATGTTTCAAATAATTTTTCCACACCTATTTCTCTTCTCCTCTGGGACTCCAAGGATATAAAGGTGAAACGTTTTGATATTATCCCACAGGTCCCTGAGGCTCTGCTCATTTTGTTTTAAATCTTTGTTCTTTCTCTACTTCAGACTGGATAATTTCTATTGATCATTTTCCACTGTTTCTCTGACACCTCCATTCTACTATTAAGCCCATCCAGTGAATCATCTTCTTGCACTATGTTGTATTTTTCAGTCCTAAAATATTCATTTTGTTCTTTTTTATAGTTTTGATTTTCCTACTGAAAACTCATTTCCATTTTTTCATTTATTTCAAGTATAGTTATAATAGCTCTTTAAACTTTGTGTGCTAATTTCAATATCTGGGTCATCTCATGGTTGCCATTTGTTGATTGTCTTTTCCCTTGGGAAATGGGAATAGTTTTCTGGTTATTTGTATATCAAATAATTCTGCATTCTATCTTGGACATATTAATATGTTGAGCAGCTCTGGGCTTTGTGTGATCATGCTGATTTTTTGTGGTTTGTTTTGCAGCCTGTTTTGGTTCAGACGGCAAGTTCCTTTTTGCTTTCTGTGGGCGGTGTTTTCTATCTCAGTTCTCCAGGCTTTTCTTATGCTTCTCTGGGTCTGTTCTGTGCACTCACAGCTCTGGATGAGCTCGAGAGTTGGCTAGATTCATACACATAATTAGGGGGTGCCCTTCTCCAATGCACTTCTCTCTGAGATGTCCCCCACATGGTCTGACTCCCAGAAGCCCCTTTTCCTGGTTCCTCTGATCATAATGATAGTTTTATCTTGGGGTTTCAGCTGCCCCCATCATCACCACAGTAGTATAGCTGTGCAAGGTGAGCTGCCCTTGTGGCTGGACCAAAATAGAAAAAAAGGAAGAAAAGAAACGTAAATAGGGACTTCCCATCCCCTGCACTCTTGACTTGTTTTTCTGTGGTCAGAAAGGAAGGGTTTCTTTCTCTTTTTTTTTGAGACAGAGTCTTGCTCTGTCACCCACGCTGGAGGGTAGTGGCATGATCTTGGCTCACTGCAACCTCTACCTCTGAGATTCAAGCAATTCTCATGCCTCAGCCACCTGAGTAGCTAGGACGACAGGCACACGCCACCACACCAGGCTAATTTTTGTATATTTTGTAGAGACAGAGTTTTGCACGGCTGTTCTCAAACTCCTTGTCTGAAGCAATTCTCCTGCCTTGGCCTCCCAAAGTGCTGGGATTACAGGTGAGAGCCACCACACCTGGCTGAAAGGAAGGGGTTCTCTTAAGAGTTTTTGCTCTCTGTGTCCACTGTGAAGCTCTATAGTTCATGCTGCAGGCCACCCTTGTGTGGAAGGCAAAAGATGAAGAAAGAAAAAAAACTTGGAAACTCACTGGTATTGGTCATTTTTCAAGTTTTTATTTCTCTCCCCTGCTGTTGTTTACTTTTCAGAGTCTTCAGGTAGATGCTTTTTGTTCTCAAAATTAGTTGTAATCAGTGGAAGAGTTAGCGACTAAAATATTCTCATTGAATTTAGAAAAGAGTTCTGGTCAATCTCACTCACTGGGCTGTTAGCTCCAAGAAGGCATGGACCATGTCTGTGATACATGGTAAGGTCAAAATAATTGTTAAGTTAATTAATATTGGGCAAAGAAAAATGAACAACAAAATATTGAAGTAAATTTTTGAAAACTTTAATTTAGGTTCAGTGGCACATGTGCAGATTTGTTATATAGGTAAACTCATAACACAGGGGTTCGTTGTACAGACTATTTCATCACCCAGGTACTAAGCCTACTACCCAATAGTTATTTTTCCTGATCCTTTCCCTCCTCCCACTCTTTACCCTCAAGTACGCCTCTGTGTGTGTTGTTCCCCCTTTGTGTCCATGTGTTCTCATCATTTAGTTCCCAGTTATAAGTGAGCACATGTGGTATTTGGTTTTCTGTTCCCGTGTTAGTTTGCTAAGGATAATCACTTCCAGCTCCATCCGTGTTCCTGTAAAGGACGTGATCGTTCTTTCTATGGCTTCATAGCATTCCACGGTGTATATGTACCACATTTTCTTCATTCAATCTGCCACTGATAAGCATTTAGGTTGAGTCCATGTCCTTGCTATTGTGAATAGTGCTGCAATGAACAGTTGCCTGCATGTGTCCTTATGGTAGAATGATTTAGACTTCTCTGGGTATACACTTAGTAATGGGATTGCTGGGTCGAATGGTAGTTCTGTTTTTAGCTCTTAGAGGAATTGCTACACTGTTTTCCGCAATGGTTGAACTAATTTACATTCCGACAGTGAATAGGCATTCCTTTTCCCCCACAACCTCGCCGGTGTCTGTTATTTCTTGACTTTTAATAATAACCATTCTGACTGGCATGAGATGGTATCTCATTGTGGTTTTGATTTCTCTAATGATCAGTGATACTAACTTTTTTCATATGCTTGTTTGGCGGTATATATGTCTTCTTTTGAAAAGTATCTTTTCATCTCTTTTGTATTAATTTTTAAAAACACTTTATGTAAACAGAATATATGTAGTGTGTCTAAGTGTGAGATAATGTTGTAGGAGTGATATATCTTTTGCTTAAGACTTGCAATTAATGGCAAAATTTCTGTAGGCACACCATGGTTTAGAAAGATTTAAATGGGAGGAATTTTTTTACCGTTGTAATATTAAATAATAAAGCTCTTGGCAGAAAAAGATAAATCTGAAAGTAATATACTATTGAGGAAACAATAGAAATTGGCATGGAGTTACAAAAGAGAAAGAAAATCATTTAAAAATCCAAGTTTCAAGTTTTGATAACAAAAGTAACAATAATGTGCCGTAGAGAAAATAAAGGAAGCAAGGAACCTTATTATCCCCTCTTAACAATATGTGACACAAGCCTTGACAGCCGAAGTCAATGGAAGCTGTACCTTTGAACTCTTCTTTGAGGTATCAGTGCCTGTCCAAAGGAGACAAAGCCATCAGAAAGACATGGAGAAGGCCGGGCGCGGTGGCTCACGCCTGCTATCCCAGCACTTTGTGAGGCTGAGGCAGGCGGATCATGAGGTCAGGAGTTCAAGACCAGCCTGACCAACATGGTGAAACCCTGTGTCTACTAAAAATACACAACAAATTAGCCAGGCATGGTAGCACACGCCTGTAATCCCAGCTACTCCGGAGGCTGAGGCAGGAGAATCGCTTGAACCCGGGAGGTGGACGTTGCAGTGAGCTGAGATCGCGCCACTGCACTCCAGCCTGGCCAACAGAGTGAGACTCCGTCTCAAAAAAAAAAAGAAAGACATGCAGAAGCCCGATAATAAAACGGTCGCAGGCCAAGGCCAGAGACACATATCTGGGGTCATCTGTCCACAGAGAGTAACATTACATAAGATGCTGTTGACATCTTTTGGCAGAGGCGAAGGGGGATTATCACGGGGGTCCCCTCGTAGGCTGGAAGAGTGATTGATGTTCAGGCGCAAATAACTATGGCTCATTCCAGTGGTTTGTCTCCAGTGTTTTCTTTACAGAAATGAAAGGAATCAGGGCAGGGGACATTTCCAAAATATATATCTTTCAACAGAAAAGAATAATTTGTTTAAATGACAGAAATTATTAGAAGATTACAGAAGAGAGAAATGGTTTGGTTAAATCTTTTTTTTTTTTTTTTTTTGAGATGGAGTCTCGCTCTGTCGCCCAGGCTGGAGTGCAGTGGCGTGATCTCGGCTCACTGCAAGCTCCGCCTCCCGGGTTCACGCCATTTTCCTGCCTCAGCCTCCCAAGTAGTTGGGACTACAGTCGCCTGCCACCACGTCCAGCTAATTTTTTGTATTTTTAGTAGAGATGGGGTTTCACCGTGTTAGCCAGGATGGTCTCGATCTCCTGACCTACTGATCCGCCCACCTCGGCCTCCCAAAGTGCTGGGATTACAGGCATGAGCCACTGAACCCGGCTGGTTAAATCTTAAGGGTCTCATTGTTTCAGAATTTTTGAAATGATTTATAAGAAAAAAAATTTTGAAAAATAAAGTGATTTTCAACACATTTTAAATAAAGCATATAGATCCCTGAACACTAAATATGACCACACTGTTAAGTATTAAAAGTAGTGTTGAAAAATAATATTAGACTATAAAACTAAAAGCTAGGAGTGAAGGAAAAAATGGAAGACAATTTAATGTTTTTAAAAGGCAAGCTAAATGCAAGGGGTTTATTGGATTGGTGCCCGGACCATCCATAGCGAACGGCAGCAAGTATCATTCGATCATACACAGAAAGAAAAATAGGTGGTGAGTGGTGGAGGTGAGGAGGGACAGCTGGCAGTCATGACGCCTGCAACACACTTCCCCAGAGTATCATAAGGAAGCTGGAAGCAAAGCCTTCTACATTCCTACACCCCTGGCCGACCGATCGAAAGGTCTTCAAACCTGTAATTGTACACTTTAGTTTGCAAGGCAATCAAAGACTGGATTTCACTCACAATAGTCTTTCAATGTGACTTTTGTCCTACTGGATATGCTATAATAAAACCTAAGTTACAACGCAAAGAAAGAAATCAAAACAATCACTATAAAGTCCATTTTCTCTGCCAAGATGAGTGGAAGTATATGAAGTCAAATTTGAATCTGCATGGAGGATTGACAATATGTACAAACACGTAAGCCAAGGTGAGGACATAGTGGAGGAGTTAAAGGAATGGTGAGCAGTGACCTGGGAATTAGAAGTCGTGGGGCTTGGCCCCAGTGCCATTGGTACCAGTTGTGGGACCTAAGCAGACTGTGGCTCGCTTGGCCTTGATGTCCTGGTTGTTAAAATTATAGGCTGGCTCAACATCCCAACAACCCTTTCTGGCTCCTCTTATGGTAACTTTTGCATAAGTGGAAACTGCAGAAAAGAGAACACAAAGCCTCTGACATGCAGATGGCAACGCTTTAATATCACCAACTCAGAGGTTCCAAATAGGCAACAGGCCCTGCAACCTAATCACCATCAGTAGGAAGGGCTAGTGGGCTGAGCACGGTGGCTCACAACTGTAATCCCAGCACTTTGCGAGGCCAAGGCAGGAGGACTGCTTGAGGTCAGGAGTTAAAGAGCTCCCTGGGCAACACAGTGAGATCATGTCTCTACAAAA
This sequence comes from Homo sapiens, assembly GCF_000001405.40. NCBI lineage: Eukaryota > Metazoa > Chordata > Mammalia > Primates > Hominidae > Homo > Homo sapiens. The sequence continues at coordinate 6,694,782 of NC_000008.11, forward strand.
AATTTTTAAAGTTAGCTGTGAGTGGTGACATATGCAGTCCCGTCTACTCGGAGCCCTTGAGTTCAAGGCTGCAATGAGCTATCATCACACCACTACACTCCAGCCAAGGTGACAGACAAAGACCTTGTCAAAAAAACCAACAAACAAACAAAAAACAAGAAGCAGCAGGAAGAAAGAAGAAGAAAAAAACTATACTAACACGAAAGTTGTCAAATTTTGTAGCCTGGTCAACATAGCAAGACCCCATCTCTAGGGGAAAAAAAAAATTGCCAGGCATGGTGGCATGCACCAGTAGTCTTAGTTACTAAGGAGGCTGAAGCAGAAGGATTGCTTGAGCCCACGAAATAATGGCTGTGTGACCCGAGATCATGCCACTACACTCAAGCCTAGGTGACAGGGTAAGACCCTGGTCTCTAAAAAAAAAAAAAAAAAGACTTGTGGATACAGCTAAAGAAGTACTTGCAAGAAAATGTATGGCTTTAAATTCATTTCTGAGAAAAAAAGGTTAAAAATCAACAAGCTTCCAACTCAAGAAGCTAAAAACCATCAAATTAAATACAGAGAAAGTAGAAGGAAATAAATAAAAAGTTAGGTCAGCTGGGCACAGTGGCTCACACCTGTAATCTCCAGTACTTTGGGAGGCCAAGGTGAGTGGATCACGAGGTCAGGAGATCGAAACCATCCTGGCTAACACAGTGAAACCCTGTCTCTACTAAAAATACAAAAAAAAAAAATTAGCCGGGTGTGGTGGCGGGCGCCTGTAGTCCCAGCTACTCAGGAGGCTGAGAGGGGAGAATCGTGTGAACCTGGGAGGCGGAGCTTGCAGTGAGCTGAGATCTTGCCACTGCACTCCAGCCTGGGCGACAGAGCGAGATTCCCTGGGCAACAGAGTGAGACTTTGTCTCACAAAACAACAACAACAACAAAATTATAAAATTGACAAAGTCCTTGCTTGTTTGTTCAATGGGGAGAAGGTGGGAAAACAAGATCACCAATATCAGTTATGAAAAAGAGGACATAATTACAGAGATAAAGAATATTATAAACAATTTTTTTGCTAGCAAATTTGACAACTTAGATGAAGTGAACAAATTTCTTGAAAACCACAACTTATCAAATTTGACACAAGATAAAATAAGTTCAATTGTATATATCTGAAAGCCACTAAAACATTTAATTTTTAATTTTCAAAATCAGTGTGTATGTGTGTGTGTGCGCGTGTGTAAAATCTACACTTAAAAACCCTTCTACAGAGAAACCCAGGCTGGGCTCCAAAAGCTTAGCATTGACTTTAGCCTAAAGTTGTGCCTAACCACAGAGGGTCTGTGCAGCACTGACTTCATCTTGGCCCCCCGTACTTGCCTACTCTTCACAGTCTTTTGCCTCATTTCATTCTTTGTTTTATTCTACTGTTTTGCATGCATCATTGTAAGTCACTGTGCAGCTTCTTTGCAACAAAGTGAAATATAGTCATGCTATACTTAAAGATGGAGATACTATAAACACTGTACACTTACAGGCTACATTACATTTATTTTTTAAAATCTATTTCTTCAATAATAAATTAACCTTACTTTGCTATAACTTGTTTTAAAACTAATTTTTAAAAACGTTTTGATTCTCATAACAGTTAGCTTAAAATACACCTTGTACAGCTGTACAAAAATATTTCCTTTCTTCATATGTCTATTCTATAAGCCATTTAAAAACCTTTCTATTACTTTCTAAACTTTTTTTATTAAAAACTAAGACACAAACACACACATCAGCTTTGGCCTACACAGGGTCAGGATCATCAATATCACTGTGTTCCATCTCCACATGTTATCCCACCTCCACATGTTATCCCACTAGAAAGTCCTCAGGGGAAATAACATGGATGGAGCTGTCATCTCCTATGACCACAATGCATCCTTCTGGATTTCTCCTGAAGGACCTCACTGAGGCTATTTAGCAAGTGCTGCTATTTTCAGAAATATGTCTTCGGTGGTTTGCTTGGTTTGTTTCTTTTTTACATCACAGATTTGCCTGCAAACAGATAATGCACCATATACAGTCCTCTCTATTAATGAAAACCTTTCAGTGTTGGGCTCTATGTTTTCAAACTTTTTAAGGAGCTTTCTGAGGTCTACAAAAGCTTCTGCCAAACCCTTCATTGTTACTCTTCTTAGGAGTTCTTTTTTCTCTGTTTCCTCTTCTCTTGCCTCTTCTTCAGCTATGCATTCCTGTTCCAGTTCCAACAGCTCCTCATTCTTCAATTCCTCAAGAACCACCTCAAAGAGCTCCTCTACATCATCCTCATTCACACCTAGTTGGAGTCGTTTGCTATGACAACCACAGCCTTGGTTTTTGCAACCTCCTCATACTGGCTAATCCTTTGAAGTCATAGACAAACCTCTTGAGTGTCTTCGTCCAGATTCCATTCATACACGCCTTGGTGACCATGCCAAAGTTCTTGATGCAGTCATAGTAAGGGAGGAGACCACCCTTCATATTGTCTTATGCCCAATTTCTGCCTCCAAAGAAAGAAGTAAAAACTAAAAGGCAGAAATGAAATCCACAGGCAGACAGCCCGGCGCTGCCTGGCTGATCCACAGGCAGACAGCCCGGCCTGGTAGTTGAAGATCGACCCCTGACCTAACTGGTTATCTATAGATTCCAGACATTATATGGAAAAGCATTGTAAAAATCCCTGTCCTGTTCTGTTCCGATCTGATTACTGGTGCATGCAGCCCCCAGTCACGTACCCCCTGCTTGCTCAAACGATCACCACCCTCTCACGCAGAACCCCTTAGAGTTGTGAGCCCTTAAAAGGGACAGGAATTGCTCACTCGGGGAGCTCAGCTCTTGAGACAGGAGTCTTGCCAATGCTCCCAGCGGAATAAACCCCTTCTTTCTTTAACTAGGTGTCTGAGGAGTTTTGTCTGCAGCTCATCCTGCTACAATAGATGTTGTAATCCTTCTAGAGTTGCATCAGTGTCTTCTCAGCATCTTCCTCAGCCACAGCAATAGCCTAGGCAAAAGTCCTTCTCAGGTAGCAGGCCTTAAAGGCGCTATAAGTCCTTGGTCCATTGGTTGAATCAAAGAAGTGGTTTTAGAGGAGAAACACCACCTCAATATTGGGATGAAGATCACCAATAAAGGGAGTATGTGCGGGAGCATTAAGGGTAAGCACAATCTTGAAAGGTACCGTACGTTCTTCTCCAAACAATGCTGGCAGCTTCATTACTTCCTGCTCTCCCAAAGCATTAACATGTATGTGGTTTTGGGTTTCCATGTGATATGGTTTGGCTGTGTCCCCACCCACATCTCATCTTGAATTGTAATCCTCATAATCCCCAGGTGTTGAGGGAGAAACCAGGTGGAGATGATTGGATCATGGGGGTGGTTTGCCCCATGCTGTTCTCAGGACAGTGAGTGAGTTCTCATGACATCTGATGGCTTTACAAGCATCTTGCATTTCACCTGCTGGCACTCTCTCTCCTGCTGCCTTGTGAAGAAGGTAGCTGCTTTTGCTTAGCCTTCCACCATGACTGTAAGTTTCCTGAGGCCTCCCCAGCCATGCAGAACTGTGAGTCAATTAAACCTCTTTTCTTTAATAAATTACCCAGTCTTGGGTATTTCTTTATAGCAGCATGAGAATGGACTAACAATACACCATGGTACCAATTATGACTGTAATTCTCTATTACTTCTGTGCTCCAGTGCTTAGTTCTGTTTGGCAATTATTTTGTTGTTTCCAGTGACTTAATTATGTGGTCTATGACTTAATTACCTTGGATCCAATCACCAGGTGCTGAAGGGGACAATTTCCTAGTACAAACCTGGTTTTGTAGCTCTATCTCATAGAGCAGTGCCTCCAGGGAGTGAAACCACCTTTACAAGAGAAAATCATGATGGTGAAGGAGATCTGATCTAACCAACCCCCATCTTGCCTTTAACCTCCAAACTGCTCTTAATCATTCCTGGGCTCAGGCTAAGCTAACTTTAGGAGACATTTAGTTTACAGTTTAAATGATAATATCTCTTCCCCAAAACTAAACCGCCTTTGTAAAGCTAACAAAAGGCCATCAGATAGAGAGATGAAGGGAGCCTGAGTTCTGCTCAGGAGAAGATGTGAATGGTTACCAGCCATTATTCCAGAGGTCACAAGATTTGAAATTTCCCCAACTACTCCTGCAGGTAACATCACTATTGTAGAACCTAAGACTGGCCTTTTGAGATGTCCTTTCAGGTATTTGCATTTTTGACAACTGACACACTGGGACCATCAACTGGTCTTGTGGCCTCACCTAGAAGTAGACTCAGCACAGCATGGATGGGGACCATTTTCCACACCCCTATGATTGCATCCCCAACAAATCAGCAACACCCAAACTATCCTTGAAAAACTGTAGCCTCTGAACTTCCAGGGAGACTGATTTGCATAATAAAACTCTGGTCTCCCATTCCGCTGGCTCTGCATGACATTAAACTCTTTCTCTATTGCAATCCCCGTCTTGATAAATCAGCTCTATCTTGGCAGCAGGCAAGATGAACCCATTGCATGGTTATAGGGGCACCTCCCATGAGTGGGAAGGATTGGGAAAGCACCCATGTGCATCCACACAGCGGCAGTGTGCCGGGGACTTAGCATGGCACACAGATTCCCTCACATAGAGTCTAAGGTCAAAGGAGGGGGTGGCCCTCGGAGTGGCCGGCCAGGTCCCACACTCACTCGCTCATGTGCTCCCTCCCTCGAGGGGCTGAGTGCAGTGGGCCGAGTAGACCCACCCCTGCTGCAAGTCTGGTAAAGGGGGTCGAAACAAATCCCGTGTCAGTATGGGATCTAATTGATATGCGGCAAATAACTGGAGGGCACAGCTAGGCAAGGGTCTCAGAGCAAGGTGAGGCACAAACAATTCTGTGAGAAGCACCTGTGGGATCTATTGTCCTGAGAGGGCTGTTTACCCAGAGAAGCCTCCTGGTGTGCTGGGAAGGGGCTAGCCCGGCAGTCTATTGTTTGCATAAATGGACATTTAAGCGATTCCTGAAGAAAACAACAAGTTATTGACTGGTTTTATAGCCTTATCTTCCTGGACAAGAATTTCCTGCAACAAAGAGTTGAGAAAAGAAAAGAATTTTTATCTGAGGAATGCTAGTCCTTTTAATTATCAGGCCAAGAGAGACATTAAAATAAGATCACAGAAGTCCAGCAAGGAGGTGTGTGCCTGTAGTCCCAGCTACTCAGGAGGCTGAGGCAGGAGGATCACTTGAGCCCAGGAGTTCAAGACCTGCCTGGGCAACATAGCTAGACCCTGTATCATAAAAAATAAAAAAGAACATATAACAAGACCATGGTCACATCCTCCTTCCCCCTTGAGCTATATATTCATCTCTTAAAACTGTTTGCTATTGCCACAAGTAGCTATAAATTAACCTAATAATGCTGCAACTGACACTATAACCCACAGGCTACAGCTTAGCAATACATAGCCAATCACTAATCTATGTTATTTATGTGAACCCCAAAGAGATTTCCTGACAAACCACTTTGTATCAGCCCACTCTCTGTCCCCATTTCCCTTTAAAAATCCACTTGTAATCGCCGCTAATTGGAGTGTATATTCAGGGTAACTTGAAACTATGCTCCCGGGTTGCAATCCTCAAGCTTGGCCCCAAAACACTCCCTATTTATGTTAATTTTGCCCCAGCTTCTTCCTTTTAGGTCAACAGAATCAAGTCACATTGAAGTTGGCTTAGTCCTGACAGTCAGGTCATGGCACACCTAGGCATCCATGGTCTGGGTAGAGCTGTGTACTGAGGTCAGAGAAGCAGCTCATGGTACAGCCTTGCAGGCCACAGGCAGGACTTAATTTGGATTTTTTTCTGGGCTGGGAGTATTTCAAGCACAGAAGTGATAAGAGTTTGCTAGGGCTGCTGTAACACAGTACCACACACTGGGTGGCTTTAAAAAAAGGGCATTTATTGTCTCTCAGTGCTGGGAGCAGAAAGTTTAAAAACAAGCTGTCAACAGGGTTGGTTCTTTGTGAAGGCTGGGAGGAAAATGACACCAAATATTTCACCCCAAAATAGACTTCTTTGACATACTTCAAAATGGCTATTCAGAAGGCCTGTAAACACAAGAATTGCCCTGCAAATCTAGGCTCCCCTTTTGAGTTGGGGAGAGGGGAGGAGGTTTGCATCTGCAGAGGAAATAAAGTGAAGTCAACAACAGCTGTAAGAAGGCTTTCTCTGAAGCCCCTTTGTCCAGATCTAGGAAAGATGACCTGAGAGTCTCAAACCTTTAAAATCTGACATACACTTCCCATCGCCTACCTACCCTCTATTCTTCCTGAGGGCTGCTACCTTGGTTTCCTCTGTATAACAAGACTGCCTTAGGTGCGAGGTCTCCTCTTCTCTCCTCCCATAACCTGTTTTGCTTCTCGCTCTAACCTCAAGATGGTATAAAAGCATCAACTGGCCTGGAGCGGTGGCTCATGCCTGTAATCTCACCACTTTGGAAGGCCGAGACAGGCAGATAACTTGGAGGTCAGGAGTCCAAGACCAGCCTGGCCAACATGGTGAAACCCTAAAAATACAAAAATTAGCTGGGCGAGGTGGCGCATGCCTGTATTCCCAGCTACTCAGGAGCCTGAGGTGGGAGAATTGCTTGAACCCACGAGGCAGAAGTTTCAGTGAGCCAAGATTGTACCACTGCGCCCTGGCCTGGGCGACAAGAGCCTTGAGACTCCATCTCAAAAAAAATAAAATCAAAAAAAGCATCATCCAACTGGCCATTTGAGTTTTTCATATTTTGTATGACTTCTGTGCCTGAATGCATGTTAATAAACATGCTTTTTTTTCCTTGATCTGTCTATTCCCAGCGGTGTTTTTGTTTTTGTTTTGAGACGGAGTCTCGCTCTGTCACCAGGCTGGAGTACAGTGGCGCGATCTCAGCTCACTGCAATCTCCGCCTCCCGGGTTCAAGCGATTCCCCTGCCTCAGCCTCCCAAGTAGCTGGGATTACAGGCACGTGCCATCATGCCTGGCTAATTTTTTGTATTTTAGTCGAGACGGGGTTTCACCATGTTGGCCAAGATGGTCTTGATCTCCTGACCTTGTGATCCGCCTGCCTCAGCCTCCCAATCCAGTTGGCTTTATAGGATCAAATCAGTGAAGTCTGAGGGGGAAAAATAAACCCTATAGAGGGAAGGATCTGTTCCAGGCCTCTCTCCTTGGCTTGTGGACAGCCCCCTTCTCCCTGCAACTCTTCACACCATCTTCCCCCTACATGTCTGTGTCTAAATGTCCTCTTCTCAGAAGGATTACGGCCCATCCTAATGACCTAATGACCTAATTTTAATTGGGTACCTCTGTGGAGACCATAGCCAAATAAGGTCATGTGCTAAGGCAAGGCAGGGGGCTAGTCCTTCACCATGAGTTTGGGCTTTATAACATTGTGCCATTGTGCTTAAAATACTATTTTCAAAAACAATAAAAAATTTAGGAAAGGTAGCATTGTTTTACTTATTTTTTCACATCTTTCAGTTAGATTCCCATACCTGCTTCTGCATTCAATCTGCTGCCATGTTTTGTGCTTTGCTGTTGTTGTTGTCATTTTTGGCTGAAGTATATAAAGAAAATCCAGCCTTATATAGATTTGTAATTGGAAAAAGGGAGGGTTTTTTTGGGGGGTGCAGGGGAACCGGGTCTCACTCTGTCCTCCAGGCTGGAGTACAGTGGTGTGATCTCAGCTCACTGCAACCTCCTGGGCTCAGGGGACCCTCCTACCTTAGCCTCCTGAGTAGCTAGATGAGACTACGGGTATGCACCACCACACATGGCTAATTTTTGTATTTTTTGTGGTGAAACATGGGGTTTCGTCATGTTACCTAAGGTGGTCTCAAACTCCTGGGTTCAAACAATCTGCCCACTTTGGCCTCACACAGTGCTGCGATTATAGGCATGAGCTACCTGTAGTGCCCAGCCTGGAAGGGGTATTTTTAAAGCCTTTTCAGATAATGTGACTATTCTTCTTTCATATTACACTAAAACTCAGGAACTGGTAATTGCTTAAAGGTTAGTAGCCATGTAAAGTCTGAAATTATATCAATGAAATTTTTGTAGTTAAATTAAAACCTATTGGTATATCTTGTGCTTGCAAGAGCCATTTACCCATTCATCATTTTAAAATATCATGCATTATTTAAAAAACATTGGTTTGGTTTACTGCATTGTGCCAACCTTCCAAATTCTGACACATTGCATCATACAGTATTGAAAAATCACAATGGTTGCTATTACCACAGTCCTCATGAAAAAGGTCTTCAAGAACTGAGAAGGTGTCAAGCTCATAGAGCAATATAAGTTTTCCAAGATTCAAGTTTTCACTTGAAAGCTTCAATTTTATTGTTGGCAACATTACCCACTGTTTTCTTTTGAAGTGAATTTGTTTTTGAAAAAAGTGTCTGCCAGACTCACCACTTTATCTGCTAGTTATTCTTTCAAGCAAAAGTGATGTTCCACGAAAAAAGTAGCTCTCAGCTTGCAGCTCAGAGGTTGTTTCCTACAGGGGAGCTATTGAGCTTTGGTATGCTTCCCATGTGCTTCATGCAAGTTCCATTTAGTCACATGGAGTATTCATAAGATGTGTACTCCACAGTTGACATTTAATAAAATTGACTTTTTTTTTTTTTTTTTTTTTTTGCTATCACATTCAGGCTATTCTTAAGCGTTTTTCTGCCATGATCACATTGTGATGAAGAACATGATGGTCACTAGTAGGTAACTTTCTGTGTCATTGCCTTACTCTCAGTGAGGTGCTAGTGGATTTACCTACCCCTGCTTTTGCATCACCACTGTAAATCTAATAGTGAAAAGGCAAATGATGTCTCAGTATCACTGTGAAAACATTTTTCCCTTGGACCAGCTGAAAGCATCTTGAGGAGCCTGAAGGCTTCAAGGTCCACACGTCAAAAAAACACAGCCCTAGACTGATGGTGGCCCATTATGGGTGGGGTCAGCTTCCCCCTAGATCACATGGGTTCTGTTGGGAGGGGTGGCTTGTCTGCATGACCATCTTAGTCACCTCAAGGAGGGAAGGGGCAAAGGATTGCCAAGCATCTACTGCGTAAGTAGATAGCTGTAACCTCTGGGTAAGAAAGTGGGATTGGGTGCGGCATGAGGGAAATGTCCACATTTCATTCAATATTCAAAACATAGGATTGCTTACACTTTTTATAACAGGAATGCCTTCTTGTTTTATCTGTGCAAACAGCAAAATAAAAGCATGAATGGGAACTGACCAAAGTTTTATTTAGTTTTTACAGAAATAGGATCATAGTGCATGTATTATCCAGCAACTTGCTTTGTCACCTAGTGTCCTGGAGATCTGTCCACGACTACGCATTTAGTGCTACTTATTCCTGTCCAACTGCTGCATACCATTTCACTTATCAGTACTGTGTATCCACAAAGCTATTCTGCTACTGATGTGCACTTAGGTAGATGGACTGATTAAAAGGGTATCTGTCTGTATTAGGCTGTTCTTGCATTGCTATAAAGAAATACCTGAGACTGGGTAATTTATAAAGAAAAGTGGTTTAATTGGCTCACATTTTGGCTGGCTGTACAGGAAGCATAGTGCTGGCATCTGCTCAGCTTCTGGGGAGGCCTCAGGAAACTTACAATCATGGTGAAAGGAAAAGGGAGAGCAGGAGCAAGAGTGAGTGGGGAGGTGCTACGTGGTTTTCAACCACCAGATCTCGCGAGAATCACTCACTATCCTGAGGACAGTGCCAAGAGGGACGGTGATACCTATTCATGAGAAAACTGCCCCTGTGATCCAATCGCCTGGCACCAGGCCCCACCTCCAACATTGGGGGTTAAGACTGATAATGAGATTTGGGTGGGGACACAGATCCAAACCATATGGCTGTCCATTCTTAGAACATACTGTCAAATTTCCTTCCAAGAACACTGTACATGAGGGATTCGTTTTTCTCTCCATACATGGTCACCACCAAAGGCTAAGCTACCATCATCCTTTCTAGCTGGGAGTCTAGCTATAGTCTCCAAACTGTTTAAAATATACTCTCCACAATGCCTGAACAACTTTTAAAAAGATCAAATATAAGCATGTCACTCCTCTCCTTAAAATCTCAGTAGCTTCCCTGTCCTTTGGGATAAATTCTAAAATCCTTATGTGTCCCCCAAGACCCTGCTGTCATCTGGTTCTTGCCTATCTTTCCAGACTCAATCCCTAGCATCCTTGTCTCCTTTCCTTACCCCAATTATTTCTGTAAAAACAATCTTCAAATGGAGGCATGCGTATCCCTGAGAATATGGACACGTGGTCATGAGGAGTTTCAAGGGATTCAGTTTTCAGATCCCAACTCTTCTAAAAGTGATCTGTCTGAGGACTCCTGCAGTCCAGGCCCACCTGGCATTTCATAATGGCTCCTCTCCCCCCTGGCACATCCTAAATCTTACTACATTGTGCTGCCCTGCTGAGGTAGAAAGGTGTAATAAACCTTAGGACACCAACAGAGATAACTTATTTAAGAGATGCATTTCTTGTAACTTTTTTTTTTTTTTGCCTACAATTCCTTATCAGATTTTGTGAAACACATTGATTAAACTGTGTATTGCTAATAATAGTAACAGTTCAATCCAGAAGAAAATTTGCTTCTTAGGACCCTAATGATACAGTCTGATCAGTAAAAAACTTTGAAGGATAGAGCATATTCAATTATGATAGAATCCTGTGGTAGAAGTGAAATAAAAATATTTTCAGGGAGAAAAATAATCAATGCAAAATTTTCAACTGGTCAAAGGCTTAAGTATTTTTGAAATGAATGATGGGGTGGATATTAAGTCACTATAATATTTATAACTCACTGCATACATTTAAAAATTTTCTGTAATCACTTTATTTTCAAAACATCATTCATAACTCATCAGAACTTCATAACTACTTAAATTTATAATTAAAAGCCTTTTTAAATTTATCATTAAAAGCCCCCCTCTCCCCACCTTTTTTTTTCTTTGAGATGGACTCTTTCTCTTTTGCCCAGGCTGGATTGCAGTGACGCGATCATGGCTCATAGCAGCTTTGAACTCCTGGGCTCAAGCAATCCTCCCAACTCAGCCTCCTGAGTAGCTGGGGCTACAGGCATGCACAATCACACCCAGCTAATTAAAAAAATATATTTGTAGAGATGGAGGCCTCACTCTACAAAGCGCTTAAGTGATCCTTCCTCCTTGGCCTCCTGAAGTGCTGGAATTACAGGTATAGGCCACCATGCCCAGCTGAGAAAAACATTTAAATATCAGTTTAAGAATGTGTGATGGGAATACACAGCATTCTTTCAAGGGGCATCTCAACAAATTTTAAAAAGAACACTGTGGCCCACTCCAGTGCTATGCATGAGAATATGGTGATTTCTCAGCTTCAGGCGTTCAAATGTGCCATTCTCCCATGGAAAGCCCACTAAGTCCCTCAAGCTTCACCTGAAATACCATTTCACTGAGAAGTCTTCCTTGTCTCCAGACTAAATTAGATTGCCTTGATATATGCTCCCAGAGAACCAAGAATGTCCCCTTTTCATCCCACAGGTAACTCCTTGTTAAATGTTGTACAAGGAAGGCATAGACAGAATTCACCTTTCACTGTTCCACTGGTGCCCAGCAGGGTATGCAAAGGAGGAAATCAGCTGTGCTCTGAAAGAAGCACCATTCCAGTAAAGGGGAGGAAAAGGTCATCAGACTGCAAGGGCTCAACAAAAGTACAAGGTAAGGAGGCAGAGGGTGTGGGCTGATTATCAACTAAGAGGTTTGCACGGAAAAAGGGAAAAAAAAAAAAACAGAAAAACAGGGCCGGGTAGTGGCAGAAAGAGAGGGTGGATCTGTGACTGTTCGCAGGAAGAGAGGAGCGGGAGCAGGACAGACAATAACTGATAGTCAGGAGCTGGGTTTGGAGATAAAGAGGGAACAAGAGAAAGTTAAGTTCTGTGTTTTCATGGCAAACATTGCACAAAAGTTTACAACTTCGTGACTAACAGTAATCTGGGGTGATTCACAACAAATTTACACATAAACACATATTTACTGACTTTATACACAGCAATCCTAACGTGAACACAGAACCTGCTTTATCTTTTCGCACACTGTTCTAGTGTAGAGATGTCTGGTCTCAGTTAAAGAAAGCATAAGGAGCATTAGTTGTGCACACTGTCCACACCTGTGACTTTTTTCCACCAGTACTAAACCTAGTGCTTCTTACAGTACAGGACAATGACAGCCACAGAAAGAGAGAAGCTCCTTTTACTGTGTAATGCTTCCTGCTGGCCTTCAAATACTTGTTACTTGAGAGATCTCCATTCACCTGGCTTTGTCCCCAAAGGTCATCATCTACCAATGATGTTGTTATTTGATGTTAATCATGTATAAAGAAAGTAGCTACCATCCTGGCCCTGATTAGAACTTCCCACTGAAATACCGTCCTGCCTAAAGGTAGCACAGGCTCCCATTATGGTGGTGGTGGGGAGGGGGCGGGAATATATATATATATATATATATATATATATATATATATATGGTAAAGCATTCGGCATTCTTTTAAAGTACAACTATCCTTGAAAAGGGTTACATATTAAACCATTTTTACCACAGCCAAAGGGGAGGAGAAAGATCCAAAAGTCCTGTGGATCTGCTTTAACATCAATAAAACAGTTATCCACCCTTCGTAGCTTTTAGTGAAGGCTACAAAAGTATGCTTTTTATGGATTACACATGTGCACGCAACTACTTTAATTACTACAGAAAAAAACGAGGCTCCTTATTAAAAAAAAATCAGAAACAAGTCCAACAGACTCTGAGGAAATGAAGCAAGAGTGAATTCTGAAAAGGTCTAATAAACAGTATGGAAATATCCTTGTGGGATTGTTCTTCAGCTATGCATAAACATGTAATTATCATCATTACTGTGATGGGGAAAAACACGGACCCTAATTCTGAAACACCCTGGTAGCGAGAGACGGGCAGGAGGGGCTGCTGCGCACTCAGAGCGGAGGCTGAGGAGGCGGCGTCCCCTTGCAAAGGACTGGCAGTGAGCAGATGGGGACACTCGAGCTGCCCCGCGACCTGGGCCGAGCTGCCTACAACCTGGGCCCAGGTGCCTGCAAGAATTAGACCTCCGATAACGTTAACACCCACTTTCTCACTGCTCTAATTGTGTGCATCCCGGCGCCCAGGGGCTTGTGAGCAGCAGGTGCGCGTTCCAGGCAGCTCCAGCGACCCTTAAACCTGACCGCGCGCACGTCCGGCCCGAGGGAGCAGAACAAGAGGCACCCGGACCCTCCTCCGGCCAGCACCCACCTTCACCCAGTTCCGTCAGTCGCCACCACCTCCCTTCCCGCGTCCGCAGCCGGCCCAGCTGGGGAGCATGCGCAGTGGCCGGAGCCGGGTTGCCCGCGCCCCAGCAGGTAGCTGTACTGCAACTGTCGGCCCAAACCAACCAATCAAGAGACGTGTTATTGCCGCCGAGGTGGAACTATGGCAACGGGCGACCAATCAGAAGGCGCGTTGTTGCCGCGGAGCCCCCTGCCCCGGCAGGGGGATGTGGCGATGGGTGAGGGTCATGGGGTGTGAGCATCCCTGAGCCATCGATCCGGGAGGGCCGCGGGTTCCCTTGCTTTGCCGCCGGGAGCGGCGCACGCAGCCCCGCACTCGCCTACCCGGCCCCGGGCGGCGGCGCGGCCCATGCGGCTGGGGGCGGAGGCTGGGAGCGGGTGGCGGGCGCGGCGGCCCGGGCCCGGGCGGTGATTGGCCGCCTGCTGGCCGCGACTGAGGCCCGGGAGGCGGGCGGGGAGCGCAGGCGGAGCTCGCTGCCGCCGAGCTGAGAAGATGCTGCTGTCCCTGGTGCTCCACACGTACTCCATGCGCTACCTGCTGCCCAGCGTCGTGCTCCTGGGCACGGCGCCCACCTACGTGTTGGCCTGGGGGGTCTGGCGGCTGCTCTCCGCCTTCCTGCCCGCCCGCTTCTACCAAGCGCTGGACGACCGGCTCTACTGCGTCTACCAGAGCATGGTGCTCTTCTTCTTCGAGAATTACACCGGGGTCCAGGTGAGCCGCCTCCCGCTCCCGGGTCTCGGCGTCCACCCGAGCTCCCGGGGGCGCGGACCTCTCCGCTCCCCCACAGCTGGCGAGGGTCACCCGGCCGGCCCGGCGGACCCAGCACGGAGAGCACGTGCCGCCTCCCCGCCTTCCTCTCCGCATGCTTCCTGCCGTTCTGCCGAGATCGCTCTCTAGGAAGCTGTGGCTGCGTCGTCCTGAGGCTACGAGTGGGACCCGCCGCCCCTTTCCCCGCCCCTCGCCTGGGTCTGATGCTGCTTAGCAAAGTGGGTGCAGATGCACGTTTTAAATAATAGGGCACGCGTTTAGCAGTTTCTGGCCTTTGGTCCAAAGAGGTGGTCATGTTGGAACAGATCGGAGACGTCTACACTCCGAAGTGCGCTTTTACAGTGACCTCTTGAAACAGAAGTACAATTCGGTCTTGTGTTCTTTCCCCTGGACAAGTGAAAGCTGGGCGAAGAAATGAATACATTTGTTAACCGTAGAAGCCTAACTAGATACATTTCTTGCCAACTTTAACTGGGCTTGAATGTGTGGGTGATCTGTTGTCTGATTACTTTCTTTCTGTTACTGTTTCTCTGTAGAGATTGGATTCGTAGATTAAACTTGAGAAACAAACCATAAAAGTGGAAGGCCCTCTTTAACAGTAGGTATTTGAAGTGTTATAAAAAAAAAAAAAAGGTGAATTTTTCTTTTATTTCTCAGTTTGAAAGAACAGCTTTATTCTTGGTTATTCCTAATGTCCACCTAGTCCTCTTTTACTTTTCTTGGTAGGGTTAGGGTGGCATGGGGAAATGGGACGGTATCATTTTGTCTTTTTAACTTTTTTTTTTTCCACCTACAGCAGCTGTTTTTACCCTGTGGTCAGTCAGGTACTATATTTAGTTTGCAGTTGCACTGCTGATCGACCCTTGATGGCCCCAGTTGGAAGTTGTTTGGGGGGAAGGAACTAGGAGAGGCCAGGGCCTCCATTTAAACCAGTGTCTGTAAGTGTCTCCTTGGAAAGAAAAAAAGATACTGTTCCAGGTCATGGTTTCCTGGTAGTTGACGTTTAAAATGGGCCTCATTTAAAAATTTCAATAATTCAGGCTAATTTTTTCCCTTTATATGGTAACTCCACCAAGTTTGTCTAAATGTATGATTTTTATCATGATTAAGTTTTTACTTCCACATCATGTGACAACTGGCCTGGGATGGGATATAAGCTCAGAACACAAAGTCATTCACCTCTTAAAAAAATAATTCTATCTGTGGCGGGTTATGTTATTTTTGTTCAAAGAGGACACAATATGATGCAGAATACACCATTGAAGGATTTTTTGGTTTGGCAAGTTCTTATTTTTTTAAATGGCTGTAAAACCTAGCAGTGTTTCTG